>NC_000010.11:103021883-103324913 GCF_000001405.40 Homo sapiens
TGTGTGTATGTATATGTAGTAATCTTAGCCAAAGATAGTTGCCTATGGTTAGATCAATTCCTGGTAAAGAAGGTTTTGAAGGCCAAATTAGAATTCTTTAAGGTCAGAGAGAGTTCTGTTCATCTTTGATGAATGTGTTTAAGTGAGACGTGGCATTCTGAGTGAGTGAAAGCGTCATAGGAATTTCATCATGGGACTGAAGCAGCCACAATTCTGACTTCTTATATAAACAGACCTGTGAAACTGCAGTTTCTACCGCGTCAGCTGGGCGTGCTGATTTGGAACTTTTTCTTAGGGTTTGTAGTTGTTGAGATGACCTTTTAGATTTTGGATCAGGTTAGGAAATGATAGTAATAGAAGGTTCTTAGTAAGTTAGTCATTATTTCATATGCCAAGCATTGTGCTGAGTATTTTATATGTAATTTATTTAATCTTCAAAGCAGCTCTTTGAGGAAGATCCTATCATACTTTTTTTCCTGTGTTTAAACTCTTTCTTCTTCATCCCCTATTGTCAGCTGGTGACCTTATAGACAAGGTGTCCCCCTGCTATGGTCTGGATCCAGTGATGTTAGAACTGGATCCTATACCGGCTTAAAAAACTGATTGTGCTTATCTCTTTCCAACTCTGTTTAGTGACACTGTTAATAACTTGGGATCAGCCATGGTAGGAATACTTACACCATGGAAATTGCCAAATGCTACAAATCAGCTTTTTCCAGAGAGCTGGCTGTTAAACTTTTATCATCACACCACCTTCTGGGTCCTCTCCTGTCTTACCCTTAGTTGATTCATGTATTAGTCCATTTGCATTGCTGTAAAGGAGTACCTGAGACTGGGTAATTTATAAAGAAAAAAGGTTTATTTTGGCATATGGTTCTGCAGGCTGTACAGGAAGCATGGCACTGGCATCTGCTCCTGGTGAGGGTCTCAGGAAGTTTACGATCATGGTGAAAGGCAAAGGGGGAGCAGATGTATCACATGGCAAGAGAGAGAGCAAGAGAAAGGAGGAGAAGGTTCAGACTCTTTATTTTTTTTTGAGACAGGGTCTTACTGTGGTTGCCCAGGCTGGAGTGCAGTGGCATGATTTCAGTTCACTGCAGCATTGACCTCCCGGGCTCAGGTGATTCTCCTACCTCAGCCTCTCAAGTAGCTGGGATTACAGGTGCACACCACCACACTCGGCTAATTTTTTGTATTTTTTAGTAGGGAGGGCGCTTCGCTATGTTGCCCAAACTGGTCTTGAATTCCTGGACTGAAGCAATTCACCTGCCTTAGCCTCCCAGAGTGCTGGGATTACAGGCATAAGCCACCATGCCCAGCCAAGGTCCCAGACTCTTTTAAATGATCAGATCTTGGGTGAACTGAGCAAGAACTCGCCCAACACTGGGCCTGGCGCAGTGGCTCATGCCTATAATCCCAACACTTTGGGTGGCTGACGGCAGGTGGATCACCTGAGGTCAGGAGTTCGAGACCAGCCTAACCAAAATGGTGAAACCCCATCTCTACTAAAAATAGAGGGTGTGGCATGGTGGTGAGTACCTGTAATCCCAGCTACTCAGGAGGCTGAGGCAGGAGAATCGCTTGAACCTGGGAGGCGGAGATTTTGGTGAGCCGAGATCGTGCCATTGCACTCCAGCCTGGGCGACAAGAGTGAAACTCTGTTCCCCCCTCCCCATCCCCACAAAAAAAGAACTCACCCAACACCAACTGAATAGCACTAAGCCATTCATGAGGAGTCCACCCCCATGATCCAGTACCTCTCACTAGGCCCCATCTCCAACATTGGGGATCACATTTCAACAAGAGATTTGGAGGGGACACACATCCAGACCATGTGATTTCCATTAAACAACAAAGTCAGCAAAAGGATGGAATCATTAAAAATTATATATACCCTAAATATTATTTTGAAATAAAACAAATTTGCAATCATTTGACAAACTTGTTTTGATTATAAAAATGTGCAAAAATGTAAAAATTGAGACTAGTATAATGAATATACATATATTTTTTAGATGTGATAATTTTTAATTTTTTGAACCATTTCAAAGAAAGTTACAGATATCATACTTTATCCTAAACTGTTTTTGCATACTTCTTCCACATAACCTAATTCCATCATCACTCTTAAGAAAATTAGGGTACCCTAAAATCATTGACTACTCTCTCCATATTCACATTTTCCCAATTGTTCCACAAATGTCATTTGTAGTTGGTTTTCTTCTAACAAGGATGCAATCAAGATTTTTGCATTGCATTGTGATATTATGCTTTTTTTGGTGTCTTTAAGCTAGAATAATTCCTCTCATTTTTTCATGACATTGAGTATTTTTTCATGATACTGACTTTTTAATAAGTTTAAAGTATATATAAAAGTAGAGAAAATAGACAATAAACCACAATATACCCATTACCAATTCAATAACTATCATGGCTTTGTTATATTGGTTTCATTTATCTTTTTTCTTTGCAAAAATATTTCAAAACAGATTCAAGACATACCATTTCATGCCTCATAAGTCTAAGCAATAAAGTCATTTTGTGATGTAACCAAATACAGTACTGTGATAATACCAAGCAAAATTTATTTTTATTTTTATTTTTATTTTTTTTGAGATGGAGTCTTGCTCTGTCACCCAGGCTGGAATGCGGTGGCGTGATCTCGGCTCACTGCAATCTCCGCCTCCCGGGTTCAAGCGATTCTCCTGCCTCAGCCTCCCGAGCAGCTGGGACTGCAGGTGCGTGCCACCATGCCTGGCTAGTTTTTTGTATTTTTAGTAGAGATGGGGTTTCACCGTGTTAGTCAGGATGATCTTGATCTCCTGACCTCGTGATCGACCCACTTCAGCCTCCCAAATTGCTGGGATTACAGGCGTGAGCCACCGCACCCGGCCGATATTGGCTTTTTAAAGAAACCAAGCTAGTTGTTTTGTAGAGTGCCCTACATTTGGGGCTTGTATGATTGTTTTGTCATTGTATCATTTAACTCATTTATCTATCCCATGTATTTCCTGTACACTGGAAGCTAGATCCAAATTCCTGACTACATTAAACACCTTCATCAGTAATACTTTATAAAGGATGAAATATATTTTGGTGTGCAATACTTTAGGTGGTACATATGGTCTGGTTATCCACTACTAATGATTTTAAATTTGATCACTTGATTAAGGTAGTGACTGCAGTTGGCTCCGTTCTATTTTATTTATTTTTTATTTTTATTTTTGAGACAGCGTCTCGCCCTGTCACCCAGGCTGGAGTGCAGTGGCGTGATCTCCGCTCGCGGCAACCTCCAACTCCCTGGTTCAAGCGATTCTCCTGCCTCAGCCTCCCAAGTAGCTGGGATTACAGGCATGTGCCACCATGCCCGGCTAATTTTTGTATTTTAGTAGAGGTGGGGTTTCACCGTGTTGGCCAGGATGGTCTTGATCTCCTGACCTTGTGATCCACCCACCTCGGCCTCCCAAATTGCTGGGATTACAGGCGTGAGCCACCACGCCCAGCCAAGTTGGCTCCATTCTAGAGATAAGCTTTCTTCTTTGGGATTAGCAATGATCTGTGGAGTGATACTTCAGCACCACACAAATATTATTTTCTCCATCAACCTCTCCCCCTAATAGTTTTAGCATCTGTTAATGTTCTTTGCCTGAATCAATACATTTCAACAGGCATTGGAAGATGGTGTTGCCATTCTTCTGAAGTAGGACCCAGGCATTTTCTTTGAGTTGGGCTTACTGATTCGTGTTTCATACAATAGTGCATGAATCACATCCGTAGTATATCTTCTCTAAGTTATCCAAATCTTCTCTAAATCTGAGTTTTCACTTCAAGTGGAACAAGCAATGCAAAGCATTTTCAAAGCAATACAAGTGCAGAATCTTCCTAGATCTGTTTTCTCTTACCCCCTCCTAATTCAACAGCAGGGATTTTTTTGTTTAACAGCCTGCTTTTACTGATTCTTTCTGAAAGATTCATCATATTTGCTGTGGGTTGAATGTGTCTCACAAAGTTCATGTGGCGAAACTTAATCTCCAATGCAAACACTGGGAGATGGGGGTCTAATAAGAGGTGATTGGGTCATCAGGTTCCTCGTGAATGGATTGGTGTCATTATGTAGTTAGGTTAGTTACTGTGAGAATGGGCTTGTTATAGGAGCAAGTTCAGTCCCCTCTTGCTCTCTTGCCCTTCTGCCATGGGATGACACAGCATGAAGGCCCTTGCCAGATGTGGGCCCCTCAATCTTGCACTTCCCAGCCTCCAAACTGTAAGAAATCTGTTCTTCATAAATTAACCTGTCTTGGGTATTGTGATGTAGCAGCACAAAATGGACTGAGACAGTGTCCGTAGAAACAACTTTTCTATTCTCTTAAGTTTTTATAATACTTAAATTACATAATTGCAGCATCAAGTACAAATGTCATAAATATTTTTGGAGGCTGGGAGTAGTGGCTCATGCCTGTAATCCCAGCACTTTGGGAGGCCAAGGCGGGTGGATCGCTTGAGCTCAGGAGTTTGAGACCAGTCTGGGAAACACGGCAAAACTGTGTCTCTACAAAAAATACAAAAATTTAGCTGGGCATGGTTGCACATACCTGTAGTCTCAGCTACTCAAGAGGCTGAGGTGAGAGAATTGCTGGAGCCCAGGAGGTCAAGGTTGCAGTGAGCTGTGATCGTGCCACTGCACTCTAGCCTTAGGGACAGAGTGAGACCTTGTCTTCAAAAAAAAAAAAAAAAAAAAAAAAGGTTTGGAAACAGAAATAACCAATTCTTAGTAAAATTTCTACTTAATCCAGGGGAGTTTAGAATGCAGAGTACTAGATAGCAGTCTATTAGACAAAAGCATTCAGTGTGCTGTGGGCCTCAGTCAGTGTGTTCTACAGGGAGAATGGAGTGTGTTCATTAGCACATTGTTACATGGAGGTCAGTTAAGAGAAGAGTCTAACATGTTGTAATTTTCCTTGCCTGTCTTCCTTGGTCGACTTCCAGTTCCTTGACAGTAAGGAAATCAGTCTTGTATGTGTTTGAGTTTAATCGCTGGTGCATGGTACAGTGCTTAGCATATAGTGAGTGCTCAAGAAAAATACTTGTTGAATGAATTCATGACTGGCCATATTGACCTCAAGTGAATTCTAATCATAAACATGGAAACCTTTGCAATATCTTTAAAAATGTCAAGGTTGGTATGGCCATTGCACATAATTTATTATTTCATTGGCTTTTCCCCTTCTCATTCCCTCAGTCTTTGAGTCTTTCTCTGCTCTGTGCCAACTTCCTTCAATTTATTGTGTATTACAAGCTACCTGTGTTTATTATCATTCCAGTTTCCTGACAAAGATGCAAAAAGAATGTGTAGCAGTTTGGCTGCAATGGCGCTCTGCCCAAAGAGAGATGAGATTCTTAGGAAAATACAAAGTAGTTCCTTAGTTCTCTATTCTAGAGCTTAACCAATCCCAGGAACTGAAGTCTTCTGTTTCTTCACAGAGGAAATATGACAAAGGCAGTGGCTGTACAAGCTTCCTTCATGGGCCGCCCTCCCCACTGCCTCATCCAGTAAGCGGGAGCAACTACTTCTAGAGGTGAGAGGGGAGGGAGGACAATCTCCATAACCCATTCGATGCACCCAGCTGCAAAATTTTGGTATTGAGAAACTGAGCAAACAATTTGTAGAGTTGCTATATTGAACTTTAAAGCAAAATAAGCCTACATAGGATTGAATGCTCAGGTGATACAAATGATGGTCTTTGATAGAAGCCTACAATCTATATTTTGAAAGAAGCTACTTATAGCTGTATAATTCCAATAATCCCAAGATCCTGTTTCTATAGATATTAAAAGGTATTATGCATGTACATTTGAGATGATTTTTAGCTTCCTAACCCATGAGAAAGTTCATCAGTAATATAATCATTATCATTTATTGAGCACTTACTATGTGCCAGGCACTATTTAAATTGTTTTTTCATTTGATTTTTCAATTTTTATAGTAAACATAGGGTATATCTCCATTTACAGACGGTCAAAGTGGGAGGCCATGAGAAGGTAAATGACTTGCTCTCAGTCACACAGGTAGTATGTAACAGAGTCAAAGCATCTACACCCATACTTGTCTAATTTTAAAGTTCTTAATCACTGATAGTATGCCTAGGGTCCTGTCACATATTTGAGCTCTTAAAATCTGTGCCTTTTTTGATGAGGGGTCAGTGACCGAGAGCAGCCTAGATCTGCTGAACATTGTATCAGGAACTGAGGTGATGTTCCATAAGGCATTTGTAGTGCGTACTCACAGAAAGCTTAAGACAGTTTGTCATTTTTACCAAGGACCAGGTCCCTCAAAAGGATGGTCTGTTTCTAAGGTTCTTTACGGAAGCAAATGAATGTTGAGTTCTTTTGGCCATTCATTCGCTCATTTATTCATCTAGTCATTCAGTAAACACTTATCTTTTTTTACTTGACAACTCATTGTATTTGAGTATCAGAGTCTCGGTTTTCAGGTTGAATTCATGTTTTGTGTTTATAAGAAGATAATGAAAATTCTTGAAGACATTCTCAAGCACAACAGAGGAAGGAGCACAGGGTTTGATTTCTACTTGTTTTTCAAGTGGGCTTCATCTGAGAACAAACTCTATTGTAACCTTTCTAGAATTTGGTGCCAATAAGAGTTAAAATAATAAAATCAGTACAATTAAATAGGAAATGAGTGTCTTTTATGTACAAGGCCTTAGATTAGGTAACAACAGTTGGTCATTCCTCTGGGAAATGGTTGCTAAAATTATAATCAACTGGCAGTCACTGATTGGCCTTGTTTACTTCATTGTGTCCCAGGAAAAAAAAGACAATCTCCTCTTATGACAAGATCTTGCAGAGATAATACCATTTCCGCCATAATCTTCATCCCCCTCCCATTTTCTTCTTTCTTTTCTTTTTCTTTTTCTTTTTTTTTTTTTCTTTTTTTTTTTTTTGAGACAGTCTCGCTGTGTCACTCAGGCTGGAGTGCAGTGATGTGATATCGGCTCACTGCAACCTCCGCACACCAGGTTCAATCGATTGTCATGTCTCAGTCTCCCAAGTAGCTGGCATTATAGGCGTGTGCCACCATGCCCACTAACTTTTGTATTTTTAGTAAAGACGAGGTTCCACCATGTTGGCCAGGCTGGTTTTGAACCCCTGACCTCAAATGATCCACCCGCCTCGGCCTCCCAAAATGCTGGGATTACAGGCATGAGCCACCGTGCCCGGCCCCCACTCCTATTTTCTTAAGATTAATTTGAGCTATTTAGTTAAGCTTTATTAAAAGTATTGGCCAGGCATGGTGGCTCACACCTGTAATCCCAGTACTTTAGGATGCTGAGGCAGGTGGATCACCTGGTCAGGAGTTCAAGACCAGCTTGGCCAACATGGCGAAACCCCATCTCTACTTAAAAAAAAAAAAAAAAAAATAGGCGGGCGTGGTGGCCAGCACCTGTAATCCCAGCTCCTCAGGAGGCTGAGGAGAATCACTTGAACCCAGGTGGCAGAGGTTGCAGTGAGCTGAGATGGTGCCACTGCACTCCAGCCTGGGTGACAGAGCAAAACTCCGTCTCAAAATAAATAAATAAATACATAAATAATCTACCAGACACTGTGCTAGTTTCTAAGGCTTTAGATGTGAAAGAGAACCCTTCCTTCAATAATCTCACAGAGGACTAAAAATTCAGAGGAGCCAGGCACGGTGGCTCACGCCTGTAATCCCAGCACTTTGGGAGGCTGAGGCGGGTGGATCACGAGGTTCAGGAGATAGAGACCAGCCTGGCTAACACGATGAAACCCCGTCTCTACTAAAAATACAAAAAAAAATTAGCCAGGCATGGCGGCACGTGCCTGTAGTCCCAGCTACTAGGGAGGCTGAGGCGGGAGAATCCCTTGAACCTGGGAGGCGGAGGTTGCAGTGAGCCAAGATCACGCCACTGCACTCTAGCCTGGGAGACAGAGCAAGACTCCGTCTCAAAAAAAAAAAAAATAATCTCAGAGGAGAGTGAGATAGTTATTAATACAGGGTAATAAGTGCCCTAATGGAGCCAATGAAGGCTTTGTGGGAACAGTGACAGGCACCAAACCCAGCTGGTCTAGGTGAGGTTAGGAAGACTTCCAAGATGAGATGATGCTTACATTGAATATTTGAGGGAGAATAAGAGTAAAGAAGCCAAGGGGAGGCCAGTGTTTATGGCAAAGAGAACAGTGAAATAGCATATCTAGTTTGGGGAATTGGAAAATGTATGCTCTTGGATGGAATGAGCAAAGCTATGGGAGATGTGGCTAGAGAAGGATCCCATCATGACGGGCTTTGAATGCCATCCCAAAGAACTTAAACGTTCCTAAATGCAGTGGGAAGTTATGGAAGAATTTTAAGCAGAGGAGTAACATGTTCAGATTTGGTCTTTAATAAGATTACTATGGCATCAGTGAGGTGGCCTTGAGGAAATTACATTAAAGTTAGGTACATTAGAAGTAATGAGGACTTGGAATTTAGGTGAACTGGTGATAGGGATGGAGACTATGAAATAATCAATATTGGCTGGACATGGTGGCTCATGCCTATAATCTCAGCACTTTGGGAGGCCGAGGCAGGTGGATCACTTGAGGTCAGGAGTTCAAGACCAGCCTGGCCAACACGGTGAAACCCAGTCTCTACTAAAAATACAAAAAATTAGCCAGGCGTGGTGGCACACCTGTAGTCCCAGCCACTTGTGAGGTGGGAGAATTGCTTGAGCCTGGGAGGCGGAGGCTGCAGTGAGCTGAGATCATGCCACTGCACTCCAGCCTGGGCAACAGAGTGAGGCTCCCTCTTGGCAGGGGGGGAAGTCGATATTTAGGAGGCAGTCTTAAATTTAGAACCTAACACAATGTTAGGTACCAATATGTCATAGCCGGATGAAACTAGAGGGAAAAGAGGCATCTAAGTTGACTTTCACAGTTTCACATTTGACCTTTACAGATGTCATTAGTATAAGGATTAGAAGCAGGGAAACAGGTTTTGTGAAGAAGATGATAGGTTTAGTTTTGGACATGTTGAACTTAAGATGCTTATTGGACAAGAGGAGGAGGAGGACCAGATGGACAGATGGAATATTTTTATATCTGAGGTTTAGATGAGACTGGGATGGTGGAGTATGTAGATTTTAGGGTTTTCAGTCTGTGCTTTATGCTCCCTTTGTTGTAGTTACTCAATTAGTGCATCGTGAAAAGCATATTACCACAAAGCTAATGAAGCTAAAGCTTAAGTGCTCAGATGTGTGGGCTGCTTCCAAGGCCCTGGGAAGACCCCTAGCAAGTTTTACATGTTTATGTGTATTTGTAAATTTTGAAAAATCGGAAAGTTTACTGTGGGCCAAAATTACTCTTTCCACATTGAGTTACCCTCTCTTACTCTTGTGTGTGGCAATGTTGGAGTGGTCCCAAGCATTTTTGGGATTCAGCTGTGGGAAAGTTAAGCTGTGGATATACACTTTGTTTGAGTTTACTGGGATATATCTCTGTGGTTGCAGTCACTTTGATGTATAGTTATTGGTGGCCATCTCACTGCATAAATGATATCCAACAATGTGGATGTCACTCAAAGGTACAAGCCCTGCATTGTATTGAGACAGGAGTGTGTTCTAACACATCTGGCACTGGAATCTGCAAGTAGAAGAGCATGAAATGTGTGAAACCAAAAAGTGGCTGGTGGAAAAACTTTCCACTCACCCGATGTCTTAGCCTGAACATCAGCCTGGTAGAAAGACTTGCATGCAGGGAAGTTTATATGGAGTGCAGTCCCAGGAAGCAGGAGTTCAGGACAAGGAAAGTGAAATGAGAAGGAGGGAAAGAAAATTTAAGGATCTGATAGCGCCTAGGCAGCAGGTGTTCAATTCCACTAGAACCTTTTTAGGAACCTATGGAATGGAATGCTCTCAGAACTGTCTGCTTAAGTACAAAATGCGGGGGGGGCGTGAGGGGATTTATCCCGTTGATTTCTCCCTCTTGTTTGCATATGCATAACTGCAGAATAAGTTTCAAGAGAAATCCTAAGGCAGGAAGTGAAATATTGAGCATTAGCAATGAGGCAGTGTCTGCCTGCACTGATGCACGAGCATGAAGCCACTGCAAGCCTGCGTGAACTAGTCACTGCGGCAGTGGAGGGAGTGAGCACTGGGGCCTAGGGGGTTGGAAGTGGCTTTTTAGAGGTGTCCAACACTGTCAGAGGACCCTATTCCCCTTGATCCCTGGTTGAAATACACATTTTCTCTTGTTAGAAATATATACATTAGGGGCCGGGTACGGTGACTCATGCCTGTAATCCCAGCACTTTGGGAGGCCGAGGCAGGTGGATCACCTGAGGTCAGGAGTTCAAGACCAGCCTGGCCAACATGGTGAAACCCCATCTCTACTAAAAAAGACAAAAAACAGCTGGGCGTGATGGTGCACATCTGTAATTCCAGCTACTCAGGAGGCTGAGGCAGGAGAATCGCTTGAACCTGGGAGATGGAGGTTGCAGCGAGCCGAGATCACCCCACCGCACTCCAACCTGGGGGACAGAGTGAGACTCCATCTCAAAAAGAAAAAAAGAATTACCCTGTAGAATGCAAATTTTTAACAGTACTGCAAATTTCATCCAGAATGCCACTGTTAACATTTGTTTCTAGAGTTTTCTATATATAATTATGATTAATGCAATTAATTACAATGAATACAAATGGGAACATACTATAATATTCTACATGACTTTTTTTTAGAGTAGCCTTTCATAACAATTGATGTAGCTCTTTTTTTTTTTTTTTTTTTTTAAATAGCTGCATAGCATTCTATTGCTGATAGAATCCTACTATATCCACGCTAGCTGCATAGCATTCTAGTGTGGATATTGTAGAATTTACTTAACGGGGCTTTATCGTGGATGTTTAGGTGGTGACTTTTTTCTTATAGAAATATAAAAACTTAGCTGAGTGTGGTGGCTCACGTCTGTAATCCCAACACTTTGGGAGGCTGAGGTGGATGGATTGCTTGAGCTTAAGAGTTTGAGACCAGCCTGGGCAACATGGTGAAACCCTGTCACTACAAAAGATACAAAAATTAGCCAGATGTGGCTACCCATGCCTGTAATCCCAGCTACTTATGAGGCTGAGGCAGGAGAATCACATGAACCCAAGAGGTGGAGGTTGTAGTGAGCCATGATCATGCCACTGCACTCTAGCCTGAGTGACAGAGTAAGACCCTGTCCAAAAAAAAAAAAAGAAAAGAAAAACAGAAAAACTAATTTTTGTCTTCTATACATTTTTTAAATTTATTTTATTTTTATTTTTATGTTTTTGAGATGGAGTCTTGCTTTGTCACACAGGCTGGAGTACAATGGCATGATCTCAGCTCACTGCAACCTCCGCCTCCCAGGTTCAAGCAATTCTCCTGCCTCAGCCTCCCGAGTAGTTGGGACTACAGGCGCCCACCACCAGGCCCACTTAATTTTATTGTATTTTTTAGTAGAGACGGGGTTTCACTGTGTTAGCCAGGACAGTCTCAATCTCCAGACCTCCTGATCTGCCTGCCTTGGCCTCCCAAAGTGCTGGGATTACAAATAGGCGTGAGCCACCACGCCTGGACAATCTAAGGTTTTTTTTAAAAAGCTTCTGGTGAAGAAAAAACATGTACAAACAATTGTGAAAATGTTGCAAAAAATTTCCTCTCTTGAAATACATCCGTCTCTACAACTTAAAGGAGGATGAGTTAGGAAAGCCATAAACACAAATTCTACCCTAGGATCCTATTTTTGGTTGGTAGAGATGGGGGTTTCACCATGTTGGCCAGGCTGGTCTCGAACTCCTAACCTTGTGATCCGCCTGCCTCGGCCTCCCAAAGTGCTGGGATTACAGGCGTGAGCCACCGTGCCCAGCCCTTCTACACATTTTTAAGAGCTATTGGGGGAAAGTAGATCATGGGAATGGTGAGTAGGAATTATGAAGGAATCTATAATAGAGAACACTGGGTTTTAAAAGTTGTTTGCATCTTTTTTCTCCTCTATAATGAAGATGAAGTGCTTGAAGTTTCTGGGGACAGGAAGCAAAAGTAAAATGCTAGGATTTTAGGACAATGAGGAAGACCTTGAAATATTTTCACCCTTTCATTTTTTTTTTTGAAGTTTATCATATGCACAAAATTTACAGAAGATAATTAATACATTGGATAAGAATTTATCTAGATGATTAATTTTCCTTCTAATATCCAGAGATTTTTTGGGAGGGGGATAATCTTGATAGCTCTTTTCCCTTATATCACATAATTATTAACTATGTAATATATGTTTACTATTAAATGTATAATAATAAATAATAGCAATTCTACCTCGCTCCAAATTGAGGTCATCAGGAAGGACTTCCCAAAAAGAGGAGACTTGAGTGAGAAAAGGGGTTAAGGTCTGTCTTTCTTGTTTTTTTTTTTTGGTTTTAAAAACAAAACAAAACAAAAAAAACCATTACTTTCCCCTTCAAGCAGGTTTAAAAACCGACCTCATTCCTCTCCTTAAAACGCCTGTGACTGCAGCAAATGTACGGTGTGGTTTGATCTGCAGTGTTATTTAGCACATTGTCTGGGCTTAGGTAATTTTTGTTCAGTGACTGTGACAACAGGACCACATTTTTATGTATGACTTTTGTATAATTACTGATCTTGTCTACTTGTGTTGTAGAAATCAGCCAAGAAATTAGCTTAGTTGAAATCAGTAAGTTTGGACTGTAAAACAAAGCTTCTAAATAATTATTGGTCTAAAAACTAAAACCTTATAATGGAACAGAAGAGTAAATCATAAAACCAAAGCCCTAACATTTGGGCTTAGCAGCAGAAGTATAGATCTCTTTTAAAAATCTCCTACTGATCGAGACCATCCTGGCTAACAAGGTGAAACCCCGTCTCTACTAAAAATACAAAAAATTAGCCGGGCGCGGTGGCGGGCGCCTGTAGTCCCAGCTACTCGGGAGGCTGAGGCAGGAGAATGGCGTGAACCCGGGAAGCGGAGCTTGCAGTGAGCCGAGATTGCGCCACTGCAGTCTGCAGTCCGGCCTGGGCGACAGAGCGAGACTCCGTCTCAAAAAAAAAAAAAAAAAATCTCCTACTATTGGCTGGGCATGGTGGTTCATGTCTATAATCCCAGCACTTTGGGAGGCTGAGGTGGAAGGATCACTTGAGTCCAGGAATTCGAGACCAGTCTGGGCAACATAGTGGGACCGTGTCTTGAAAAATAAAAAATAACTCCTACTATTATTGGATATATTGGAATTCTACTAAACGGACTACTAAGTAGTCTGGTCAGTCCTCGTTTATCATTCTTATAAACGCTGCAGGCCTAAAGGAAAGACAGAAATAGTCTCATTGGTTCTAAAATAAACCCCTTAGTTCTATAGAAGAACTACCTGTCTCTTGGGGAACATGAGAAGGTTCCCATCATCTCAGCCTGAAAGCCATCTTTTGTCTTAGCCATGTTTTCCATTGCCCATCACTTACTAGGGAAACATTCCAATGAGTGTACAGTGAGTGTTACAGACCACCAAAAAAGATGAAGTGGAGATGCCCAGCATGCCTCACTATTTATAAGAAAATATTTCCCCAAAAGATGGGAAAATCCGAGTCTTTAAATACTCAGAGAGAGAAATAATGGAAAAAACTCTTCAGTCTCTGTTCTGTTGGTTCATGAGATTTTCTCACAAGTCATTTGGATGGGCCATTAAGTAAGTCACATAATGACTGGAATTTTCTATTAATTGCCTCACTTTGGGTTTCTGGCTAAAGTATCTGGCAGCAAGACTGAAGAACAAGCGAAAGAGAAAAGGAGTGGGTGGTGGTGGGAATGTGAGACCATCCATTGTTTGTTTATTGCCTGGAATCCTAACTTAGGGGAGAGGGCTGGAGGGCTGTCTTTGATAGGACCATCCACTTGGATGGCTAGAAGTAAATGACTTGGCTTCTTGTCTTTTAAACAGTTTAGGTTTCTTTGTTTCAGAGGGTTACTTTACTTTCTGTGTCTGCTGTTGTCACCGGGAAGTTCATGGATCGAATTCTCTGGCATAGCGCACACACATTAGTTTGTCTTCTTATACGCATCAGTCATTAGCTGTCTTGGCTTTGGGAAATGAGAACTTAGTTTAATCCTAGTTTTCCTTTTGCTTTCTGCTTTCTGTTAATCCCTTTGTGGTATAGATCCTGAGTCTATCAGTCAGGATCCAACCAGAGAAACAAAACCAATAGGACACACACACACACACACACTCTTTCATCAAGGGATTTATTATAAGACTCTAGCTTATGTATTGTGGAGGATGTTTAAGAAAGCCCAAATTGATAGGACAGGTCATTAGGAAGAGAAGATGACAAGCAGGCTGGAATCCCACAGGCACAGTCTGAAGTTGTTTTCTATGGGAGAAATTTCTTCTCTCCTTCAGAAAGTCTTAAGGCCCGGCTTTTAAGGCCTTCCAACTGATTAAGTCAGGTCTACCAAGAGTGATCTCCCTTAAAGTCAACCCATGAAGTCCCATTAGGGACTTCATTTGCATCTGCAAAATCCCTTCACAACAGCACCTAGATTAGTGTTTAATTGAATTACCAGGGATTGTTAAATTCATCAACACATTGGGAGAAGCCAAAGAGGAGCTGCCTGGAAAATCATCCTGCCACAGGTGTGCCTCTGCAGACGTTTATCAAATCGAGGTGGGGTCTCTGCTACTCTCTCCAAAAACCGTTTCTCTCTTAGTTATACAACTACCTGCTGTATACCTCACCCAGGAAAGCATGGTTGGCTAATCTTTGTCAGGATTGGACCTCACTCGGGTTTTCAAATGTTGCATGTAAAACAATTTTTTGACTGAAAAATGTTTTTCTATTGATAACCGTTTAGTGAGCTTTTTAAATATTTGTTTAAACTTAAACACTAAAGCATAAGGGCCACTGTCAATAGAAAACTAAGGCCTTATTTTACCAAGGAAACTATTAAAATGATTAGTTTGTGGGTATGGCTATAAAAGGGAAATAGGAAGGTCATTGTGGTGGTAGAAGTGTCCTATACTGTGGCTCTGTCAATGCTCATATCGTGGTTGTGACTCTGTGCTGTAGTTTTGCAAGATGTTACCATTGGGGGAAACTGGGGAAAAGTAAATGGGATCTTGAGCAAAATCCACAGGATCTTCCTGTTGTTCCTTACAATTGCATGTGAATATACAATTGTTTCAAAATTAAAATAAAATGTTCCATTTTGTAACAGCAAAGGATTTTTCAAATAATATGAATAATCATTTCCTAATTGATCTTTTTAATCATATTAAAGAAGTAGACATCTATATATATTTAGCCCTGTGTTGGGAATTATATATATTATATAGTATTATATAATAAATATATATATTTTATTTTTATATATAATACATTTTCATAGAGGGGGGCCTCACTATGTTACCTAGGCTAGACTCACTTTTGGGCTCAATCATCTTCCAGCCTCAGCCTCCCAAGTAGCTGGGACAATGGAGGCACACCACCATGACCACCATGTCTGGCTACTCAATATGTATTTGAGTGGAAGAAAGCATACGATGGGAAAATTGATGGTGACAGTTAAGTATAGTGTTGAATATAAAAACGTTTTGTAAAAATCAGGGTCAAATTATTAAATGAAATATTGGGTATAGTATAAGAAGATGGAGTCTTCTCTCTGTAATGATGACTTAGAGAAGATAGATAGCATAGCCTCAAAAAATAATGCCAGACATAAACATAAAGTATAAGTACAAAGGAAAACTCTAGAAATGTGGAGAGGGTAGTTTTAGGACAAATATAAAATATCTTTTAGCTCAGAAAGTTGTATACGTTGAAAATATGTTTAAAAGGTTTAAATGCGATTTGTAGATCACTCATTCAGTAAATATCTGCCTGCCTATAGTGTGTCAGGCAGGTATCTACAGCTTTTTTGTTTTTGTTTTTGTTTTTTTTAAACAGCTCTTAGTTTTGTCACCCAGGCTGGAGTGCAGTGGTGCAATCTTGGCTCACTGCAACCTCCACCTCTTGGGTTCAAGCGATTCTCCTGCCTCATCCTCCCAAGCAGCTGGGATTACAGGCATGTACCACCATACCCAGCTAATTTTTGTATTTTTAGTAGAGACGGGGTTTCACCATGTTGGCCAGCCTGGTCTCGAACTCCTGACTTCAAGCCATTTGCGCACCTTAGCCTCCCAAAGTGCAGGGATTACAGGCGTTGAGTCACCGTGCCTAGCCTACAGTCTTGTGTATTTCAGGAACTTTCCTAACATGTAAATGTTGATGTCCTTGAGGGTAACCATACCTTTCCCAAATCTCCATTGATAAAACTGTAAAATCTGAGAACCACCTAGATTAGTTTTTCTCAATGTATAATATTTCTGGTCTTACTGCATGGAGATTTTTACAGAGAAGTGAAATTCAACCAGTCAATTTTAAAATAACACTCCTGGCTGCTGCATGCACTGTGCCAAGACTGTTTAGCCACTAATGGAGAGGACTTGTCTACTTTGCTTCTCCTGGTTTTAAACAAAGTCTTTTAGAGGGTGACCACCTCAGTGAGTGCTACCTCCCTACTGTCAGAGTTGTTCAAGTGGCCAAAGAGCAGCAGCAACACTGTCATCGACGCTAATAGATAAATTCAGGGTCCTGTCCAGGAGAGGGCCCTGTATCAAATAAACCTCTACCCTCACCAAAAAATGTTAGATTTTTTTAAAGAAACCATGATTCCATATTCCACCAGTCAGCCTCACTGGCAGACGCATTAGTTCAGGCCTAACCAGGAGTGAGGATGTTCATGGCTGGACTGAAGGAACTGTCCTGCTAGGGAGGTCTGGGCCGGCCACTTATGGGTCAGACTTTGGAATTTTTGGAAGTAGTAAAAGGAGGCTTTTGTCTCCCAGAATAGCAACAGTTATCATTTAAAACCAGTGGCTTCTATATACAGCAAGTGCTTCTATATATACACTCATGTATTGTTTATATAGGACTATTTTAAGATCTGTGTCACATTTTTCTGGTGTATTTTATGGTGGGAAAATTCAATTGGAAAAAATGTACTTAGATCTGGTGGGGATGGTAAGGTAAAATAAGTACTTAAAAAAAAAAGAAGATACACACAGTTTGTTTTTATTTTTATTTTAGCTTTCAGTACAGAAATAGCTAGGTGATAGTTTCCTAAATGAAATTGTATTGCTTCTCCTTAAGCAGGTTTGATTATAGCTCGTGTTCTAATACTAGATTTTTTTTGCTTTTTTTTTGAGATGGAGTCTCGCTCTGTCAGCCAGGCTGGAATGCATGGCGTGATCTCAGCTCATTGCAGCCTCTACCTCCCAGATTCAGTCCTGCCTCAGCCTCCCGAGTAGCTGGGACTACAGGAGTGCACCACCATGCCTGGCTAATTTTTGTATTTTTAGTAGAGACGGGGTTTTGCCCTGTTGGCCAAGTTGGTCTCGAACTCCTGACCTGAGGTGATCCGCCCGCCTCGGCCTCCCAAAGTGCTGGGATTTCAGGTGTGACCGATTGCGCCTGGCCTCTAATACTAGGTTGATCTCCACAGTAGTCCGAAGACTTGCAAGGCACATATCAGCATTCATCCATGTATTCATTACAAAAATCTGAGTGTTTGTTACGTGGCTTGTAATTCAGGGTTTATTTTTCTTTGGGTTTTGCCGGTGTTTAATTGAGAGGGAAATGGATAGAGAAATGACTTGTCTAAAATACTATTAAGAGTAATGTGGGTATAGAGTCCCAGGCATTCCCATAGCCTAGGTACGGTGCGGCTGTGGCAGGGCAGCCCCAGTGGGTTGTGTGTGTTAGGGCAGTGAGTGAGGGGCTGGGGCTCTATAAGGGCTGACCCCTTCTTACCTGCTCTTTGTAGAGGGTGGCATCAAGCTAGGTGTTCTGGGAGAAAGGTGAGAAACAAGGAGCTTCCAGTCTAGCAGGGAAAAGATCACAAACTTAGTATAAGAAAGAGATGTGGCCAGATGGCAGTGGCTCATGCCTGTAGTCCTAGCACCTCTGGGAGGCCAAGAAGGGTGGATCACCTGAGGTCAGGAGTTCAAGACCAGCCTGGCCAACATGGTGAAACCCTGTCTCTACTAAAAATACAAAAATTAGCCAGGCATGGTGGTGCATGCCTGTAATCTCAGCTACTTGGGAGGCTGAGGCAGGAGAATCACTTGAACCTGGGAGGTAGAGGTTGTAATGAGCCAAGATTGTACCACTGCAGTTCAGCCTGCTTAACAGAGTGAGACTCCATCTCAAAAAACAAAAAAGACAGATGCCTTAAGAGAAATTCAGATGACATTATAGGAGCTCAAAAATATAAAAGATAATTTCTACTTTTGGGAATAGAACAGGCTTCCTGGTATGGGTGATATTATGTGTGGAATTAAGAGCAAGGTAAAAAAGGATTAAAAGGGCTCAAGCAGAGGAAGGGGTGAGTAGAGCCATGGAGGACCTGACTGTGAAAAGTCAAGTCTGGGCGGATGAAGCTTAAGAAGGGGAGAGTGGAGGTTGCAGTGTGGTGATGCCTTTGAGCCCTGCCCTAGGAACATTTTCTCCTTAATTCAGTAGCTGGTGGGAAGTGAGCACTGTGCATGCGTGATGGAATGCTGTGGTTATGTTATGGTGAGTAAGTCTTCCTTTGTGAATGGAGGAGTAGAGAAGAAACAGGAGTGTTGGCCGTTGGCTAGACTTGGCAGGGGCTGACACAAAGGTGGATCCGGAGTTGATCTGGAGCTGATGGCCTAATCAGGGAGACCATGTTGTAGCACACTGAGCTACAGGTGTGCAGATAACAAGCTGTGGGGTGAGGAGGCATGGAGCTGACTGATTTCAGATATTTGAAGGCTGCTGTCAACCTCATCCCTGCCCAGATGTCTCTTCCATCTAAACGTCTCTGGCTTATGTAATTGTTCCTCCCGTGACATAGTTTGTATATCGTACAGCATTTCCCCTCAGTTTGCCTCTTGTAAAATACAAGACCCAGACCTGAACTAAGATTCCAGATATAGCTAAATACGGGAGGAGAATTGCTTCTCTTATTCTGAAGTTGTGCTGTCCCCCAGTTATCATGACATGCCCTGTTGCTGGACCAGCATGTGATCTGTCTATGCTTAAGGGACCTGCTATCAACAAAGGGAAGGGGCAGGAAAGGGAGCCCTACCGAAGGGGCCACATGGAGGGTGTTCGCCTTGGAGCCTGAAGTCTGCTGAACCTACTTAGCCCCTCCTCTTATCACAACATTACCTATTCCCCGTTCCTGTCTCCAGCCCCGTCTTCCGCCTCACCCACCCCTGTAGCTGTTGTCAACACCCTGACTCCCACCGGCTCTTTCCGGTGGTAGTTTTCCAGGTATACACAAATGTCAAGTTTCACTGAGCTGTGAAACTTATGCAGCTGTGTGTGTGTACCTATTCATTCATTCATTCTTCATTGAAAAGGAAGAAAAAGAGAAAAGACAAAGATTTCAGAGTTTTAAAGCCTGGGTGATTGGAAATCTAATGGTGTCATGTTCAGATCTAGGGACTCAAAGAGGGAGGTGTTATTTTGAAGAGGACAGCTGAACTGTCCTAATGACAGGCCTTTTCTCTGTGGTCAAGGCTACTTGGCAGAAGCAGGCCAGTTCGGGCCTCCGTGTTAGAAGCAGAAAGGGCTCGAGGGGAAAGCACACTAGCCAGACTCTAGAGTCTTCAGCATGTCACTTACACTGTGGCCCTCAGGCCCTTCCTCCACCACAGTCTTTATCTCCAGCATCTTCTGTCGCCAAAATCACCTTTCGTGACCTTTCGGCTGCATTTGATACTTTTGACTGCTTTCTGCTATTTGGGACAGTTTTTGTTTTTGAATGTGGCTTCCAAAACACCCATTCCCTTTATTCCCCCCTCCCCTTCCTGCTGGCCACTCTTTCTCAAGTCTCTCTTTGGTTCTATCTCAGCCTCCTGACCCAGGAAACTCGGGCACCCCCATGCTTAGCGCTGGCTCTTTTCGCCATCCATGGCCTAGGTGATCTCAGTGGGTTTCTGGCTCTGCTACCATCTGTACTTGCTCAGTTTTTGTCTGTAGCTTACCTCTGTGTCTCTCTCTCTTGAATTCTGGACTCTTGTATCTATCTGACATTTCTACTAGGATGTCAAATTTATCCAAAACCGAGCTGACTTCTGCCTTCTAGACTGATGCCATGCACTGTCCTCCACTGGGAGCGGCAGCTCTGTTCCTCTCATTGCTCAGGCCAAAAAGCAAGTCAGCCTGACTCTCTCATTCTCCTCCACCCGCTATCCAGTCCATCAGCAAATCCTGCTGGCTCTTTCTGAAACACTGTCTATCCAGAATGCAGGTACTTCTCATCACCTGCACCATTGCTCCCGGGCCCACCATCCTCCCTGGCTTGGCTTACTGGTAACTTCCTGATTGGGTTTCCCCGCCTCAGCCCTTTCCCAGGGCTATTCTCCTCCCACCTGCTGCCAGGCCTTTCCCTGGCCATCCTGTGTTAAATGTCATCCCGCCCCTACTGTTATGTTCTCCACAGCACTTGAACACGACCCAACATGCCTTTTCACTTCAAGGTTTATTCTTCTATTAGTTTTCCCAGAGTCTGCTTCCCTAGTGTCCATCTCCCCTGCTCGAATGCCTCTTGAGAGCCAGTGCTTGTATTTTGGTCCTTGTGGTATGGGCCTGGCACATAGTAGGCAGTCAGCAGATATTTATGGAACAAACAAATGAATTTGTGTGACTATAGTTCATTGTTCATAGTTCATTCATAGCCCGGATTTTATGGCTTATATATTATGTTCATATACATTCTCTCACTTGATCAGTTTGTTCACTTGTAAATCTGACTAAATCCAATTGTAATTATATTTAAAGTGTATTGACTTCCTTGACTGCCAATATGCAAATTGGCTTCCTCTGGAGATCTTAAGTGTAGCCATTAAAAGATCATGTCATTTTTTGTTAGTGACATGGGACCTAAATTTAGACTTGGAGAGCTTTTGCTTCTTTTATCACTAGTTCTATAGAACTCCCTTTTTGCAATTTTATTGATTCCTATTTATTGAATTATTATAATTTTATGTTAGTAGATCAGAAATTTAAAAACAAAAGCATATCAGATGCTTCATTTGCCGTCTCCTTGGTTAGTAAGGAGGCCGCAGCATCTCACAACTTCAGGGAAACATGAAGCATTGCATTCTGTGCTAACGGTGCCCCCTGGAGTTGTGCAACGCAGATGTCATGGCGAATGTAAGATGTTTGGCTTGAGTTTCTCATGACGGGGGTCTGTTTTCTTCCTGCTGTTTGAGTGGCATTTTAGGACCCCACAGGCTCAGTTTGCCTTGTGCTTGCATTATTGGGTCTTCTTGACTACTCTGTGTCACTTTTTATTAGCACAGCTATATCACGTTGTTCCTAATTCCCTTCCACTACATCCATTCCATCGACTTTCTTCCTTAATGTCTGCCTAGTCCCATTTCACTTCATTGACATCAACATTGTCTGATAGCAAACAAGTCCATATTTTCATCTGGCCGTTACAGGTGTCCTTGTTGGCTTAATCATAATAAAAACAGTTATTACCATCAAAATACAAATGGTATCTGTCATTTAAAATTTGAGCCTAGAAGTATGGTAAGGTTAAAAGATGCAAATGTGGTAATCCACTACCATTCTGGGCTGGTTTACCAATTCAGAGAGAATATGCAAATAATAAACTTTAATTTGTGGAGCAGTGGAAGCAGGCAGAGGTAGAAATTTGATCCCAATTCTACCTTGTATAGATGATTTTAGTTGCTTAGTCCATCTCCCAGTGCAGACATGGTTTTTGTAATTTCACCTGTGTTACTGCCCTGCCCTGAGCACTAGTGGTTATAGAAAGATGGGCAATCTAGGCTGTTCATAATAGCTTGCTTAGGATTCTGAATTTGAGGAGAGATGTATTTGTAAAACCCTGTACTCTGAAAACAGGCCTGTTTAGATTCCCTTAGGACCAGAAAAGGAGGAGAAGGGCTAGGAATTTAAATACCAGAACAGTTCAAACTGCCTGGTGTACAGCAAGATCTCTTACAGCTTGCAAGAAAGGGCGCTCTCCCAAGCCCTGATCGTGACAACAATTTATGCTTTATTTGATCTATATGCAGTTTATAAAGTTTATTTAGTCTATGCATATTTAAAAGTTTTAGTGTTTAATATCTGTGATTAAATATTTTGTTGACTGCTATATTTTCATTCTTCTCGTTGGAAGTTAAGAATCCATCAGTTTATCATCTTTTTAAGTTTTGGGTTTATTCTTCTATTCGTTTTCCCAGAGTCGCTTTTCTGCTTTCAGTCCTGACTTAATTTTTCCAATGCTCAGGTTAAGAAAGGTCCTATTTGAGCTCGGTTTTGAAAATTTATGTATTGAAAAGTTGTTTATTTGGGAGGCCCATGTGGATCACTTGAGGCCAGGAGTTCCAGACCAGCCTGAGCAATATAGCGAGACCCTGTCTCAACAAAAAATTTAAAAATTAGTTGGGCATGGTGGTGCACGCCTATAGTCCTAGCTGCTCAGGAGGCTGAGGTGGGAGGATCACTTGAGCCCAGGAGTTCAAGGCTGCAGTGAGCTACGATCATGCCACTGCACTCCAGCCAGGGAGTGAGACCCTGTCTCAGAAAAAAAAAAAAAAGTTGTTTACATTTTCTTTTTGATTTATCCCTTGACAAGGACTAAAGTCCCTGCAGTGAATGGTTAAGTGGGAAGGTGCATGGAATCACTGTTCTCCAAAAGCCTGAGTGAAGGAGAGAGGTGTCATTGTTTTTCCTTTGTACTGTGCACAGGGAAGAAGTTTCAGAAAACAGGACTTCTCACCAGGAATTCCAAAGTTAAAAGAATGTGGCCCTGGGGCAGATGGAGAAGTTTCAGCCTTGAAACAAGTGAACTTGGAGGAAAACTTAATTTTCAGTGTAAGAAGCCTAATTCACAGGAATAATTTCTCCTAGAGTAAGGCCCTTTCCAGCCAAATCTGTCGGTGCTATTGAGCTGGTATTTCAAGTATGTCCATCTGCATTTAAACGAGTTGCTCCAAGACAATCTGATTATACGGTAGTTACTTTGGTGAGAATAGCGCCTCAGTGGAATGGAAACTTCATTTTGAGTCTAATATTAGACCTTGCTTTGGAAAATTCCTTTTAAATGATCACAAGCTGGGAATAGCAAAAGAATTTAACTTTCGACAGACAGCATTCACCAAGAATTTTTAACTGCTTATGTTGGGTCCTTGGGAAAGCAGATGTGAGAAACCTACCGGACCAAGTGGATGAGATGAGAATTGACTTGACCTGATGCAGTGTTTATATCCATTGCTGATAAGTTTCCCTCCTCGTCTCCTCTGCTCAAAATGTTTTCATTCTTTGAGCGTGAGCATGCTAGGGATGAAGATTGTAGGATGCCTAATTGTCTAACAATCTAAACTTCTAGGCTTGTAGACACAGCTGCCTAGAAGGGGGTCTGAGGCAGAGCAGAAGCTGACTTAGACTGCCAAGTTAAGAAAGGGCCAACAGATCTGCAGGACCAGAGCCATTGTCTGCGTAAGTGCTGGGAGCTTGATCAGATGCAGCCCTCAGAATATTTTTAATGTGGCTGGTTGTATCTGGGTGAACTTACCCAACTTAAAGTGTTAACTAAACTTTATTTAAAGCTCTTGCACCCCACCCCCCGCCACCGCCACCAAGAAAACACTCTGTCATTAAACAAAAATTATACAAAAATTAGCTGATTAGGAAGTTTCCAGATAATGCCTACTTTGGCTTCATTTATGGATATGTTTTAGATACTTTGCATGCTTTGGATTGGGAAAACCAATATTGTTGTTTGAGAGATGCTGTTACTATTTTAAAAGATCTTTGAGATTGAAATGCATCTTTTTAACTTTTTATTTTATTTTTTTATAGAAATGAGTTCTTACTATGTTGCCCAGGCTGGTCCCAAACTCCTGGCCTCAAGCGATCCTCCTGCCTTGGCCTCCCAAGATGCTGGGATTACAGGCGTGAGCCATTGTGCCCTGCCTGAGGTGCATCTTCTAATCACTTTGTACATTTAATAATATAGTGGGGTTTTTTCCCTCTAAGTTGGTAATAAGTTGATGGTGCCTTAGAATTTAGGAAAAACATTAATAAAATAACGAGCATTACCACTTAGTGATCACCCAGCCGATTCCAGGCAGTGTCTTTGCTGGGTACCAGCATTATCTCTGATTTTCACAACAATCCTATTGCAGTAACAATTATGAGGCTGGCTTTAAAGATAAGGAAGCTCAGAAAAGTTATGTTTGGTCATGGTCTTCTGCTAGTAATGGCTAATGAGTGGCCTGCTGGAGTTCAAATCCAGAACTGTTCGACTCATGTTCTTCCCTTGCCATCCTGGTCTCAAGCAATCCATCCCCCAAAGCAGCAGTCTTTAACCTATTTATGCCTAGTGTTCCATTATTGGAATGCTAAGCTTGTGGGAGTTATTTATATTCTACTGCTCAAGGTCATCACCAAGGTCTGATTTTTCACAAAAACTTGCAACCTGTGACATAAATGGGTTAAACTTTTTTTGGTCTCAGGACCCCTTGAAACTCTTAAAAATGATTGAGGATCCTTTTATTTATGTGGGTTCTATCTTTTGATATTTACTGTATTTGAATTAAAACAGAGACCTTCAAAACATTGGTTGATTTAAAGGACAATAATCCATTGCTTGCTAATATAGTGTTATTAATAAAAATATTTTCTAAAACAAACAGTAGAAGAGTGCCATTGTTTTACTTTTTGCATGTCTAATCAAGCTAAAAGGAAGGCAGCTGGGTTCAGTCTTGTGCATTCAGTCTGTGCAGTATACTGTGTTAGTTGAAGTATATCAGGAGAATCTGGCCTCACACAGGTATGTATTTGGAAAAGGGAGGAGTATCAGCTTTTTTGGACAGTGATGGGTATTCTCCTTTGATATTACATCAAAACTCCATACATAGTAATTTATTAAAGGTTAGTTGTAATGTAGAATCTGAAACCATACCAGTAGACCTTTGGACTCTTACATTAACTTTGTTTGGTCCGAAATCTTCTTTACAGAAGAATACTGAATAATATATGCAGGTACTCCCCCTTCTAAATAATACATGTAGATACTCCCATATTCCAGGAAGTAGAGCTTAACTCCCACCCTTGTATGGGTGGGCTAGACTTAGTGATTTGTTTTCAAATAATAGAATTAAGGAAAGGGAAAAATGAGTAACTTTCCAATGGAGAAACCTGGGAAACACAGCCTTAACCAAGTGATGAAAAAGGTGAATGTCAGCAGTGATGTCATATAACCACTGATGTAACTAGAAAACCTATAACCCAGTATACTCATGGGTGAAACATCAGACAAGCTCAAATCGGGGGACATTCTGCAGGAGGCCTGACCAGTACCCTTCAATATTGTCAATGTCATAAAAAGCAAAGACCGAAAAACTGTCACAGACCAGAGGAGACTAAAGAGACATGACAACTAAATGTGGTGTGGTGCCCTGAACCAGACAACAAAACAAAGAGGATGTTGTAGAAATAATCAGCGAAATCCAAATAAAGTCTGGAGTTTACTTAATAGTAATGTACCAATGCCAATTTTTTAGTTTTGACAAATATATCATGGTAGTGTAAGATGTTAACAATGGGGGAAACCGGGTGAAGGGTTTATAGGAACTCTCTGTACTCTCTTTGCAACTTTTCTGTAAATCTAAAATTATTCCAAAGTAAGAATTTTTAAAAATCTGTTGTTCTGTCTTATACTCCAAATGGATTGTGTACTCGTGCATGATTTTGTAACATTGCCATAGTCACTTGGAAAATATTGGTTCACTGAGTTATACAGATCTTCAAAATGTTGACAGATTGCAATATTCAATATTTTTAACAATCGTTTGTTAATATCACCAGCAATCTCATCAGAAAAGTCTTTAATTGTTGAGAAGCTGTTACGCTCGTGGCTACAAGTCTCCCAAAATTTTAATTTTCTTTTCTTTTTTTTCTTTTTTGTTGAGACAGAGTCTCACTTGTTGCCCAGGCTGGAGTGTAATGGCACGATCTTGGCTCACTGCAACCTCCACCTCCTGGGTTCAAGCCATTCTCCTGCCTCAGCCTCCTGAGTAGCTGGGATTACAGGCGTGCACCACCACACCTGGCTAATTTATTTTGTATTTTTAGTAGAGACAGGGTTTCACCATGTTGGCCAGGTTGGTCTTGAACTCCTGACTTCAAGTGATCCGCCTCCCAAAGGGCTGGGATTACAAATGTGAGCCACTGCGCTCAGCATTTTTTTTTTTTTTTTTTGAGTGGGAGTCTCACTCTGTTGCCCAGGCCTGGAGTGCAGTGGCACAATCTCGGCTCACTGCAACCTCCGCCTCCCAGATTCAAGTGATTCTCCCACCTCAGCCTCCTGAGTAGCTGGAATCACAGGCACACACCACCACATCCAGCTAGTTTTTGTATTTTTAGTAGAGATGGGGTTTTGCCATGTTGGCCAGGCTGGTCTCAAACTCCTGACCTCAGGTGATCTACCTGCCTCAGCCTCCCAAAACGCTGGGATTACAGGCGTGAGCCACCGCACCCAGCTAAAATTTTAACTGTCTGTTGAAAGCTCAAATTTTATCATTGGCAGTCCACACTGCCTATTGTTTTCCTTGATGTGACAGGTTCATTTTTGAGAAAATGCCTGACAAATACCCAAGTCTATATAACCATAGTTTGTCTAGTAGTCGTGTTTGAAGTAAAAACATTCAACAATGAAAGTGGCCAGTCCAACTTGCAAGTCAATCACAAGAGTCTTTCCTCAGGACGGCTGCCATACTTCAGAATTCAACAGAAGTGTTTTATGACAATTCCCATGTTGTCATACAGATTACCAAAAGACATGTACTCAGGTCAGGATTTAATGAAATTAATGTTTACTGCTTCAGCAAGGACTTTTTTTTAAGACAGTGTCTTACTCTGTCGCCTAGGCTGGAGTGCAGTGGCTCGATCATAGCTCACTGCAGCCTCGAACTCCTGGATCCTCCCACCTCAGCCTCCCAGGAAGCTGGGACTGTAGGCCTGCATGTCCAGCTACTTTTTCTGTTTATTTTTTTGTAGAGACAGGATCTCACTGTGTTGCCTAGGCTGATTGTGAACCCCTGGGCTCAAGTGGTCTTCCCGCCCGGGCCTCCCAAAGCTCTTGGATTACAAGAGTGAGCCATCGCTCCCAGCCAAGTACATTCTTAAGAGAAGCTACTTCCTTCCCTTTACTGCATGTGTGTTGTGACAGAGAACAGTGTTCACTAAGTGCAGCTTGCTCCCACTACGTTCATCTGTGCTAAGGTGCCTTTTCACCATCAGTTCAAATTTCAACACAGTGAAAACAGCCAATAGCATCTTAGTATTCTTATGAAAATAGTTGGGCCTCATGGACCTCCTATAAGGGTCTTGGGAATCCCTAGGGCACCATGGACCACACTTTGAGAACCACTCTCTTTAGGTGGCAGTTGCCGAAAGGTTACGCAACAAGAGACATTACCATTAGGAAGCAGAGAACAATGGTGCAGTGCAATGTATGTGGAGGGTGACGCTCTTCTGGCGTAACTTTCTGCCTTTTAATGGCTCTTGAAGTTCTTCCATTTGTTTGTGATGTCTCAGTACCATTTTAAAATGCTGAAACAGAGATTTTGATAATTCGACATCTGTGTTTGCTGGTGTTTTTACCATATCACATATAACATGTCATTCAGAAAATTCAGAAAGTCACTTCCTAAACTTTTTCTTGTCTCTAAAGGTAAATCTCACCTGGCTATCGTGCAGCGGGTAAACAATGAGGGAGAAGGGGATCCATTTTATGAAGTTCTGGGAATCGTCACCTTAGAAGATGTGATTGAAGAAATCATCAAATCTGAGATTCTTGATGAAACAGATTTATACAGTAAGTAGCATTGTCTGAGTGTATTTCCCGAAACCTTTGCTTTTTTTGTTGTGCTGTTTGTGAGTCTTCTGACGTTTCTCCAGTTGCTGCCTCTGTTTATAATGACACATGATGTGTGTAGGCCGTGCACAACCTGTTGGTATATTCCAGTCCTTTTATCAGAAGGAGCAGACCCTGTAATGTCAAGCGACAGCATTCTTCTGAACAGCCAGCTGCTTCTAACCACTGATGAGGGCATTACTTGCCCTAAACAGAAAACTGCTGTTGGTTTTAAATTTTATTTTACATATGTAAAAAAATCTCTACTAAAATTTCATTTTATACAACTAGGTATATTGTTTTCAGATAAACTTCTGTTTGTACTTTTCATAACTCAAGTACTCTTTAAAGTGAATGGGAGGCCGGGCGTGGTGGCTCACGTGTGTAATCCCAGCACTTTAGGAGGCCGAGGCAGGTGAATCACCTGAGGTCAGGAGTTCGAGACTAGCCTGGCCGACATGGTGAAACCTTGTCTTTACTAAAGATACAAAATTAGCTGGGCGTAGTGGTAGTGGTGCATGCCTGTAATTCCAGCTACTCTGGAGGCTAAAGCAGGAGAATCGCTTGAACCCAGGAGACAGAGGTTGCAGTGAGCCAAGATTGTGCCACTGTACTCCAGCCTGGTTAACAGAGTGAGAGTCCACCTCAAAAAAAAAAAAAAAAGTGAATGGGATTTGTTAAACTGATAGATGACAACTGTTTATACTTCCTTGTTCCAGAACCCTTGGGTCAGGGGTGGAGGTGAGATGTGCAAGTGTAGCTTGCTGGGGCAGTGGGTCGGGGGTGTGGGAAGCAGGATAGGGTAGGGTACACAGTAAGAATGTGTTTTTCCTGTTCTCTGCTTCTCTGCTTTCTCTTTGGGGGAAGGTGAAAGTGGGGAGTGGCTTGGATCAGGGCAGGGTGAGGTAAGTATGGATACCTTATTTGCCCAGGTGTAGACTTGATCCTGAACTGAGTGTTGAACTGAGTCCTGTCTCATTAAAGTGTAAAATATGATTGCTGGACTGTGGAGCTTAAATCTTCTTTGGCCACACCCTTAGCAATGCTCAAGGGTTCCATAAAGCCAGAGATGGTCCAGGCCTGAGATGTTTGGGGGTCCCAGGGGTGGGATAGAGAAAGAGCATCTGGGCTCTGTGTATGCTGCCTGGTTTTAAAGCATGGCTTGGCGGAGGGGAAATGGACTGTCTGAGCTTCCCAACAAGCTGGTCATTCAGGATAAAGTCTGCTTTGCTCAAAGCAGGGTGCTTTTTATTCAGTCCTGCTAGAAGGAAACATCCCACATTTTAAAATTGAGAAAGTTTGGGAGGCCGAGGTGGGTAGATCACAAAGTCAAGAGATCAAGACCATCCTGGCCAACATGGTGAAACTCCGTCTCTACTAAAAATACAAAAATTAGCTGGGCGTGGTGGCACATGCCTGTAGTCTCAGCTACTTGGGAGGCTGAGGCAGGAGAATCACTTGAACCCGGGAGGCGGAGGTTGCAGTGAGCTGAGATTGCGTCACTGCACTCCAGCCTGGTGACAGAGCCAGACTCTCTCTCCAAAAAATGATAATAATAACTGAGAAAGTCACTGGGCATGGTGGCTCACCCCTGTAATGCCAGCACTTTGGGAGGCCGAGGCGGGTGGATCACTTGAGTTCGGGAGTTAGAGACCAGCCTGACCAACATGGCGAAACACCATCTCTACAAAAATATAAAAATCAGCTGGGCATGGTGGCACGCACCTGTGATCCCAGCTACTCAGGAAGCTGAGGCAGGATAATCGCTTGAACCCAGGAGGTGGAGGTTGCAGTGAGCCGAGATTACACCACTGCACTCCAGCCTGGGCAACAGAGTGAGACTCTCTCAAAATAAATAAATAAAACTGAGAAAGTCTTCCCTGTACCCACAAAAGAAAAAATTTTACACTTAACTAACGACTATTTTCTGAAAACGTATCCTGTTTTATCCTCACATCTGAATAGCATTCTTAAAAAACACCCTTTCCCACATCTGTTTTATCCTTTCCTCACTTGGAGGGTCGTCAGAGGTCTCAGAGAATATTATTTGTACGTTTACGTTCTTTTCATCCTTCCTCACAAATGACTGTTTAAAAACCAACTGTGGCTGGGCGTGGTGGCTCATGCCTGTAATCCCAGCACTTTGGGAGGGCGAGGCAGGCGGATCATGAGGTCAAGAGATGGAGAACATCCTGGTCAACATGGTGAAACCCTGACTCTACTAAAAAAAAAAATACAAAAATCAGCTGGGTGTGGTGGCGTGCGCCTGTAGTCCCAGCTGCTCGGGAGGCTGAGGCAGGAGAATCACTTGAACCCAGGAGGCAGAGGTTGCAGTGAGCAGAGATCGCACCACTGCACTCCAGCCTGGCGACAGAGTGAGAATCCGTCTCAAAAAAAAAAACAAAAAAAAAAAAACCCAAACCGAGTGTGTCTGTATTTCTGTTTGCCCAGGGGTAGTACTTACCATTAGGAAGGCGATTTACCATTTAGGAGATCCTATGTTTGCACTTCAGTTTTATACAAATGTTAGTTTAACTTCTCTTAAGCCTTGATTGGACTGATCTCATACAGAAGTGTTGCCTGATGTTACTGGCTCAAGATGCTGGACTTGTGGTTTCAGGTTTTTTTCTTTTTTTTTTTTTTAGACTAAGTCTTGCTCTATTGCCCAGGCTGGAGTGCAGTGGTGCAATCTCACCTCACTGCAACCTCCGCCTCCTGGGTTCAAGGGAGTCTCCTGCCTCAGCCTCCTGAGTAGCTGGGATTACAGGCACCCGCCATCACACCTGGCTAATTTTTGTATTTTTAGTAGAGACAAGGTTTCACCATGTTGTTCAGGCTGGTCTCGAACTCCTGACCTCAAGTGATCCACCTGCCTTGGCCTTCCAAAGTGCTGGGATTATAGGCGTCACCGTGCCTGGCCGATTTCAGGTATATTCTTGATCTGGATAGAGATTGGGAGTGACAGCTGTTGCCATTAGAAAATTATTTTTAAATTCTGTATTGATTTCTACTGTCTGGTTCTCAAAAGAATTGAGACAGACAGAAAGTGGAAGTTGCAGTCGCCTTCTCAGGAAAAGCCTAGTAATCAATCTGTTTTGCTTTATGCAAGAAACAATAATGCAGTGACTCAGTCCTTGGGAAGGAGCAAGCAATTGGGGTCTTGTCTTTAAGCTCGTTTTTTCTTGATCATTAATTTGTCTAGAAAAATACTTGAAAGATGGTTTTGCAGGAGTTACCTTCCAGGTCAGGAACTGGTAAACCAAAGCCCATGGGTGCCTGCACTCTGCTTCTGGTGACCTGCAAGCTAAGAGTGTCTTTTCACATCTTAAAATTGTTGCAAAATGGCTAAGCATGGTGGCTCATGTCTGTAATCCCAGCACTTTGGGAGGCTGAGGCAGGAGGATTGCTTGAGCCCAGGAGTTCAATACCAGCCTGGGTAACATAGTGAGACTCTGTCTCTACAAAAAAAATTTTAAAATTAGCTGGGCGTGGTGGCACACACCTGCAGTCCCAGCTACTTGGGAGGCAGAGGTGAGAGGATCACTTGAGCCTTGGAGTTGAGGCTGCAGTGAGCTGCGATTGTGCTGCTGTACTCCAGCCTGGGCAATAGAGCAAGAGCCTGTCTTAAGAAAAGAAAAGAAACCAAAAGAAGAACAATTACTTTGTGACATGCAAAAATTATATGCAATTCAAATTGCAGTGTTCATAAAGAAAGTTTGATTGGAAAACAGCCATGCTCCTTCATTTTTCTAAACAGCAGTGTGGAGACTATGTAGACCCACATAGCCTAAAATATTGACTCTCTGGCCCTTTTCGGAGGAAGTTCGCAGACCTCTGTCCGGATCCCATTCGTATCTGCTTGACCTTGAGGATCTCATGGTCTGGAGTAGCAGTGAAGCAAACATATTATTAAAACACTGCTCTGCGAAAGCATTCATGTTTGTTTCTTAAGGGGGTTTTGTTTGTGTGTTGTCTTTCAGCAGAGGGAAGGGGCCTCTTACAGGCAGGGACACTCCTCCCTTGTGTGTACACAGTGGTGGTCCTTTGCTGGAGGATGGTGACATTGAGCAACAGTGGACTGTGCACTCCAGGCTGCGCGCCCTGTTGCTGTGTGCTTCTGTGGGTCTTGTGAGAGGCTCTGTCAGCATTTGCCTGATGCTGTGCTCACAAGGGCCCTCTACAGACCTTCCTGAAGTACATTCACTAATCAGGCTGCCTGCGGTCACTCGCTGCGGACTGCGTGGTGCCCAGGCCGCCGTGCTGATTTGATGAGGATCTGGCTCTCCCTCCCTCCTTCCCCGTGGCATCTGTGCATAGAGCGCCTGCATCTGGAAATACAGTCCAGCTCTTCCAATATATTTTGTCTTTTTCATTCAAAAAGAGCCCTCATCTCATGGGATGCATTTCTTTTTTTTTCTCTCTTTTAATTCCTCCCTTAGCTGACAACAGAACGAAAAAGAAAGTGGCTCACCGGGAACGAAAGCAAGATTTTTCTGCCTTTAAGCAGACAGACAGTGAGATGAAGGTTAAAATATCACCACAGCTCCTCCTGGCCATGCACCGTTTCCTAGCAACAGGCAAGTGCAGCTTATCACAGTTTGAGATCTCTACCAACCCTGAAGCGTGTTTCTCACCCACCACTGACTGGGGTGGGTTGGGGGTGGACACTGGGAAATGGGGTGATAAGTAATGCCACTTTTGTGTTTTGTTTTTTTTGTTTTTTTGTTTTGTTTTGTTTTTTTCTTTTTAAATTCTCTCCTCTCCTATGTTCAGTGTCGGCATGAACCCTCTGAGACATTTACCAGGGGTGGACCAGTAACTTAAAATTGGTCTGAAAGGTAAGGATGAATGTTAGTGCCACACTGCATGTGTACAGTAGGCCAGGCCATCTCCTTCCAGCTAGGTCCGTGGGAGAGCCAGCTGGCGGAGCAGGCTGATGGTGCCAGCCTGGCACCAGCTTGTTTGATGGACAATTGAGTCCAATCTCTCTTCAGCTTGTCCTGGAAGCACAGTTGGACATCAGTGGTAACACAGGGGCTGTGATTTGCAAAGAAGAAAACTAGGTTTTCACAATTAAATCTTTATCTTTTATGATTTTAATGAAATCAAATTCTAAGAACTTTGATATGGATTTCTTGATGGCCTCCTCAGATCAGATTAACTCGAGTCCATTTCAGGAGGCAAGTGTTCATGTTGTTTAAACCACCAACCCAGCCGGCACTGACTGCTCCAGAGAGGTCAAGGTTGAATGGACTTAAGATACTGACCAACCCTTCTCCCATCCCCAGATGCTCTCCAGGGTTGAGCTCTGGTGGCCAGGGGAAGTGTGAGAAAGTCTAAAGCATCCAGTGGCTTTAGAAGACATCGGTGTCCCTGATAGGCAGCCAGTGCCTTTCATCTGCATGCAGTAAACTTAAACCATGTTTAAAAGAAGGCTAGCCGCAACCACATGGTGGAATGCTGTTTAACTCTTTAAGGTCGTGTTCTCAGACACATGGAAATGCTCACAATATTATATTTATCACATCAGAAAATATAGCTTAATACAAAGTGGGGAGAAACAGAATCTAAAACTATGTGTACATTAAGATTAGAGTTGTGTTTTTGTGTGTACACACATGTATACATGAGCACACGTGCCTGGGCATGGCACTGGAAAGAAATGCTCACTTGATTGCTCAGAATGGTAATCTGAGTGGTTGGCTTATAGATAAGTTTTTCTTTCTTCTTTCTTTTTCTGTATTTTCTAAAATTCCTGTAATTACTATCTTATTACAAAAAAGTCACAAGTTAATACAGAACTTACAGCTTTCATAAATACATAATTAGAAAATAAAAGAACAGACGATGTCTTTCACTTATTATTCTTTTTCTAATTTTGATAATACTGTTCCTCATTTAAGTACCACAAATTAAAACTAAACATCTAGGCCGGGCATGGTGGCTCATTGCCTGTAATCTCAGCTCTTGGCGGGGCCAAGGCAGGCTGATTGCTTGAGACCAGTCTGGCCAACATGATGAAACTCTATCTCCACTAAAAATACAAAAATTAGCCAGGCATGGTGGTGGGTGCCTGTAATCCCAGTTACTCGGGAGGCTGAGGCAGAAGAATCACTTGAACCCGGGAGGTGGCGGTTGCAGTGAGCCGAGATTGCGTCACTGCACTCCAGCCTGGGTGACAGAGTGAGACTCCTTCTCAAAAAAAAAAAAAATTTAAATTAAAAAAAAAGAAAACTAAAACTAAATCTCCTACTCTGCTTCTGAGATATCATAGAGTCCAGTTGTAGGATAGCACCCTTCAGTCAGTAATTTTTGTTTTTGTTATTTAAAATAAAATTGCTGTCTTTGTAAATACTTTTGAACATTACTTTTTTTTTTTAAATTAGCATGTTGATGTGTGCACATGCCCTGCTCTTATTTCCAGTCTCGACCCTCTTTGTTCCCCACATTCCTTGGGGTAGTTGAGTGGGAGAGGGAGACGTGGGGCACCTGTGTGTGTGCGCTGGCACTAACCGCACCTGATGCTCCTGACCTTGGCTTCTTCCTTTGGCTGTTGGTCGACAGTCAGGCTGTTATGGCTTGTTGAGGGGCATCCCCCGCACTCAAGGAGCCCGCTTGCCGTTGATTTTCGTTTCTGTCAGTGAAATTAGTGTACTTTTATGAGGACTGAAGTCAATGATGGGTTGAAAAGGAAAGAAGTAAAAGGAACAAATGTGAGAATTCAGCACTTTCTAATTTCTCCCAGGTAATCTGTCCCCAGTGGATCACCAAACGGAAGCCTCGTCCATTCAAATGCTATCACTTTGATTCCAAGTATTCTTATCTAAACACCTCAATTACTATTAATAGTATAATTTTTCTCTCTCTGTTTGAAATGTAATATCAAGTTGTGTTTATATCTATAGAAGTAGAAGCATTTAGCCCATCCCAGATGTCAGAGAAGATCCTTCTAAGGCTGCTAAAGCACCCCAATGTCATCCAGGAACTGAAATATGATGAGAAGAACAAGAAAGCCCCCGAATACTACCTCTACCAGCGCAACAAGCCAGTAGACTACTTCGTTCTCATTCTGCAGGTCAGAAGAATTATTCAATAGTGGTTTGCTCTCACTGAGTATCCATCTTTCAGTTTGGTGTAAGTGAATGGGTGTCACCGTGTACATACTGAACCTTTCTATAGGGGGTAGCCTTAGACATGGGAGAATTTTATCTTCCTGTTTTCATATCTGTAAAGTAATTCTAATATAAAGCAATGCCAATAGTTACTTTAATTTTCAATACTAAAAGGTGCTTAGTAGGCTCGGTGCAGTGGCACATACCTGTCATTCCACCACTTTGAGAGGCCAAGGTGGGAGGATTGCTTGAGGCCAGAAGTTCAAGACCAGCCTGGGCAACATGGCGAGACCACCATCTCTACAAAAAATTTAAAAATGAGCTGGATGTGGTGGCATGCACCTGTGGTCCCAGCTACTTGGGAGGCTAAGACAGGGGGCGGGGCGGGGATTGCTTGAGCCCAGGAGGTTGCCATGTTTGCACCACTGCACTCCAGCCTGGATGACAGAGCAAAACCCTGTTTTAAAAAAAAAAAAAAAGTTGGGGGGATGCACCTAGTGATTACTGAGTCAGATGAAAATGGTGAATTCAATTGTTAGTATTTTTTGAAGAGTGTGGGAGAGTTTACCAGTACATGTCTGAATCTCAGTGGGTGTTTGAAATTTAAGTGTCATGGGTTATTGGTCCTTTTTCCATCCTTTTTTCCATCCTTCATGAGGACTTAAGTTTATACAGCTTCTTAGAGATATCTTAGCATCTCTTCCATTAACGCCATCAAAATAATCCATTTGTTGTTGTTTTTATTCCTGGTTACCAACCAAACTGTTTTATAGAGGAACTGATAGGATAATTACAGCCTCTTACAGCAGAGTAGCTAATTCCTTCTCACTGTAACATAATTCAGTAGATGAGGTGAGAAGGTCAATTCATTCTAAACTTCCTTTGAGTGGCTTTGGTGCTTGGGTTGACAGGAGGCCTTGTTTTATCACAGTTTCACTTAATAGAGCTCTATCCTTGGCATGGAGGCCAAGGTGGATATTAGTCGATAAAATGCTAATGTGGATCAAATGTGTAGATTCAAGCTCGGGAAAGTGTTGTGTTCATGTGTGACCCCATGTTTGGGCAGCATTGTGGTGTTTGGAAGCAGGAGTGAGGAGTAGGAAAATGCCGAGGGTTAGCTGATTACATGTCACATTCTTACAGTCCTTCTTAGAAACTTCTGTTTGCAAGTTTACTAATTTAGTACGCTGATTCATCTTCTAAATTTAGTTTTCCTCAATTGTTTTTTTTCTTTCCTCTTTGGAGATAATGTAAGCTTGTAACTCTGAGTGCACTGTTGGGAATTTAGTTTATTTACTGCAGTGAGGGAATAAAACATTCATGTTTCTCATAAGAGTGAGATGCGAATATTCCTTAAGCCTGGAGAAACTCTGGATACATCAAAGACTGTCACAGGAGGAATTGGAATATTGACATTGTGAATTTTAGTGTTAATATTAGAAACTGTGGTTTTCAGTTGTCTACTTTTATATAGTTAGTGTTTATGAAGTTGTGATTCAGTAATGCTTTATTGCTATATAAGAAAGCCATGGATCTAAAAATCTTATGGAAAAGGGACTTCATAATCTCTGTCCATTTACAAGTAAATCTTTTAAGATATTTTTGATAAGACATCTATGTATATTTACCTGTATTTGTATACCAATTTGTGTTAAATACTTATATAAAGGTGACAAGTTTTTTGAACTGTTAGGCTGATAATGCCATGGGGGTTTTACAAGTAGTGTGTATGTTTGATGAACAGGACTTACGGAGATGTTTGGTGAAAAACCATGATCTTGCAGACAGCCAGTTACCTAAGGTACAAAGAGAAGAGCAAAATGAAACACCCTCACAGCCTCAGTCAATCTGGCATAGCTGCCATCATTAACAAAGCATATTCTACCTAATATGTCACTAAGCCAGCGTTGGAAGTTCATGCCACTTTAGGGAGCATGATCCACTGTGGAGTTTGTTTGTTTTTTTGTTTGTTTTGTTTTTTGTTTGTTTTGAGAGGGAATCTTGCTCTGTCACCCAGGCTAGAGTGCAGTGGTGTGATCTTGGCTCACCGCAACCTCTGCTTCCCAAATTTAAGCAATTCTCCTGCCTCAGGCTCCCAAGTAGTTGGGACTACAGGCGTGCTCCACCACACCCGGCTAATTTTTGTATTTTCAGTCGAGATGGGGTTTCACCTTGTTGGCCAGGCTGGTCTTGAACTCCTGACCTCAAGTGATCCACCTGCCTTAGCCTCCCAAAGCACTGGGATTACAAGCATGAGCCACCGCGTCTGGCCTCCACTGCATTTCAAGAGCACTAAATAAGAAAAAAGCAATAATATCTGCCTTCCCTTCCTGGCCTCAGTGCCAGTGAGATGCTCTCCCTGCAGGAAAAAACCCTTTAAGTAATTGATAGGAATATAATTGTAAATAGAAACACATCATTTTTTAGTTGAAGCCCTAGATAAGATAAATTCCAAATTATTCAAGGAAAATGACCTAAGTAAACAAGAGTATTTTGTAAGTTACCATGTACATACCTCCCACTACATATGCATAAAAAAGCCAAAACTTCAAGTTTTATCTGTAAAAGTAGATTTTTACACCAAAATGCATTTCAGAAGCAATAAAGACAGTTAAAAGCACAGTAAATCATGGAAAAAACTTTATTGGCTCTACATGCTTTAAATAACTTAACAAAATACGTATGTAAGAAATAGGAACATGATTTTGGTGGAAGTGTTTTTCCACCATCATAGAAGATCAGGCATACTAAAAAAAAAAGTCATAGTTTTAAACTGAATACCTTGTAAAATAGAATTAACAGATTTGGAGGAAATTAAACATAATCAAGAGAAATATACTTTCGAAAAAGCTTATGTGGGCTGGGTGTGGTAGCTCATGCCTGTAATCCCAGAACTTTGGGAGGTCAAGATAGGATCGTTTGAGGCCAGAAGTTTATCAGCCTGGGCTACAGAGCAAGATCCCCTTCTCTACAAAAAATTTTTTAAAAATTAGCCGGGTTTGGTGACAGGTACCTACAGTCCCAGCTGCTCAGGAGGCTGAGGCAGGATTGCTTAAGCCCAGGTGTTGGAGGCTGCAGTGAGCTGTGATTGTGCCACTGTACTCCAGCCTGGGCGACAGAGTGAGCATGTCTCAATAAAAAAGCTATGTGACTCATAAAAATTGATCATTTATCATGTTACAGTGTACATGCTAGTAAATACAAAAAGATAGAAATTTCATGAAACTACCTGAATCGATGATAATGAAATAAAATTCGAAATAAAAAATACATAAAAGTGCTGGGCATGGTGGCTCACGCCTGTAATCCCAGAACTTTGGGAGGTTGAGGCGGGCAGATCACTTGAGTCCAGGAGTTCAAGACCAGCCTGGGCAATGTGGTGAAACCCTGTCTTTACAAAAATACAAACATCAGCTAGGAGTGGTGGCAGCTACTCAGGAGGCTGAGGTGGGAGAATCACTTGAGCCTGGGAGGCAGAGATTGCAGTGAGCCGAGATCGTGCCACTGCACTCCAGCCTGAGGGACAGAGTGAGACCCCCATCTCCAAACAAAATAAGATAAATTTAAAAAAAGAAAAGGTCATATATTAAAAAATACTAAGTCATGTTAAAATTGTGATACATTCTCTTATGTAGGTTTATATTCAAGACACAGAACATAGTGTATAATGTACTCTCTTTTTTGTAAAAGAAACATGCAAATCTACATGAAATATCTTCAGAAGGTTACCCAATAAACTGGTAACAACGAGTCTCTAAGGAGGCAACTTGAAAGGTTGAAAACAGGGTGGAAGGAAGACTGACTTCTTCCTTGCATAGTTTAAATTTCTCACCATGCGCATGTACTATTTAATTTAAAAATAGAGCTAATGACAAAATAAAAGTCCTAAATAGCAACTGAGTTAGAGAAAACATATAGAATGTAATAAAATATATATAGTATTACCATAAAAGTCTATTATTAAATAATGTAAATACCATAGAGGTGGTCTGTCAGTTTTAAGAAATCTTATTCCTTACGTACTTAAAAAGAAAATAGAACTATAATTATGTGGAAAAAGAGCAAAGCAGCAAACTAAAAAAGAACAAATTAATAAAGATTGTTATATAAACTGGCCGGGCGTGGTGGCTTGCACCTGTCCAGCACTTTGGGAGGCTGAGGCAGGCGGATCACTTGAGGTCAGGAGTTTGAGACCAGCCTGGCCAACATGGTGAAACCCCGTCTCTACTAAAAATGCAAAACTTAGCTAGACGTGTTGGTGTGCGCCTGTGGTCCCAGCTACTCAGGAAGCTGAGGCCCGAGAATCACTTGAACCCAGAAGGCGGAGGTTGCAGTGAGCTGAGATCGCGCCACTGCTCCAGCCTGGGCAACAGAGCGAGACTCTGTCTCAAAAAAATATATATAATAATAATTTAAAATTGAAAATGCCTTATAACCAACAAACACAATCAAGATTTGGCTCTTTGAAAATATGAACAGAGTCAGTGTTCTGTTGGCATAATTGATGTGATAAAAGGAAAAAAAAGTTCTCTCCTCTCCTATAAAAGCAGCTAGAATAAAAGGATTTGCTAGAAAAAATAGTCAATCTTCAAAAAACTCACAATTTCTATATTATAGAACAAGATGGCATGATAGTCAATTGCATTCTTTAAGGCTAATATGGGCTTAATCCTAAAATCTGATAATATAAGCCAATCTCACTTGTTAACATTGATGTAGAATTTCTAAATAAAATGGTAGCAGATAGCAACACACACCCAGGGTTACTGACTTGTGGCTGTGACTGAACTGGGTTTATTTTAGGAATGCAGTTCTAGTTTAAGAACAACAAAACCAAAATATGTCACATTAATTGGGAAAGTAGTAAAAAAAAATGATATTTATATCAGTAGATGTCAGACAGTTGACAAAGTTAAGCATCTATTACTGATTTTAGGAAACAGATGCCCCATCCCCTCAAATTTTTAACTGAATGGTAGACAAAAAAGAAAAAGTACAATAAATCATATCCTAAACTGGTAGCCTCCCATCTAAATCATTGTTTTACAAAGCTATCTATGCAAATATATTTATAGCAAATCTATTAACTATAAAGTAGTAGAAACAGTTCACGTCTAGCTAATCAAAGTGAGATGATAATATGAGGGATCACTATGTAGTAATGGAAGAAGTGGAAAGCATGTGCCCGGCCCATCCACACTCTTTTTTAGAGCATCTGACATGGATTCAAAAGGGACTTTTCCCTATAAACGGGGGTCGTCTTGTGGAGTATGGCAGGTGGCATCTTAAAATTTATACAGCCCTTGAAATACTTAGTATGCCTTCACCCTTCACCTGATAGGAAGGAGAATTTAAGCTTTTAATAGCAACCTCCTCATGGGTTTTTAAGTTGCACGGTCTGTGTACCCTAGTGCAGTAACGGATCCTTAATCTTGAGTCAAGCACAGATAACACACCCATTTTACTTGGACACCCAGCATTGAAACTTTTAAAATTATACTACTTAAGTATATGTCAGTATAAAATTGACTAGGTATAAGATTCCTTTGCTTAGAACTCTTATATATAACTATAAACCAAAACAAACTATCAAATGAATAAATTCTCAATGTGTAGATGATATTTGGCTGACCTGGAAGGGCCCCATCCCAGGGCTGTGGAGGGCTGCTGCCCTGCGAGCTCCCTTGCATTCAGCACACCTGGGCCTTTGTGTGTCCAAGATGTCTGCACCCTCCAGCCCTTTGCCAAATTTGAGCTACTTTGAATGTTTCTACAGTGTGTCGTGCTATTATTTGGCCTCCACTGGGTGTGACTGAATTACTTCCCTGTTAAATCCCACTCTGTTCCCTACTCATTAGCTCAGTGCTTCTCAGAATTTAATGTGCAGAGGATTCACCTGTGGGTCTTGTTGAACGGCAGATCCTTCAGTATGAAACGAATGCTTCAGTAGGTCTGGGGTGGAGTCTGAGATGCTGCGTTACCAGCAAGCTCCCAGTTGACAGTAGCAAGGCTTAGCTGTGATGCTCCAAGTAATACCACGTGGCACCAGAGTGGCCAAGGCGGGTGCTGGCACTGACATCTGGTGGTAGCACTTGATTGGAAAATGGTCAGTCAGATGGTCCAAAATGTGTCTAAATTAATTTTGACCATCAATATTTAGAAAAGTAAATTTAGCAAACTTGCTGAGTCTGGCCATTCCATTGCAGACTCCAGATTGAAAGCATTGCTAGAGAGTGTCGGGGCACCAGGTCTCCCCAGGCTTTGAGTGGGCATCTTTGGGTGCTGCAACTCCTCTCTCGGTTAATACAACCCAGTCTTTGTGCCCCTGGCATCTCATCACCTGCTTTCAGGAGTCAGGCCCCCCTGAATACTTTGTGATGGCGATTTAAAAAACAAGAAGGTGAGCGGGAGACCAGGTGGCTGCTCAGCATGTGGCGCATGGGGAAGTCCCGCCTTGAGCCGCATGCACTGATCCCGGGTTGGCACTGTTTGCACCAGTGTGGTTGTGCCCACGCTGGCTAGGGAAGTTTAGGATTCCACTTTGAAGCCAGACATGGCACGGGCTGTTGAGTAGGTTGTGGACACTTAGAAACTTTGAGAAGAGGTTATCTGATACCTTTGTCCAAAGAAGGGCAGGATGCTGTGAGAGATGCTTTACTCAGGAAGCCAACTTTGCTGGTCCAGTGAGTCCTTCTTCCAAGTTCGTCAGTTTATAAGCATGAAGCCCTACTTCCCTCTGGGAATTCTTGGAATTCATCATGTCCTGTCCTGGTTTTTTTGGTGATATGCTCGACTAGAGTAAACTTACAGATGTTTCAAAAGTAAAATCAATATGTAGCTTCCTTATATGGAAAAAGTTGTTATCTGAAAGGACACCTAATTAATCTCGAACCAGGTAAGCCATCTCCTCCTGTGCCCTAATTTTTGTATACTGGTAGGTTATTTGAAAATGAATGTTTTTTGGAACCACTAACACGTAAATGAATAAGATACGTTTACTGGATGTTTTTAAAACTTGCCTGCCAGAAAAGCTTAAATCCTATAGAGAGGGATGTAGTGGGGTGGGCAGGTTTGACAACTCTTGGAATTGTAGAGTCATAGAATGCTATTATAGAACTGAAAGAACTGCAGGTACCCTTTAATCTGTTGCAACTTTATATGAAGTAAAATTACTCTAATGTGATAACTCTTCCTAAGTGCTGAGATATTTTAACAAAGTTTTTGCCAGTTTGAGGCAGAATGAGAAAATAAAGACAGTTGCGATGAGCTTTTCATAAAGCTATGTGTATTCAGTTTGAAGACCTATTACTCTGAAATGACATATTTTCTAAATTTGAGGGGTTAAATGTCTGGTCTTTTATGAAATGATGGTAACAGTAGATAGCTGTTTTTTTTGTTTTGTTTTGTTTTGAGACAGTGCCTCACTATTTCGCCCAGGCTAGTCTTGAGCTCCTGACCTCAAGCAATCCTCCTGCCTCAGCCTCCCCAGTAACTGGGATTACAGGTGTGAGCTACTGTGCCTGGCAATAGTTGTGTTTTTTAAAATAAATACCTTTATTTTGCCCTGGCACGGTGGCTCATGCCTGTAATCCCAACACTTTGGGAGACTGAGGAGGGAGGATCAGCCAGGAGTTCAAGACCAGCCTGGGAAACATAGTGAGACCCCGTCTCTATAAAAAAATAGAAAAATTAGCTGGGCATGGTGGTGCACACCTGTAGTGCCAGCTACTCAGGAGGCTGAGTTACAAGTGTTGCTTGAGCTCAGGAGTTCAAGGCTGCAGGATTCTCACCACCGGTGCGGTGAGCCATGATTGCACCACTGCACTCCAGCCTGGGTGACAGAGTAAGACCCTGTCTGAAAAAATAAATTTTAAAACCATCTTTATGAAAAAAAAATTTGGCAACCCCGTATCTTTCCCTGTATCTGTCTCTGTAGAGGTGCGTCTTACTGGCCGTTAGGATGGAAATGTCTAGGAATCACTGAGCTTAGCATATCCACCCCGCAGCAGTGAATCTCAACTAGATGGAGTCCAGAGGGAAGATGGCAGATCCTCCCCTGCCTGGGATCCTGTCTGGAAGGACAGAGGAAGCATCAGCTGGAATGGCAGTGGTCTGGAGTTTTGAGTCTTGCAGCCGCCCTTGCTTAATCAGTTGACTCAGCTACACTGCCTTTGAGGGAGTCCCTTGAGAGGCCAGGGCACACAGTTTCCAGGGCTGGGGCCATTGTTCACAGACAGAGCCTTAAAGCAATGATTCCCAAAGTTTGTGGCTTGCTAGAATCACCCGGAAATCTTTTTAAATAAAATCCTGATGCCCAGATTCACCTATATTGTTAAATGAGAATGCCCGAGGGCCGGAGCCAGAGTCGGTAATCTGGGAATCTCTGCTTTGAGTGTGCAAGGCAGAGCTTCAGGCCTCAGAGTGGAACCACCGCACGCTTCCAAGAGACAGATGGTGTGAACCTATGGATTAAATAGAAAAAAAGATGTACAGTTTTCTGTTTTACAGTCTTGTTTTGGTTGTGCCTGCCCTACTAGTCCTGACAGTTTTATCTCCAAAGAATAGTGACCTGGCATCTGTCTGCAGGGACACAACACAAAAGGCCCTGTAACTTGTACAACAAATGCTCCAGATAACTGGAGACACCCAGGAACGGAAGTCACCATGAGGCTCCACTGCATTTGACTCTTCCTCCTGATTTCCTGCATGGAGGGTCAGGCTCAGAGCTGGTCACGCAGCCACTCTTGAGGTTACAAACTACAAAGCAGACATTTGCAGCCAGCACATACATGTCAGTTCAGGAAGAGATGGACACGGAATTGGGGAGACATGTACCGTGGCTACTCCTGTGTGTGTTGCTATCTCTGAACCTTGTTCCTCCCCTCCTCTTTGAAGGGACCCTACTTCAGGGACTTCCCCAGCACCCAGAGTCCTGAATTTTCAACAGCCTTCCCATGGCCCCACAGATGGGGATGTCCTGCTGCCTGTCCCTCTCCTGCCGGGGCCACTGTCCTCCCACTGATTCCTCTGTAGGGTAGGAAAGCCTCCTGCAGCCCCCAGCGGCCTGTGGTCAGTGATTGCTCCCGGCGGCCTTGAGCACCTTGAGGCCCTGACCGTCCTTGCCCCTGGAATTCTCCTGACCCCTGCTCTTCTGCCATGGTGCCGTGGTCTGGGCCTCCCTTTTCAGGCTCTGCCATGGTCCTGTTATGGTTTCAGTTTTCCCTGCTGCTCTCAGTCACGGGCTGAGCTTCGGTCCTTTTCCTGTCTCAGGTCCCCATCTCCAGCCCTGACCTCTCTCCAGACCTTCTTTCTCCCACTCGTGGTGTCCCTGTTCCTCAGCCCCTCCCAATGGGCCTCTGGTTCCTATACTCCTGTCTCCCTGATGGCTTCTTCGAATCATGCTGGTCCCTTATCAATAGCTTCTCTACCGCACTCCCTCCCCAGGCCTGTGGCTGCCACCCTCGTGGAAGCAGACTCTGTTCCTCCACCCAGGACCCAACCCTGCCAGCCCATTGCCTGGGGATCTGCTCACCCAGCTGCCTTCCAGATGTGCCCTCACTCCTCCCTGCAAACACAGAGCCTGGCCGGCCGCTGCCGCCACCCTGGGCCTCCCTCATGCTGTCCCTTTCTCTTGGTCATCCACAGCTTTTCCTTCCTGTATGCGATTTGTCTTTATATAAGAACAAGAAGTAAGATTTTTCTGGGAGCTTCTGTTCCCAATGTCTTTTTCCTCATGCTGAGCTCTTGTGTGCCATGTGGGCTGTTGCTTCTCATGTGCTCGCCTGTCCCTGCTGCATGGTCAGCCCGTGGGGGATGACGGCTGTCATCTCCGACTCCACAGTGTCATCTCTAGGGCCCTGCCTGTGTGGGGAAGGTTTGTAGCACCTGCCCATTTGCAGGTGGATTTTATATCATGGGTGGAGTTGTAAGTTTATACGGCAAGATAATTGGCTAGGGACTGGTGAACTGTCATTTCTGTTGAGCAGGAAAACCTGAGAGGCAGTAGTTCTTCTCCTGAAGCTATGGCCCAAGAAAGACCTTTTGTAATTGGAAACTTAATATAAAATGATAGTTTGCATCAGGTGGCATAGCATCTTTTTTTTTTTTTTTTCTTTGAGACAGGGTCTCATTCTGTGGCCTGGGCTGGAGTGCAGTGGCGTGATCATGGCTCACTGCCTCACAGGTTCAAGTAATCCTCCCAAGTAGCTGAGACTACAGGTGCACGCCACCATGCCTGGCTAATTTTTGTAGAGATGGGGTCTTGCTGTGTTGCCCAGGCTGATCTTGAACTCCTGGGCTCAAGCAATTTGCCTGCCTCGGTCTCCCAAAGTGCTGAGGTTACAGGTATGAGCCACTGCTCCCAGCCTCCTAGCATCCTGATGAAGAGCTTGTTCTTTACTAAATCTTGCTGATCCCCCCTCCCCTGATTTGTAGGAGGGCAATGATTTGTCTGCTGCATCGAGTTGTGCACATTAAATGAATTCATAAAACACTGATGTGTTAGCACAATTCCTTTTCAATACATGGCATCTTAATTTTTGTTCACCCATTGTAAAGGATGCCTCACACAGTTGTAGTAATGGGAACAAGAGCATTTCTGACCCTTGGCCTGAGAAACTAGAAGTGAAACTGACTTAGAGCATTTCAGTAGCCCAGAAAACACAATGAGCACCTACCATGCAGGGATTATAGTGGACCCTGGGGTTCCAGGGATGAATAAGACACTCTATCCCAAAAGAACTCATCAAGGTAAAGAAGAAGTTGTCGACAAGTTAGCGAAAGTGAAGAAAAGGGAAAATCTTAGGGGGAGGAGAGGGGAACTTTATTTTAATGGAAGGAGACTTTCTTCAAACTGCTTTTCCAAGACAGGAGAAAAATCCCATGGAATTTAAGTGCCTCCAGGAGTGTAGACAGCAAGTTACCAGCCTGCGAGGGGTCTGCTCAGTGGTCAGGACACCGTGCTCGTGAGACAGAGTGGGTTCTACCCAGGTTATTCCTCTCTGTTCCATGGCCACAAACCATGTCGGCCCTTGACCCTGATTCAGCCCCGGCCCTGGCTCCTTGGACAGCCTAGGCAGCCATCGCCCAGCATCATCTTGGTGCTGGTCCCACTGATGGAGCAAGAGCACCACCTTTCCATTGCTGGAGGCCTCCTGAAGAATCCAAGAACTACAGATATTGGGAAGATACTAAGTGGACTCACAGAAAGTAAACATCACAGGCCAGGCACAGTGATTCACGCCTGTAATCCCTTTGGGAGCACTTTGGGAGGCCAAGACAGTGAGACAGGATTATTTGAGCTCAAGAGTTCAAAACCAGCCTAGGTAACATAAGGAGATCTATCTCTACAAAGAAAACTGTATTTTAAGTTTTTAATTTAAGAATTATTTTAAAAATAAACATCACATTTACACTGTCACCTCTGTATAATCAGCCAAATCCAGTTTTCATATTTAAAGCGAATGAGCCCCCTCCTCTCAGTGGGAAAGATGAGCTGAAGCTTTACTCCCTCGATAGTGTTGGGAAAAGAAATCAGACAAAAATCTAAGGAAGGACCAAATATTGTACAGAGTGTGCCAGTAGGCTTTTGCAACTGGACTGAAAATACCTGCCTTTTCTCTCCACAGGGGAAAGTGGAAGTTGAAGCTGGGAAAGAAGGTATGAAGTTTGAAGCGAGCGCCTTCTCATACTATGGCGTGATGGCCCTGACAGCCTCTCCAGGTATGTTTGGTTCCCAGCCGCATAGGGCAGGACCACGTGTTAGGAAGTAAGGCCCCTCTCCTTTCATCTTGCTTTCTGTATCTGCCAGCTGACCCCATTCACTTCCTTTTTGAACTTTTTTTTTGAAGTATATCATATATGCAGAAAATCTGCACAAATCCTAAGTATATACCTCCATGAATTCTCACAAACTGAACACGTGTAAAGTGGCACCCAGACCAAGAGACAGGACGTTACCAGCCCCACAGAACTCCCATCACGCTCCCTTTTAGTCACTGGTCCCCCAGAGTAACTGCTTTCTTGACTTCTCAGCCTAATTCTGCCTGCTTTTGAACTTTGCATAAATGGAGACACTGTGTGTGTTACACAGAGGCTGGCTCCTTTCTCTGTGTCGTGCTTGTCACATCACCTCTGTTGCTGTGTGTGATCACACTATTTCCTCTTGCCATGTCTAGTATGCCACTGTGTGAATACACAGCAGTGCACGTGTCCTTTCATTGCTGATAGACATTGGGGTAGTCCCGTCTGGGGCTACTGTCAATATGTGGCTTTGAACATTCTTATACATGTCTTTGGGTGAACGTGTGTGTCCATTTCTGCTGGGTGCGCACCTGGGACTGGCGCTACGTGTCAGAGGGTGTGCCTCTGGATTCAGCTCTGATGTACCTGCTTACTCCCAACCTGTGCTGTGTGAATTCCGGTTGCTCTGCATCCAGCACTTGGTATTGTTGAGTCTGTTAAATGTTAGCAGTTTGGGAGGTCTTAATTTGCATGTTTCTGAGGACGAATGAGGTTGTTGCTATATACTGACTGCCTGTGGCCGGCTCTTGTCTGGAGAGCTGGCCAGGCGAGTCAGCCAGTTAAGGGTGGGTGGCCATGGGGGATTGACAGTTCTCTGAACACAAGATTCCAAGATGCCAGCCAGCCAGATGTGCTCTCAGACATGAACACAGATAGATACCTGGTGGCTTGCTGGCCTCTGGGGATGGCGCTGCTTGGCAGAGCGCACACGCTTGCTATTAATACCTGAGGCAGCCCGAACAGGTCGGGCAGGTCGACAGAGATGCTGGGGTGCCACCTTGTGGCAAAAACACCAAATGATGTGCGGTTTTAGGAAACTTCATTTACAAACCTCAAACCTAAAAATAACCCATTTTAAAAGAATTCCTGAAAGCCAGGCTTCCAAGGGGAGGAGATGCCTCCAGACAAGACTGTTTCTGTGACATTGGTCTTCATCGACTGCTCCACCCAGTAGTCTGAGGAACCCAAAGATGTTTCAGTTAGAAAGTCACTGAGACGTCAAGAATTCTGTCGTATTTCTAAACTTCCTCTGCCCCAAATGCCCCTTCTCACTATCCTTGTGCAGGTGTTTGAGTCCTGGAGGCACAGTGTCCCCACTGTCAACTGCTGACCAACACCCAACACCCACTGTGAACATGGGCCTGTCTGACCCTACTTAATGAGTAGGTTTCTGTTGTAAACTTGAAGGTGACCTTCGTTTTCACTGCTTAGTGAGAGAGACAGGGTAGCTCTTACCTAGGCATGAGAAGACCTGGGTTATAGCTTCAGTTCCATCACAGGCAGGTCGTGTGGTGTTGAGCGAGGCCCTTGGTCTCATCCTTGTTAAGAGGATATAATGATGCCAGCTCATGTGATTATTAGAAGACTAGGATGCAGTGATCCTCACACAAGTGCTTCGTCCCCTTGAAAGCATGAGGGGAAATGTGAGTATAGTAGAAAGGTGCCTGACTGTGATGAGTTTTGGCAGCTGACCTCAAATTAGCCCCAGGTGAGCAGAACCAGATTTATAAGATGGCTTTGAAAATAAACTAGGAGTGGGTTGTACATTTCTACCAATTACTGGTTCCTGAAACATAAATACCAGCGCAGTTCCTGTTGAACTGTAATGGAAGGACAAGTCTCATTTAGAAGAGGATGTGGTGAGCAGCCCTCTGAGTCTGGAACTGCTAAAAAGGAAGGGGAAATCACTTGAGGTCAGGAGTTCAAGACCAGCCTGGCCAACATGGTGAAACCCCATCTCTACTAAAAATACAAAAATTAGCCAGGCATGGTGGCACATGCCTGTAGTCCTAGCTACTTGGGAGGCTGAGGCAGGAGAATCGCTTGAACCTGGGAGGTGGAGGTTGCAGTGAGCGCAGAGCACGCCACTGTACTCCAGCCCAGGTGACAGAGCGAGAATCCATCTGAAACTAAAAAAGCGGGGGGGGAATTTCATTAATGGCATCTTACCTATTCCAAAGCCTAGTATTTTACTTAACTTTACAACTAAGATTTGGGATTTTGTATATTCATTGAGAGGCACAGTTAGTACAGATATCACAAGGTAAAGTTTCTGTTTATTGATGTTCGCTGTCTGGGGAAAACCGACAATAATCAGTTCTTAAGACCTACCTGCCCCAGAGGTGTGATTCCTGCTCAACATTTCATGTTCTGAGACTTTTCAATCTGATGGGGCAGTGAGTAAGTGGTGATGAGGATGACTCTGGTCTGCATTCCCAGGAAATCTGTGTATGCGTTCTTTACTTACTTTCCTCTATGTTGAGATTTGAAAGCGTTCCTAACAATTCAAAGCTTCAGGTCAAAATTAAAATGAGCTAAAGTTGCACAGATGGGGAGCTGTAGGCTGTGCAGTGAGTGAGTATTGGGGTGCAGGCGCCAGCGGTTTGAGTCAGGCTCTTAGGGCAGTTGACTAATCGAGCTCCCCTTTTGCGCAGCTACTGGTGATTTAAGCCCTTAAGAGTAGCAGGTTTCGAGCTATCAACCCCAATTGGTTATTAGTGGCTTAAGAGATTTCTTGGTTAGTAACAAACTCGTGGGTAGGATTTCTCCTGATCTTGGCCTCCCTGTATTCCTCTTCCTGGAAAGCAGTGTGTGTTGTTTTGTTTCTATAATACCATACCGACTTGCATTTCTGCAACTGAATGCTCATATTGTATTGATAGAACAAGTATCCCCTCCTGTCCCTTGATTACAGAGATCTCTGTTCTTGCCTTTTGATGCGATCTCACCCTGTTTTTCTCCATTTTTCAGTTCCTTTGTCCCTGTCTCGTACCTTTGTTGTCAGCAGAACAGAGTTGTTAGCAGCAGGTTCTCCAGGTAATTCTGCATGCTTCCTTTCCGTAATTCTCCTGATTGCCTTCCTTGCCCCCCATCACGCCTGGCTGGCTGGGTCTGCTCCCTTTACCTGGACAGGCTGTTTTCAGTGTTCCTTGGAGCGCTAAAGCTCTAAGGTTCCGTAACTTTATAGCGAGCTCTCCAGGAAAGCATAAGCCACAGCAGGTGGAGAGTCCAGAACAGCGCAAAGTCACCATGCACAGGAGTAGCCATGAAGCATGGAAAGGGAGGGCGGCTCTGGTGTGGATTGTTAGCGCTCCCTGCCCTTGTGGCTGACCTTGAATTTTCAGGTCAGCAGTAGGGGACTGTTCTTGGTTCTTATTCTGACCTCAGCAAGTCATGGTATCTGGAGTTTGCAGAGGCCCTGAGGGCCTCAAACCCTGAGGCCGCTTTTATAGAGCACATTTGCCAAAGGCCTGAGAGCTGTGAACTCTTCTTGGTAAGCAAGAAAAATACCCCATCCACACAGGCGCACGACATTCTTGTATCCTGGGTTCTTCCCACATCCGTGTGAGTGGAGCGCGAGCGCCTCTGCTGTCCGCCAGGCAGGCGGCCCTACTTCTCCCCACCACCAGGCAGGCGACCCCGCTTCTCCCCACCACCAGGCAGGCGACCCCGCTTCTCCCCGCCACCAGGCAGGCGACCCCGCTTCTCCCCGCCACCAGGCAGGCGACCCCGCTTCTCCCTGCCACCTGACTTTGTTTTGGAGTGAACACCCGGCACATTCCTATCCCGCTGCTGCCGACTGCCCTGCAGGAGAGGGTGGCCAGTCCTAACTAATACGTCCAGCTATTAAAAAGAAGGGAAAAGGCTTAATCTGTCTTTAATTAAAATTGCTGGGATTTCCTAGTTGGTAACACAATTTTCCTATATTTATCTTCGGAGTTTTTTCCATAATTACTATCATAAAACTTTGGAACATAAACTTGGCCACAAAACCTGACCTGAACTGGGGGTCAGCCACTACGGTTTTAGCTCTACTTGTTGTGAATCCTTGTCCGTCTCACCAAAAGTTAATGTGTTTGCGGACTAGGGCCGCCCCAGAATTGCTGGTGGTGTATGTAACATGGGGTGTATGGACTGTATCACCTTCCAGAATTCAAACATCTCTCTGGCCCCCAAGGGCTTCAGATGAAGAATGTGGACCTTTATTATTATTAATATTTTAAGTAAGATGGCACTTGAGGCTCTGAGCAGTGGGCTCAAGCTCAGGGTTGCAGCGCCTCTGCTCGCGCTGGCGCCCGTCGAGCTGTTGAAAGGGACATGGAAGGCAGGGCCTGCTCCTCCAGAGGGTGGCCATGGGGCCAGGCATCAGGCTCTTGGCAGAGGAGAGGGTCCACTCACACAAACAGAGGGCAGTGGGGCGAGAGGAAGCAGACTGAGTCTAGATGCTTTGGAAGATCAGAGAAATCCCCCTAAAATCCTTCTCAGGAGAAAACAGGAGACTCAGAATTACTGCAGGAGGCCTCAGACAAGCAAAGTACCTTGAAATGTTTTGTTTTTATAGCCTTCAAATGTTAACACACAAACACTGTTTCAAAAGTATCTAGAAATGGTGATGAGATTGGTGGCCAAAGCGCAGGGATACAGTAAGATCTCGTTTCAAAAAAAGGACTAATCTGTCACCCTGGGTGAAGTCACTGCATGTGCAAAACCTTGGTCATGGGGTGGGCGCATGGTGGCAAGGTCCGGGAGGAAGCTGACAAGAAAGAATAGAAAATGGGCCGGGCGCGGTGGCTCACGCCTGTAATCCCAGCACTTTCGGAGGCCGAGGCGGGTGGATCATGAGGTCAGGAGATCGAGACCATCCTGGCTAACAAGGTGAAACCCCGTCTCTACTAAAAATACAAAAAAATTAGCCGGGCGCTGTGGTGGGCGCCTGTAGTCCCAGCTACTCGGGAGGCTGAGGCAGGAGAATGGCGTGAACCCGGGAAGCGGAACTTGCAGTGAGCCGAGATTCCGCCACTGCAGTCCGCAGTCTGGCCTGGGCGACAGAGCGAGACTCCGTCTCAAAAAAAAAAAAAAAAAAAAAAAAAAGAATAGAAAATGCCAGCTGGGCTCACTTATGGGGTACCTACTGTTGTCAGATAAGCACTTTGTACGTGATCTTATTTTTAATCCTTGTCAGACCTTATAAGATGGGTACCAGGGCTGGGTGCAGCACTCACACCTGTAATCCCAGCACTTTGGGAGGCCAAGGCAGGTGGATCACCTGAGGTCAGGAGTTCAAGACCAGCTTAGTCAACACGGTGAAACCCCGTCTCTACTAAAAATACAAAAATTAGCTGGGCGTGGTGGTGCATGCCTATAATCCCAGCTACTCAGGAGGCTGAGGCAAGAGAATTGCTTGAACCTGGGAGGTGGAGGTTGCAGTGGGCCAAGATCGCACCACTGCATTCCAGCCTGGGTGACGAGAGGGAGACTGTCTCAAAACAAAACAAAACAAAAGGGTACCCGGTACCATCATCCACATTTTACAGATAAAGAATCTGAAACTTAGCAAAATTGGGTCACCTATTCAAAGATCCATTCTGCTAAATATAAGTCTGATAAATTGTTAATTTGCCTTGTTCTCGTAGAAATGGAAACAAGGGGAACTGCCACTCTGAATTTAATTTGTCTAACAATGGAAAATTAGTTCATGACTTGACAATTGGAGGGAGAGTTAAGATACAAAAATTTTAGGAGAAAGTGGCCAGGCACGGTGGCTCACGCCTGTAATCCCAGCACTTTGGGAGGCTGAGGCGACAAGATCACTTGAGCTCAGGAGTTCAAGACCAGGCTGGGCAACATGGCAAAAACCCCATCTATACCAAAAATACAAAACTTAGCTGGGCATGGTGGCACATGCCTATAGTCCCAGCTACTCAGGAGGCTGAGGTAGGAGGATCCCCTGAGCCCAGGAGGTTGAAGCTACAGTGAGCCAAGATCACACTACTGCATTCCAGCCTGGGTGATAAAGCAAGACCCTGTCTCAAAAAGAAAAAAATATTAGGAGAAAGTGAACTCATCACTGGAGATTCTTGGAGTACTTATGTTTTGTTCCGGGTGTCCTGTTTTAAGACGGTGATGGGGTGAGATGAACAGCTGCAAGATTTATCCTAGAGAAGAGACTTAAGGAGACCATCACTCTCTTCACCTATCTAAGGGCTATTTTGAATAGCAGAGAAAGAAAAGGTACTAAAGCTCCACACAGAGGAAGTGAGGCTGTCATCTGAAGTTAGGGAGGCACATTTGGATGGGCACAATGACAAACTTTCCCGATAGCCGAAGGGCAGGTGCAGCCAAGGGCCAGCTCCTCCGAGGGCAGCTGTCAGGGACACATTGCAAAGAGGAGCCAAGCGTCAGATGGGAGAAATGGTCCCCTCCAATCCTGTGATACGATGCAATTCAAGACCTGGCCAGGGTGGGCACACAGTTCCTATCTGCAGTAGTTGGTTAGAAAAGCAAAAAGTGAAAGAAGCCTTGATGAGGGGGCATTTTTTAATGACGTTTCCATTAGAAGCCACAGTGAACTTCCATTTAAGAGCAACAACACCCAGACTGGCGCTCCTTCCACTTTGTTTTAAGGGAAGGATGCCACAAAACCTCACTGAAGACTCTAGCACCCAAGATAACTTACTCAAACTCGTTAGGGATTTGGTGTCTTCTAGCTTTCTTGAATTCCTGAGACATCCTCGGGCTACCTGATGGGGGATTTTACTGGGGTCAGAGACGAAGATAATAGGTTCAGCTAGAGGGTATGGTATGAGCAGATGAGTATTTTGATCCCTTTATAATACATACTGATTTATTAATATTCTCAAGAGTCCCTTGTTTTTACTTCGGGCAAAGTAATGAAGTGCTGTCCTCTGCGTAGCCTACCTTTGATATCAAGCAGCTTCTGCATGTTGGGCCTTGGCCCAACCTCGCCTGAGCATCTCACAGTACCCGGGAATGTTCCTCACGAAGGCACACAGTGCAGGGTTTTTGCTGTTAGAGACTTGGGAGGATTGTGTCTGTCACATACACAGGGCCAAGCAGCTGAGATGGACATAGCCTGCTGGTACAGGGAAGCCCGCGAGTCCGCCATACATAGGATACCCTCTGGCATACTGTGCGGCCGAGACATCTGGAATCAGTTGGCTGGGCTTGTGTGGCATTTAGTATTTTTTATTTTGGAAAATAACTGGTTTTATTGGCTGTATCTACTTCACTTAAACAGTTGGATTTTTCCCTCCTTTTCCAGGTGAAAATAAGTCCCCTCCTCGCCCATGTGGCTTGAATCACTCAGACTCTCTCAGTCGAAGCGACCGGATTGACGCCGTCACACCAACACTGGGGAGCAGCAATAACCAGCTCAATTCTTCGCTCCTCCAAGTCTACATCCCCGATTACTCGGTGCGAGCCCTTTCGGATCTGCAGTTTGTTAAGGTGAGAGACGTGAGTGCAGTGTGGCTGGACCTGGCAGTTAGTTGTCAACTTCCCTGGCAAATTGTCTGTTTTGCTCCTTGCCCTCCTCAGAACTCTCCCTTTGTCACTTTGTGGGTGCCCTGCCTTCCATTCTCAACTACACACCCTGTCTTCGTCTGCTGTGCCCAAGCCTCAGGTTGAGAAAAACGTTGATCTTCTTGGTTCTATCCAATGAGCTGCCAAATCAAATGTGGCTCTTTCAGGGAATGGGAGCCAGAGATCCTGGAAAAAAGAGTAGCCCCTTTTCAAAGAGCTCCTGGGTGCGTGGCTCCCTGCCTGGCCCTGGGAAGGCTGAGGTCAGGAGACTTGGAGGGTTGCGGGGAAGGCTCCACCTCTGTCTTCTGCCGGGCAGTCAGAGTACTCATCTTGGTCTGAAATAAAGATGACTTTTGGAGAACAAGCCAGCTTTAGCTGGGAGAAACCAGTCTCTATTTTCTAGTCCCTAAAATTTTGAGACAATATTTGGAAGTGGGTTACATCAGTAAGAACTGACTTGTTCACCAAAGTCAACTTGAACTTGACAAAGTGGCTCACTGCGCTCAAGTGTGATTTTCTCCTAGAGAGGCTGCTGTGGGCCTGTCGGGATTGAACGTGTGGAGATCAGAGAACCTAAAAATAAGCATTATCTTGGTTTGTTTTCTGTGCCATCTTCTGGCCCCAGATCTCAAGACAGCAATACCAAAATGCCTTGATGGCATCCCGGATGGACAAAACCCCCCAGTCTTCAGACAGTGAAAACACTAAAATCGAATTGACTCTTACGGAGCTGCATGACGGGTTGCCAGACGAGACAGCCAACCTGCTCAACGAACAGAACTGTGTGACGCACAGTAAGGCCAACCACAGCCTGCACAACGAAGGCGCCATCTAGGCCGCGCTGGCTGCACCCGCCCAGGCCCGCACCCGCCCAGTCCCGAGGGCCCGGCCCTGTCTGCCCATGACTTCACTGGTGTGAGCTTGTCCGCCATGCTGTACCCTGCAACATCCTGAGACCAAAGACCTTGTGCCCTTCCCAGGAGCCGCGGAGGAGGACAGTGAGGGAGGAATGGAAACGAGAGATGTGAAGTTGGCAGCCGGGGCATGGCGTTCAAGATTTTGGAGATGAACTGATTCCGCCCAAATAGAATCATGTTTATTTTTTCAGCTCTCCCTTTTATCATTATTCACACTCCTCTGCCCTCGATTTGCATGAAGTTGAAAATTGTTGCGATTTATTTTTTCAAGAGATCATGTTTTTAAAGTGTCTTTTGCAGAGTTTTAAGTTGTTCTGTCTGAACTCTGCTGTGATCCCATGATGTGACCCTGATGGGCTGGACTTGCCCCTCCGGTAGCCTTCCTTGGCCCTCCCAGCGAGGGGCACCCTTCCTCTGTGCCCCAGTGGGCATCACCGTCGATCTCGCTGGCTGAATGAAGAAGACCGTGTTACTGCAGAACCTGCCAAGTCTGTCATCACTGTGGGGTGTAGCCTGCCTCAGAGGGACCTGCAATCACCTCTCTGAGCTCAGTGGTATTTTGAGAATTTAATGTTTAACTGTACCCCTTTCCCTCAGGAAGATTTAACATTTGCTTGGGAATGTGATTTTGCTCCCACCCTAAGGAATTTTTATCACCAAAATGAATGTTAATGAATTTAAAACCCATGGTTTATCATTGGCAAGAGGCAAGTTGACTTCATCCTGTCATTCCAGCCTGGGGTCTGCCAGCCAGCCCTCCTCCCCGACCCAGCGCCTAAGCTCACAGAGTGTCGTCGCCCACCTCCCTGGTCCTTGCTCTTGTTAACCCAAGATGCTGCTACACAGATGCCAAATGGAAATCTTCCACAGGGCTTTTTCAGTAAACACGTGATGTGGAGTGCAAGCTCCTCCCCTTCCCACTAGAACATACTTTAACAGAAAACGAGTCGGACCTTCTAGCTGCACTCTGTACTGTGTGCCGAGAAGGCATTTCTAGACCCGTGTTTTTAAAGGAGGGAACTTTGGGGATTGCCAGCCCCTGCTCCTCCTCCCAGGGAGCCAACTGTCCCTCCTCCCCTGTCCCTGGGCCCATGGGGCCCGGCAGTGGCTGTGTCCCCTGCCTGAGGGCTCTGTGCCTCCTGCCTCAGATGCGGCCTGTGCCAGAGAGGCTGCCTGTACAGCCAGGGTCAGTTTGGCCCCAAACAGGGATTCAGAAACCAAATGTGTGTTGTGGCCATTTTATGTGTGTCTCCGTCTTATTTTAATACCAAATTCATCATGTAGTGAAATTATGTCAGGAGGTATATGAGTGACTGAATTCTTAACTATAGCTTATCTGTGTTTTGTTAGCCCGAGGGATATGTGCAGGTTGTTGGCGCTATTCATGCACTGAAATGAAATCATACTGACCAGTGTACACACAAGATTATCAGTGCCCGCCGCATCCATCACTAGGAAAGGAGAGAGCGTTTTCTGTTTAGGCTCACTGCGCAAAGGGAGGCCTTGGCTAAGTGGCAGTTTTCTTCTCCCTACTCCAGGTAGGAAGTCTGTTCAGCCACGGCTGGGCTGTGTGCGGGGCAGGGAGCGTGGCTGAGGAGCAGACAGCAGCGGGCCGGGCTGGCTGCCTGGTGAGCAGTTTGGTGCCTCGGGTGTTGTGCATGCCCGGCTCAGTATTTCCTCTGGGATGCCAGTCCTGGAGTGTCTTCCTCAGAAGGTGCCGTGTCCCTTAGTGGGGGGAAGTACTGATCTCACTTGGTGTAGAGGGTCACAGGGACCCCCCGAGGGTGCTGAGTGGCCTGCTACTGGCACGCAACCTGCCCCCGTGGGATGAAGCCCCACCGCGTAGCTTGACCTTAGAGGGGACCCCACTCTAAGCATCCTTTTTTTTAAACAGAGCCATCTAGATACAAAAGTCAGTTTCTTAAGATGCCTCTCACTGAGCACAACACCAGTGTGATGAGTGTATAAAGATGAGGGGTCCTTGCAACAAAGCAAAGCGTAGCCCATGCTGGAAGAGGGCATCTATCCCCCTCTTCGGGTCTGCGCAGTGCTGGCCTTCCCTGAGCTGTGGGGAGCCAAGCCTGCCTAGCCCAGCTTCTCTGGCCTCAGGAACTCTGCCCTGTCAACCTATCTGGGCTCACGTCTGCTTCTCCACACACAGTCTCTCGGGGATGCCTTGCTACTGGGAGAGCCTCTGGAATCAGAGCTAGTGTGTTGGTGCCCTTTTCAGAGCTCTGCTGTTCCTTTATAAATCCTAAAGAACTGAGTCTGGGGAGAGGAGAGGGGATGCCAGCTGCTGCCTCTGACTTCAGGGAGAAGCAGACTTCTTAATACTGTCTTACGTGCTCGGTGTGATGGCTTCTTGCAAATTATTCTCTTATAAAAGAGCTCGGCAGGAGTGGCATCAGTGAGGCTCCCAAAGGATGAAATTTTAGCCGCCAAGTTCGTATTCATTTTCTGTTATTCTTTACCTTCTGTTAGTCACACTATTTTATAACATTAGGGAATCTAAAATAATTCCTGTCAGGTCCCTGAAGGAATGAAGGCTAACATCTCCTTTGGGGAGAGCTTAGGACCCTTCAAACAACACTCATGTCTGAGCGGCCAGATTCCTCCTCCAGGCCCCATTTTCCCTCAGGAAACCAACCTCTCAGATGGTTGGAGGAGAAACACTGGGCTGTTGCTTCTTTGGGGCAGCAGGAGAATGACTTTGGCTTGGAAGGCCTCTGCCATTCATCTCTACAAAGCCAGTGGGGTCCGGCAGAGAAAGACCGTGGAATAGCTGCGGTCTCGATGTGGCTGCTCTTTGGCACCTCCGCTGGACTGCCCTCCCGCGGCGGTGACCTTTTCAAGTGTGGAAGGGAGTGGGTCGAGTGGACCAGATGCAGACCCCTGAGTTCTGGATACTGATGGGAGGCCTCACCCTCCTTTACGGGGCCTCTCTGGGTGGGACAGAGCCTCACCTGCTCCTGAGCAGCCACTGGTGCCCCACGGTTCCTCTGAAACTAAATCCCTAGCATCCAGATAGTCCTGGGACACTCTGCCTGCTCTGTAAATGAGGAGGGCTTTTCTCCTGCTGTTTGGAGGTTCCGTCCCTTCACTGCTTGTCCCATATGCGTCAGGCAAATTCAAAATCATACATTTAAACTCTTAGGAAAACAAAATCTTAAGACTTACACAGATATCGGGGTGCTAATCAACTGGCTTAAATCTTGATTCTTACATAATTTGAACTTGAAAGGTTACATTGAACTCTGTTCTTTCCTCCCTCCTCACCTCACTCCCTGCAGGGAGTTCAATGCCATGTTGAAGTGGTTGGCATCCCCAAGTGGGAGGGAGTGGGGCATCTTACCATCTTCTAATGTGACTTCAAGGAACAGTGCAAATGTTGAATGCAGAGCTTCACACTAATACGGAACAGTAACTGTGAGTATATTTACCTGTGCTGTCGTCAGCACTGTACACTAAAGGACCAGCTTTTCCAAGCCTAGGAAAATAATGGTAGATACAAATAGAAATACATTTTCCCTAGGAAATAGAGCAATAGGAATTTGAGCTAAGCAGGTACCATGAACTTCTGCCCTCAAATTCTCTCTTTGGGTTGAGGAGCAGACCTGTATAGGCCCTGGCTGATCAAGTCTGTGTCCTGCCTAGTAAAAACACACAACCACCTCTGTCATCTGAAGGCCAGCCGGGGATCTGTAGCCATCCTCGCCTTGCCTAGGCCCAGGAAGGTGAGGTCTCCTGGGCAACCAGAGTTGCCCCTGTGGTTCCCCAGGGGTGATCCTAGGCAGATGACTCACCCGGGCTGGCACAGGAAGGTGCTCACCTTGTTCTCTGGGGCTCCAAGCAAGAGCAGGCCAGGGAGGGCTGGCTTTGCACGCTATGTAGCATGACCCAAGCTCCCTGGTGGCATGGGAAAAACTCCCCTCTGCTTTTGAGCCCAGATATGGGCTTTTCTTTGCAAAGGGTTGAGGAGAAATACAAGACTGAGCTGGTAGGTTAGGGTCCAGAAGGCCTCTGAGGTGCCATTGCTTACTTCCTTACTGAGGAAACTGGCTCTTGTCCTGGGCCATGTAGTTCCATTCTGGGCTCTAGGCTAGTGGTGCTTCTGTCCATCAAGGGTATCTGGGTGAGTTGTAGGTTAACCCAGAATTTAGTAGGGATATAGGGGTTTGAATAGGAAAGTGATCTGGGGATTCAGAAATTTTTCTGATGTATCAATGAGCAACTTCTCAGTGGATTTTTATACCTCAGGGTCATTTGCAAATCTTTATCTTTTCCTATTTCTTAGGTGTTCAAGTTGGTTAATAGGAGAGAGACGTTCAGAGACTTCTAAGTTGAGGTTCATTTGCCTCCGTTTGAGGGGTGAGTGGTGCACCAATAGCTTGCTGCTGTTACTTAGCAAGGCTGTGACAAGTAGGCCTTCCTCCTCTAGCACTTGCAAGCTTTCTGTCTGCGATCACGGTTTACTTGCCCATTTCCCTTTTGCTACCTTCTTTCCTATCTGGAGATTCATATTCTAGAGTCCCTGGTCAACCCTACGGATGCGAAGAAGAGATGGCAGTTCACAGCAACTGCATAGAGTAGGGAGCAGCTTTCCTCCCACCATCCTAGGCTGGGGACCTTCTTTGCTTCTCACACCACTGTGGTTGGCTCAGCTCAAGTAAGCACGTTCTCTCTGTATGCTAGAGCTACTGACATCATCTCTACTAGAATTGTTTTAAATATCTTTTGATGGGAAATACCAGGTTGAACTTCAAGCATCATGGAAACAAAGGTTCTAGCTGCAAGAGAGTAAAGTTCTAGGTGTTTGTATGCCAAGGTTTATATGTACACAGATCCAACACATACTGTAAGAAAGACTTGAGTACACAAGGTTTTCAGGTTTTAATGCCCATTGGGACCGTGAACAAATGAGAAGAATGGGAGCATTGTCTTGCCTCGCTTGGAAGGACGCCTTCCGGCATCTGATCCACATGGATTCACTTTTAGGATGCAGTTCTTTGGGGGCCAGATTTGGCTGCAGATTCACCCTGAAGAGAACTATCCAATGGGCCTGGTGGGGCTTGGGTGCCTGCCTTTTTTGTTGGAGGCTCAGACTTCTAGAGCAGAGCAAAGTTGGGAAGAATGAGGTCTTAGGATTCTCATTCCCCAGAGAGCCCCAGCCTCGCTTCTGATCATTACTCCCCAAGTCTGAATCTACTGTGAAGGTGAAGTTATCAATTTTTTCTTGTTTGAGTCCTTTAAACCCACAAATGTATATGCTTTATTTTATATTATTTATTATGTACATATGCCTGTTAGTACTTCGTCTGTGACTAGGACAAGGTCTGTCTTGAAGCTTCCTCATCCATGGATCCTAGGGTTCTGCTGTCCTTTAAGGCGGGTGAGAGGGTAGTGTTGTTTTTTATAAACAGGTTGCTGCTTTTATGTTGGCCCTAGCATCCCCAGCCCCTTTAGTTGGGCCCACCTGTATTCCTTATGACCAGTGTTTTGGATGAGGATGGAGGCAGGTCTCCTACCTTGTGGGCAGGGCCTCTCAAGTACCTCCATGAAATATTTCCAAGGTGGTTTCTTGGTGACAGGCTCTCTTCCCCTATGTAGGGTACAGTACAGCTGTGAGTCCACGGCCTCCCTCCTCCCAAGGCAGGTCACTTGCCTGGCCCCACAGTGATAATGGTTTCTTCCACTTACCTTAGATTGCATAATCCATCTTTCTGGATAATGGAAGCTGCCTGCCTATCTGGGCTCTTAATATGCCTTTTCTTGGTTTTGAGGCCCAGTGCCAACATTGCCTTGGCCCTCAAGTAAGACCCTGCTTTGTGTCTGACTTTGATCCTCCTCAGCCTTTATTCACTGTATCATAGTGTACAGGTCATGCATTTGAGCAGTGAAGTTTTCTGAACACAGTATTCAGAGCTGTGTACATAAACCTAAATAAGCACAAATGACATGTATAGGATTGAGCTGATTGTCTTAATGAATGCATTTTATAATTCAAATGATGTAGATGTACAGTCTCTCCTATTTATTTTGTACCAATTTATTTGTAAATTTTGTGATTGTTTTACAAGGTTTTTGTTTATTTCTATTCTATTTAGATAAATGATGTTCTGTTCACCCTGCTAGCAGATGTGTGTTCCCTCTTCCCTTTCATCTGTGCAACACCAACCATGCCATTGTATTCAGCTTGGCTGAACCAACTGCCCTACCCACTTGCCTGGCTTTGCTGGTGGGAAAGCTGGGACTGGATCTCAGCATGACAACATAGAAGAGCATCTTCTTTGGACAGTGTAAAGTCTTAAGAGAAGTGGGTACTAGTTCTGTGCCTCCAAGTCACAGCCTGGTACAGCCAATCCTAGGGGGAAGGTGTCCTTCTTTGCAAGGATTATAATCTGTTCTCCATCAGTTACTCTCTACATAAGAACATTCGGAGTATCCAGTCAAATTGCCCCAGACATTGGCTGCTCAGTCACTAATAACAACACACAGTGCCGCTGGGCTAAGCCGGCATTTCCTAGGTAAGACCAAAGGTCTCATTCAGGCCTCTCAATTGGCTCTTGAAAACAAGGATGGCTTTATAGGTCCTCCTCTGCTATGCTAAGCCTGGGAGGAAGGTCGGAGCAGGCATGGATAGTCACTTTCAAGTGGAAAACATCCGGCCTGAGTGTGGCGAGGCGTGTGCAGGTGGGTCTTCAGGATTCAGTGGATATCCTGCATTCCCCAGTAATCGGTGTGTATGATACACGTTCTTTTCCATCACTACTTTGTCTTCTGTTCCTTCTTACCCTCATCACTCACATGAGACCAGTCCCTGAAGAACTTACGGTGGAGCTTCAGGGACCCTCTGTGATCCATTCCTAAACCACATCTTTTTGGAATCCCTTTTCTCTCCACTTTTAGTCTCTATTTTACATTCCAAAGAGGATCGTGCTCTGAAAATTTAGCCTCTTGACTGGTCCATTTATAGTCTCCACTGAATTTATTTAACCGTGGCATTTGCAGTCTTTTACTTACACTTGTTCTGTGGATGGAGACATTTCAGGGAAGAACTGCTGACAGAATTGGCTTTCAGACACTGCCTGACCTAACTACCGCTCCCATCTCCCCAGGTATCGCCCAACTACCTGAAAGTAGAATGAGGTGTATCTTAGCCCAGTGAAATGCTGTCTTCGAACCCTGCTTGCTTTCATTAGAAGCAGGGCAGAAAGTGGCAGCAGAGCTAGGGAAAGAAATCATGGTAGCACATTCACTCCCAGCCTCCTGCCTTGGTTTGTTTTTCCTGTTTTACTCACTTGGTCTAGATGAGCCCTTAGCTCAAATCAGGAAATGCTCCAAGGAAAATGGAGGCAATTTTTCCTGCTGTCAAGATGAGATTTGCCTAAAACTCCCCCCTGCATCCTCAGAGTGCGCACACATCCGCTCATTTCTAAGCTTTATCGTGATGCACCCGGGGTTTCTATTTCACAAAAATTGTGCTCCCTAGAGCCGTTTTTCAACTCGGCACTTCTGAGGAAACAAATATTGATCAGAGGGTCTTGTAGAGAAAGTGGTTAAAAACTGACCTTTTTATAGCCTGGAGTTGATTTCTGGAAACTTATTTTATACTTTTTGAAGGTAATTTAAAAGAGATGATTCTTTATTAAAGCCAAAAAGTTGAATTCTATTAGGTGGATAATAAACTCTTTTGCTTTCTTTGTATGGTGGTTTTGTCATTTTCCCTCCAAGGGCCTCATATCTGTGCTCTTATTTTCAAGCAGTCCCAGGACAAAGGGATGGTTCTAGGGCCCTTTTCTCTGACTTTCTGCTGGCATGCCATCTCCCCTAGTGGATTACTGAGGACTGAGGATGCACGTTTCTAAGGGAGAATTAGTTGCCCGACTTCTGAAGTGCTTTTCCTGTCAGGGTATTAGTGACTGTGCAGTGTTCAAACAGGAGGCCAACACATGATAGGAAATTTTAGATGGGGCCAGTTTTCCTACTGCAGTTCTACTAAGTCATTGACTTGAGGTCAGTGGGTCCAAAAAGTGACTTGTTTAAAGATACCCACACACTCAAGTCAAAGATAACTCTGGTGAGAACACTCTCTCAAAGACTGGACACTGAGTAAACATTTTTCAGTGTGGGGAAGGTTTGCTTGGCAAATCTTCTTTCCAAGTATCTCAAGAACTTGTGAGACGTGGAAGGACTATTGCTGCCTTTCGTGGGAAAAATGTGTGCTCAGCTGCTTGGGCTCCAGTTTGTGTGGGAAGGTTTATCTCAGGCCTTGTCTACTCCCCTCGCCAGACATGGCTTTGGGAAGAGCTCCATGGGAGACCAGAACATCTGGGGACATAGTTGTACCTAGTTATTTTGTGTGAAGAAACAAAGGGACGAGATTCAAAATTCATCATTGTGTTTTAAATTTAAATTGGAAAACATAGATTCCTCATCCTTAAACAGAGTCAGCAAGTTTGAGATGAAATGTTTGTGTTCAATGGGGAGTACTTTTTTGTGTTAAAGCTCTACAGAGAAACTTCTGTATATATTTTATTTTTGAGATCACATACCTTTGTTGGAATGAATCAGACTGTTGTGGCCTTGGGATGAAGACATTGTGTGTGAGGACAGGGAAAAATGGTTGAGAAATCCAGGTTAAAGAATAGAAAAGCTTTTTACTCATTCTATAAATGAACATGCTGCCTGTTTAAAGGACTTGCTTTCTGCTGTTTCTAGATACCTAGCAGCGCGAGAACTGTGTGACGTGCTGCGTTCTTGTTACGGGAGGTGCGTGACGGGGCAGCGGGGGTTTCTGGAAGTCACCTGTTTCTGCTTTCTGGTTGCCTGTGCCTGTGGTCATCCCTGCTCCTTAGCAGTAGTGCATGTTTTTCTTCTATCTGCAGGGTTGCTCTGGTAGCTCCATGGTAGAGATTTCACTCTCAGGGCCTCCCAAAAGTTGTGTATCATTTGAAATTGTTCTATTTGAGGAAAAACTTTTAAGAAAAGCTGGATTCCCTGATCACCACTAAAGATCATCATGAGAAACATAAGTATTTGAGCCCTAAACTACTAAGCCCAGTGAGGAATTGGAGCGTTAACTGTATGGCAATAGCTAGATCATAGTTACCATTTTTCCCACCATCAAAGACAGATTAAATAGTTTCCATAACATGGAATGTGGGTAAGGTTCCTACCCTAATACAGACTTAAATATGTAGTTGTCTCAGGCTATTCGTGGTGAATAAGCAGAGTATTTATTTTAAAATGACCAGGCAGCCTTGGAAAAATTGCTGGGCTTTAAAGTTGTTGACAAAGTATTTCTTAAATAAATACATCTGATTTAGAAATACCTAAACATGGACAAAATACTTCTAAATCTGACATGCAACTGCATGTGGCTTTTTAAAGTGGTTTCTTAACAATGCTAATGTGACTTAAGGATTTGTAGTTCTATTAAAAACGACTTCTAAAAGTATCTTAGGGTAGCTTGAAGGGTTTGCGTTATTATTTTAGGTCTCAGCAGAGGTATGCTTATGGCAAGAGAAAAATCTTAGGTCTAAATAGAACCCTAAACTTTCTTGGCTGTGACCAACTTTTCTGAAGTACACCATCAGAGTTTTCACTGACTATCTATCTTTGCAGAGATGAATGAATGTACTGGGCAATTCCTCTGCCCAAGGAAACCCAGCAGGGCCTGGGTCTGCTGTACCACTGACCAACTGCTGGGGAGGCTAGGGGACCTGTCAGTACATGCTGTAAGGTTGGGAGTTCAGTCTAGCAACCAAGAAGGGGTTGCCTGGTGTTCTACAATGCCTATAGTGTTTTCAAAATGCCTGGGAAAAAATTCTCAAAAGAAGTGGCAGAATGGTCTTCTCACGGTATAAAACTCCGCAGGATTTTTTTTTTTTTTTTTTTTTTTTTTTTTTTTAAGGAAAAAAGTATACCTTTTAAGTTCAGCTTCCTTAACTACTGGCAACAGAGAGAAAACTCATAATTTGTTTTAAAAAGCCCAGTTACAGCTGCCCTGCCTACCCATGGACCATTGACTTCCCAGCACACTCTTAAGAATAATATACAGAGAGGCACCATTTTGCTCTGGGTCTTATGGAATCCTAGAGCTCTTGAATACGTTTTGGTGGTCCTACGGAGAGCTGTAACTAGCAGTGGAGTTGTTGCTTATTCCAGCTGTGTGCTTTTCACTTTCCGATCTTTGGACCCAGAGAATCATTTGCCATGGAATCATCTGGCTAGTAAGACACTCTTATATGGATGCAATACAAAAAGTGGTAAATTAAAGCAAAGCAATCATGTGGTCCTTACTCTAAAAGAGACAATATGTAAATGTACTATTATAATAAGGTAGCTCTGCAGATGTAATAAGCTACTCATAAATTATTTGGGTTTAAGAAAACTTAAGACTATGTTAAACTGGACAACATCTCCATCTTGAGTGAGAGTAATTAGTAACTAGGATGACCACACATTCTCCTAACACGGGCAACAGTCTAGTCTAATTGTTATTGCATTTCTGACCTGATTCTTTTAAAGGGGCATATATTCCCAATATATACCATTTAGAATGTATGTATGTTTCTTGGATGACTTAATCTGAAGCCATATAAGTCCAAAGTAGTGAGACAGACAGTATATCCTTGACTAAGTTATCAGGCTGTGTTCTCTGCTTATAAAATAATTTTTTAAAAAGCCTCACTTCACAGTCCTGTTCCAAAAATCTTTCTGTGAAAAAATTGAGGCCTATGTAACACCATGAATATAATCATGTTAGAACATAATCAGTTCTTGAATATTTATTTCCTTTAAGAGAATATCAAACTGATGTCACCAAATCTAAACCCACTTGAAGACCAATAGCTATTACAGTTGTACTACAGAATAGGTCAAAGTCACCGTTAGAAATATTACACTTTATTGAATTCTGGAGCAGCTAATCTACCCTCCCCTATTGACCAATGACAAGAATGGAAGAAAATATACAATGGTTAAAGAAAGAGTCTATAACCACTGTTTGTTTAAAATGTTGAAACAACTTTCACTGTACTGGTGAAACAGTTTTAATACCCTAACATACACAGTAATGATTCATTCTTGTTTAAAACAAGAGGTGATTTCGACTTGGGATTGGGATTTTTATTTTTTGAGATGGAGTTTTGTTCTTGTTGCCCAGGCTGGAGTGCAATGGCACAATCCTGGCTCACTGCAACCTCCGCCTCCTGGGTTCAAGCAATTCTCCTGCCTCAGCCTCCTGAGTAGATGATGGGATTACAGGCATGCACCACCACGCCCAGGTAATTTTGTATTTTTAGTAGAGATGGGGTTTCTCCATGTTGGTAAGGCTGGTCTCGAACTCCCGACCTCAGGTGATCCGCCTGTCTCGGCCTCCCAAAGTGCTGGGATTACAGGCGTGAGCCGCCGTGCCTGGCCTTGACTTGAGATTCTGAAGTGAATTTATTCACACTGATTGTGCCCTCTACTTTAGTAAGGTTCTGGCTTACAGAGCCCTCTTCCCATCCTCTGATGTTCAATTTTAATATACAGCAATCAACTCTTAGAGGACAAAGAAATCTGGAATTGGGTAGCATGAGCCACAGCTATATAGCCCACACTAATGCATGTTCTGTAGTATAAGAAGGCAGTTCTTCCCTTTCTTTTCTGGGGGCTTGTTCCTTTGTCCACTTGCAGCTAAATTCTTTCTATAGATTTATCACAGATAAGAAGGAGGTTGTTTTTGGATAACAAATAAGCATTTGTGCTATTAAACAAACAAAAGGTAATAAGGATACTGTCTTTTCCCTCAAAATAGAATCCTGCCCTAAAGCAACGCAAGTAGAGCATACTTCTGTGCAAAGCCAGTGATAGAGAAGCAGCCTTGCCAGAGTCACTGAGGATGAATTAAAGGCTTATAAAAGAAAACTTGACCTTAACAGAGACTACATTTGATCATGGAAATAATACATTTCTCCACTGATATACAATACCATGTAATGCACTGGAAAAGTTGGACCTTGGAGTAATAGCACAATTTGTAACATTACAGATCACCTCTTCCCACTCTTTGTTCCACTCTGAGACTCTTTCCTTTTCCTCGTGTATCCAGATACACTGACATACGGATGATTTTAAAAGTGTCACAAGCCACAGTGGAGCCATATACATGCAGTTCAGCCTGATTTTACCCTTATTTTCTTCTAATACAGACTCCATTACAATTTTGGACCATCTGCAGAGAGTACAGATACACAAAACCAAAACAAGTATCTATGATAATAAAATCTTCAGAAACTTTTCAGACGTACCTTTCATGGAGCCCCCTCCCTCCCCCGAGTAGAACCCTAACAGGGACCTCGTTTGTTCCTGTGAGTCCTGCCAGGACTTGTTTAATGGGTGCTTGGGGTTTTGGTTTTCCTCCTTATTCTTCCTCCTCCTCCTCCTCTTCATCATCATCTTCGTCATGGCAGTGTGTAATTTCCTGGGGGGCCAGTGGGAAGAGGTTGGGAGGTTTAATCTCACTAATTGACCGTGTCAGCTGGTGCCGCTTGTAGTCAGTGTCTTTGAAATCCACTGATGTGCGGTTCCGGGTGGCAAGAGGAGACTCCATCTCATTGATATCTACGTGTGTGTGCTCCACCGTTGATTCATGAGGCATCTAGACAGAAAAAAGCTAGAGGCTCAGAAAGCAGGCAGAGCAAAGTAGCTACTCCCCAAATCCTAACCCCTCTCCTCTGTTAGGTGGCCATGCAATTACATCTATAATGGACCACAGGACAAGTCAATATAGACTTATCTTCATAGAACTACTTATAGTTGCCTGTCTTCCTCTCTCCCTGCCCCTCAAAATGGTGCCCATATTGTCTACTGCAGCTGGAAATTGGAAAAGATGGAGAGGGGAGTTTACTTTCTATTTTACAGCAAAAACAAGATAGTCCTGAAACAGATCAGAATAAAGGAATGTAAAAACCACATTTTCTTTTTCTTGAGATGGTCTCTCGCTGTCACCCAGGCTGGAGTACAGTGGAGCAATCACAGCCCACTGCAGCCTCGACTTCCTGGGCTCAATCAATCCTCCCACCTCAGCCTCTAAAGTTCTGGGGTTACAGGCATGAGCCACCATGCCTGGCCCACATACAGCTTTTAATAGAGTAGACTTCAGAGAGTAAAGTTACACTCTTAACTTCCAATGTTGGTTCTACTTTCTCAAAGACCCCTTCTTATGCAACCATATAACCTGCCCCTGGGCTCTGTACATCAGAAAGAAATGTTCAAACTATCTCCTGTGCCATCTCACAAAGGTGGTTGCTGACCCTGGGCTTAGAGTACATCTTGGCTGTCCATTACAGCTTTAACTCACCAAGACATGGGCAGCCCTGAAGAGGTAGCTGAAAGGGTAATACAGCAGGTTGATGAAAGATGCTGCATAGAGGTCAGCATAACGCATCACTTGACTGGCAAAAAGGGTCTGCCGGGAGCCACTGCGAAACAGGCTTCCCATCATCCCATAGCACATGTCCATGTCATGAGTTACTTTCTAAAACAAAGAACAAGATTGATTCTTGGCTCATTCAACAAATATTTATTGAGCAGTAGTTGAATGCTAGTCTCTATAATAAATCAGGAATGTGAAAAAAGCATTTAAACTTATTTCCCAAGTTTTCTCCCAAATCCCATTTGGATACCTTAATACGTCTCTGGATGGAACTGATGTCTGGACGCTCATTGCTACTGCTGTCAAGATGCCTAAAGATAAAAGAAAAACTCAGTGAAAATCTCTGGGAAGAGCTTTTTTTTATTCTTTAAGACAGTCTCATTCTGTCACTCAGGCTGGAGTGCAGGGGTGTGATCGCGGCTCACTGCAACCTCTGCCTCCCAGCTTCAAGCGATTCTCCTGCCTCAGCCACCCTAATTAGCTGGGATTACAGGCATGTGCCACCACACTCAGCTACTTTTTGTATTTCTGGTAGAGATGGGGTTTCGTTTGCCATGTTGGTCAGGCTGGTCTCAAACTTCTGGCCTCAAGCAACCCGCCTGCCTTGGCCTCCCAAAGTGCTGGGATTACAGGCATGAGCCACTGCGCCTGGCCTGGAAAGAACTTTTTTTTTTTTTGAGACGGAGTTTCACTCTTGTCGCCCAGGCTGGAGTGCAATGGTGCAATCTCAGCTCACTGCAACCTCCATTTCCCCGGTTCAAACGATTCTCCTGCCTCAGCCTCCCAAATAGCTGGGATTACTGGCCTGGAAAGAACATTTCTTATATCTAAGTGATTCCTGAGTAAGTTTTTGGGAAAGAAATTTTTAGAAAACTTACTTGTAGAGTTCAGCCAAGAAAATATCCAAGCTCTGAAGTTCTTCGAAAAGTGCTAGTTAAGGTTTGGAAGGAAAAGGAAGACATTTTAAATAAATAAGCACCTAGTTCTTAACTGCTGCTAAACTAAAAGGTTGCAGATGTGACTGGAAAGTAGAACCTGGGACTAACATGCTGAGTGTACAGTTACCTCCTCTTCCCCTCTTCAGGATAACTCACTGATACCTGCTTGGAGTCTGACAACAGATGAACACCATCACCTTCTCTTTAACTGCCTTTCCTCCTGCTTAAACACCATGATGACAACTTTCCCTTCCAGCTGCACGCTCATTCTGAGCTTGTAAAGTACCAGAATTTACATGCTGTCTCAGGTGCAGTCAGCTAAGCAAATGTTAACAGTCCCATTTTCAGATGAAAGATTGAGAATCAGGTGACTTTTCCTGAGTCACAGGTCCAGGGCCAAATCAACTAGATTTCTAAAACTTCATAGGTAGAAAGTTGAAAATGTGAATGAAAGGCTAGCCAGAAAATCCCACTGATAGTACAGACAGTAACAGCAACAGCCAGCATCTACAGCATGCTGCCGGTGTGTTGCAGCCTTTGTCAGTCTGGGTTCCTCAAGACAAGCCCTCCTTCATCTACTGTATGTAACACATTTTCTTCTATCTACCATCTTTAGGAGAATTGAGAAAAGTGTTACTCAAATAATTTTCTGTATTCAGCTCCATTGGAAAGGTAAAATAATAGTAATAATTTTCTGTGTTTCGGATATGGAGCCTTGGTTGAGAAAGGCTGTCATGTCTATCTTTATACACATATTACCTCCGTTTTTCATCAGCTTTAGGAGGTAGGTATTATCCCCATTTTTACATTTGAGGAAACTAAGGCACAGGGTATCTCATTAACTTGCCTAACGGCATGCAGATTTCAAGTTATGGAGCCAGGGCTCCTACCCCAGGCAGGCTGAGTTTCCGGAGTCACCTTCACCACACTGCAGGTAATGCGCATCAAGGCTGGCTGGAGAACTTGTATATCAAGCACTTTTACAGAACTATATCCGTAACTCAGTTCAGCACAGTGTGTATACTGCATATACACAGCATAGCTTAGTTCAAGAATACAATATGGCCTCATTCTCTAGATCTCAGAAGAGTAAATAAAAAATACCAGAGGTGATTAACATTCAGAGCCATCACTGCCCCAGAATCACAGATATGGGCTGTTAGCAGAGAGACTGGGACTGCTAGGCATGGTTGGGGAAATATGGGACCACAGAGGAAAAGTTGAGCTCCAGTTCACAACTTAGTGTTACTGTAACACAACTCAAGACGCCAACATTCTAAACTTAACCTCGAAGAGATTCAAGAAGGTTAAACAAGATAACCTCTCATATTTATTCAAATTCTGGAGTTCTGTGAAATATCTGAATATTCTATGGGAAGGAAGTATCCAAATATCAAGGCCTGCCTTTTGACCACCTCTGACTTCCTGAATACAAAGTAATGGTTTATCAAAGACGACTGATTCAAAGCTGGTCATTTAGATATAAATTACACCAAAGATTTATGAATGGCTTACAACTCTTGTCAGTCCAGACATGTAGCTCCTGTGCGAGTTCAGGAATCACCAAAAAAGTTCGCCACCCTTGCCGTTTCTTTGATTTTAAAATGTCCCCAAAAATGTGATCTCCAATATACAAAATGTCTTTTCCCTTGGCTCCCAACAGGTCACAGATCGTATCAGAAGAACCTGAACCAACAGAGTGAACAATGAGAAAACTGTCCCTATATTAAAATCAGCATTCCAATAGTATTTAACCATTAAATACTATGATTCATTTTATTCTTATATGAGGAACAGACTAGGAAGAATAGACAAAGACTCACCATTCTCTTTTTACTGCCTTCTAAGACAAGGCCTTCAGCTCCACTGTGCTGACCAGAGCTCTTGCTCACCAAATCCAAGAGCAACAAAACTACATCCTCAGCTTAGTGAAAATAACCTTCAAAACAGCCACTGCCAATTTCATCACAAATCTGCCATTAAGCTGGCTTTACTCAACTGTTTATAACTCCAACATACTATGTACCTATACCCATGGAACTCCTTGAGAAACCCTTGAGAACATATTGAGAAGTACCCCCAAGTGATTCGAAGCACTGAGAAAAAGCCTCCAATAGGATTTAAAAAAAAAACTGATCATTTTAGTGAAAATCAGATTCATTAGGATATACTAACAACTGCTCAAACCCAGACTCCTATTGCATTAAGAGGTGACTAAACTATTTACCTTCAGTAGATGACATCTTAGACTACTAAACAGTATATGTGGCACTTTGCTGAGAGATTACCAAAGCTTTCACTGTGAGGTCTGAGCAAAGACATTAAATAAAGGGAAGTCTGTGACTTACCTCCTGAGTAGACGATACCATGCTGTAGGGGCCCTGTGTAGGTACCAATTTTCAGCTTGCCAGTTTTCTGTATGAAGAATATGGATTTTGTAATACTTTATCATCCTATCACAATCCTCCCCTCACCCCACAACCCTCCCATCCCACCCCCCACCACCAGTGCTACTTGGCCAGACAGCCAAATGAATGGCACTTACTCTTTTCAATTAGTGGGTTTGTTTGACTGTTTCAGTTAAGACCAAAACTCTTAATTTCAAAAGAGAGATACGGCTAATTAAAAAAAAAAAATTCCTGTTTCCTTATGTAGAGTAAGAGTGGGGGAAGGAGAAACATTAAGGACAATGTGCTAGCAAGACAGATCATTCTCATGACTTACAGTATCCACCTGACGCAGTACTGTGCCTTCTCCAAAAAAGAGTGGTTTCCGTGCATCCACCAAGATCAAGTCAAAGTAGGACTGCCATGGTCGATGGGAGCTCCCAGGCTGGTGAAGGAGAAACAGCAAAAGTTGAAACATCACTCCTTACCTTAAGGCATTACTATTTAATCTCACTCAGATGCAAGGAATATAAAAATACTAAGTATAGCCAGAAGATCCCACTATTTTATTTTTTAAAAAGGTATTGTGTCAGCCAGGCACAGTGGCTCACACCTGTAATCCCAGTACTTTGGGAGGCCGAGGCGGGCAGATCACAAGGTCCGGAAATCAAGACCATCCTGGCCAACATGGTGAAAACCTGTCTCTACTAAAACTACAAAAATTAGCCGGGCGTGGTGGCGGGCGCCTGTAGTCCCAGCTACTTGGGAGGCTGAGGCTCGAGAATCGCTTGAACCTAGGAGGGGGAGGTTGCAGTGAGCCGAGATCGTGCCACTGCACTCCAGCTTGGCAACAGAGCAAGACTCCATCTCAAAAAAAAAAAAAAAATTGTGTCTATGTATTATAAGCCATATCCTTTGGGAAGCAGACAAGATATAAATAATAAATAACTGTAATAACACATTCTATACATTAAATCATTTCATCTACTACTAAATTACAATACTTATTTTACAGCACTTTATGAAAGTGTGCTCACCTGAAATTTGCTAAAAGGAGCTCAAAAGAGCTAGGGAGAGATGCAAATCAATACCCAAGGGACAGATTAAGACAGAGGCAGGCATCAGAGCTAAAGTATACAAACTAACATGGAACTATTAGGAAATTTTACTGGTTACATTCTCAGAATGATGGCTCTAGGTACACACTGGCTTTTGGCTCACAGTGTAAGCTAATCACAATACTGAGTTATGCCCATTAAAATCATGACTATCCTGAAATGGAACCCTGGCATTAACCTTTTAAGACCAACCTGAAGGGCACTGCACACTGTGATTTCAGGTGTTCTCAAAACAGGGATTTGCTGATGTTTATTCACTAAAGTCTAGGACTAAAATTCTGTAAGTATGTGACTAAGTTGCAAGGAGTATTCCTTAAACCTAAGTGCAGCCGTACTGCAGAAATGAAGACTTCTCTGCTAAATATCAAGGCTGAGTGCTCTCTTGGCAAAAACTTAGCAACAACTAATACAAAATCTAGAAGTTGTCAAGAATACACATACATTTTCTGTTTCTGTTAATCAAATATCATCCACAACCTGAAAATTCCTTTCATTGCCACACAAACTTAATTTTGCATAGAACTTCTTGGGCATAAAATTATTCTGATCCCATCCTACTAAATATCACATGAATATCCCTTTTATTTCTGTCTATTAAGTATTCAAGTTGCGGACTCTAAATTAGCAATTTGATTTTAAATTCTACTAGCTCCTGGATTACTTCTAATGTTAATGAAGATTAGACAATAGGCTTAAAAAGTAGGACTTTTCTGGGTGGGTTCTGACCAATTCTTTCCCCCTTAATATTCCAGAATGATTAAATGCATTCATTGTTATTAAAGCAGTGGTCTATTGAGTCACATACGGTACCTTGGGGCCATGTGGGAAGTCAAACAGGTAAGTCATAATTTTCTGGAAAAAAAAATTTAACATAAGGTCCATATACTACTTTTGCAAAAGGTATATAACCTAAAGAAATTACAAGCTTTTCACAAAACATGTCTTTTTCAACATAGGACTCACCACATTCTTGTTTCCTCTAAATTTTATGAAATCATGGCAGTGGAAGCCAGAAATTAATGCTTTACCATATACCAAAAAGAAAAAAAGGCTTCTGACATTCTCAGGGAGGATACATACTTCCTCTGGAAGATGTTTTTGAACACACATTTGGAGGAAAGGAGCATATGAGGTAGGGGTATAGAGAAAACTAATGACTCACACAGAAATAACCTATCACCTTGGCTTCGCTACTGCCATCCCTAGACCAACTAAGTCAACAAACCAACGGTTTATGTAAGACTGTTTACTACAAATCACCAGGTGTCTAAATCAAGTTTACATGTACAGCGAATTGGGGGAAGTGGAACTTCTTGCCAGTACTATAAATTTTTAAGTGTCTCAGCAAAAGTAAGATGAAGTTAAGGAGTTAGATCAGTTTTTCCACATGCTTTAATCATGGGAAAAAACTGTTTTTAAGAGGTAGTAAATTTTGGGCTGGGCACAGTGACTCACGCCTGTAATCCCAGCACTTTGGGAGGCCAAGGTGGGTGGATCACGAGGTCAGGAGTTCAAGACCAGCCTGTCCAAGATGTTAAAACCTCGTCTCTACTAAAAATACAAAAAAATTAGCCAGGCGCAGTGGCAGGTGCCTGTAATCCCAGCTACTTGGGAGGCTGAGGCAGGAGAATTGCTTGAACCCAGGCGGCAGAGGTTGCAGTGAGCCGAGATCGCACCACTGCACCCCAGCCTGGGCGACAGAGTGAGACTCTGTCTCAAAAAAAAAAAAAAAAAAAAAAAAAAGATATATAAATTTTGACAGCTAAGAGCCAAAACATCTGTGCAGCATCTATTGCTGCAGGTCTTCCAACAGCAGGGAAAGTCATACATACACATCAATAAGGGGTGTGACTGCTCAAGTTTATAGAAATGATGCTCCAAAGAGACACAAAAGCCATTTTAATCTTTACAAATGTTTTAAATAACCCCAAGATTAAAATTTTCAAGTAGCCAATTATAATCAGTGAAAATGGTTAAAATAAATTTCTAGAAAAATTTGAGAACCACTGTTATCCTGTATATTTTTGCCTTTTTACTCTTTGAAAATGAGAAGGCAAGAAACTATTTTCACTTAATAAACTTCTATCTTCCTCATTGTCTTCACAGTTCTTTAGGCCAAAATAATTCCACTGCATAAATAAATATACACATGAAGCACTTACATCTGTATATTTATAGTCACTGTTGGTAGCAAGAAATACTTTCCCTACTTCCTTCATCCGGCTCAGAAGCAAAGGCAGTTTTCCCTGAAATGTAATTGGATAATGAGTGAAACACGAAAACATTTTTATCTTTACACTTTGGAGTTGTCAAATACTGGATTTCTGTCCACAACAGGAATGGGGGAACCTTTTAAGGGTTAGCTGATTTCAGAATTTTGCACTTAAAAGCCCACATTATCACTATAAATGAATAAAGTATTAACATATGTAGTATACACAGTGTATGTAATAGATTTACATGTAAAATTATACACATATTTATAGGGGTTATATGGCTGTTAACAACATATCTCTACCTTCCTCATGATGTCTGCCTCAGGAAAGAGTTTAAATTACCTTGAGATTTCTTGAAGTATGTGAGGTGTGTTAAAGGTCAGCAGAAGCTGATTTAAACATGCTCTACATAGAGATTATTAGATATGGCTTTCAGTGTGTACACTATGGTTTTATAAAACACCTTGCAGAATGAAATGACATGTGCAGATGCTACCTAGAAATACCCACACCCACGTGCGCTTAAATGAGGAAATTCTAACCCCTCATGTGCCTGGAAAGAAAAATATCTTTTCCTTCTCGCATAGCAAATAGATTCCTTCACTCAAATTCTCCCGGACCCTCCCCATTCAGTGTTCTTTCTTGAAATAAGGGAGGTGGGTGAAAATAGGAAGCACAAAAACTGAAAACAAGAAATCTTTACCACAGTACTTTGAGAAAATACTGTATTCTGCTACTTTTACTCTGTAGGAAAAGAAAGAAGTATGTCATCTTGGGGCACTATGTGTGTTTAATTTTTATTCTAAAACAGTTCTAGACTTATAGAAAAGCTGTGAAAATAAAGAGTTCCCATATATTCTTCCTCCAGTTTCCCTTAATATTAACATCTTATATAACCACAGTATAATTATGAAAAGTATGAAATTAACATTGGTACAATACTATTAACCACAGATTTTTTAAAAAATTTTATCAGGTTTGCCACTAATGCCTTTTAAGGTACTTTAAAGCTTTCCTCATTACTCTCTGTTGACAGGTTAAAGGCATTTTAAATAACAGTAACATATATGCACATTTTTGAGATGATCTAGTGCAGTAGTTATGATTTGGGTGTGACTTAGCTTTACTACTTACTAACTGTGTGACCTCTGGCAAGTTATTTAATCCCTCTATTTCTCAGGTTTTTTATCTATAAAACAGAGGCAACAATAATACCTAACTCAAGGTCATACAGAAGATTAAATGGCATAATGCATGTAATCACTTAGCATGGTGATGATGTGCATACAGTAAACCTCTAACTGCTATTATAATTGAAGCTAAGCGAACAAATGCAATACTGAGTCTTCTTGCCTATCAAGAAACAGGAAAAATGAAATACTGAGTCTTCTTGCCTATCAAGAAACAGGAAAAACTCTACTAAGACCTATGCTCTAGCTGAATATTCTTGGTGATTATACCCGACACATACTATGCCAAGACAAATCTCTTCTTTTGTCCATTTCATTATAAATCAGCTTGTTATTAATTTCCCTAATAGGTAAAATGAGCTATTATGCAGATCTATTTTCCCCTATATTACTTACATCTTTGACTACATACTTCTCAAGATTTTCAACTGTCTTTTCCTTAAGGGAGCCCTGGAGGAAGACAAAAAAAAGAATTAAGAAAAGAACAAAATCAGTTTTTAACATGTAGTTTATAAGAAAAATGGTTTTTACTAATCAACCCAAATCCTTTCTTTTTTTGAGACAAGGTCACCCTGTTGCCCATGCTAGAGTGCAGTGGTACAATCTCAGCTCACTGCAGCCTCGACCTCCCCAGGCTCAGGTGATCCTCCCACTTCAGCCTCCCAAGTAGCTAGGACCACAGGTCCACACCAACATGCCTGGCTAATTTTCTGTATTTCTTGTACAGACAGGGTTTTGTCATGTTGCCCAGGCTAGTCTTGAACTCCTGAGCTCAAGCAATCCACCTGCCTTGGCATCACAAAGTGCTGGGATTACAGGCATGAGCCATCATGCCCAGCCCCAAATGCATTTCTTAAGGATTTACCAAAATGGAAAAGTGGACAAACTAGAGAAGGCCAGAAAAAAGTAGCAGGTATGATTTGCTGCAACCCTGCCTCTAAAATTTGTCTTCAAAATATAAAACAGTTTCTATTTTAAGTTTGAAATTAAAAGGCATTTCATATTTTATTCAATAGTTTATAATACATGTAAATTTAATATTTATTAATGTTATTAGTCGGGTGGGAGGTATCTGGACAAAAAAAATGGACCACTGTCATCCACAAAGGATATGTTAAGTATAATGTAATACACTAAAACCTCTTCTAAGTTTGAGAAATGCAAACTAAAATAAAATCCAGAAGCCAAACACCATCACTGAGGAAAGATCAACATTACCACCGAGACCAAAGACAAGAACAAATGTATTCTAGAGGGCTATCACTAGGCGGGGGCAAATCTGTTTTTTCTTTTTTTAAAAAAAGAAATATTCTGCTCCATTTGGAAAGTTAATGCCACGCCATAAAATACATGCCAGAAAGCAAGCAGGTGAAGAAACAGCTTCTAGGTACCTTGTAATGAACCCAGTCAACAGCATCTCTTACATCCTGGAACATACTCCGGTAGGACATGAAGAGGTCCCCATCTTTAAATCCTGTTTCACAACTACAGAAAGATAAAAATAACATGACAGGGGATCCAAAACAGGGTAAACAAAATATATATCAAAAATTTCCCAGGGGACCCAAAGGTTCCATATCACATGGGTAAAGGCTGTGGCTAATGAGGAAAATAATTACTCCCTAATGAAAGTCCACTTTGACCACCAGAAATGGCTATAGTGTTCAATGGAATACAGTAATTGTGAACAAATACAAAGTGATAGAAGAATATATTGAATGGAAGCTAAAAGGCCAAAGTTCCAAAAATGTCAGGTTTTTTTATTTATCACTTTTTAGAAACAGGTTGAAGAAACATTTAAAACTTAAAATTGGTCATTTAGGTTCTTTCCACCCTGACTTTCCTGACACTGTCCCTAAGTACAAAGGTACTGTCCATTTTTTTATTTAGTTCAGTGACTCAGCTTTCCACCAAATTTAGTGTCTTCAAGTGGATAAAGCCCAAAGAGGATAAGAAGTTAGCCAACTCTGGTATATAGATGGCTAAACTTTCAGTATTGGCTATATAATTCTCCCTAAAGGGAGAGGATAACTTGTTTAAGACTTACGCAAAATTTTACTTCTGATAAGATACACAGTATTTATTCCTTAATCAAATCTTGCCTGGCCTGGGAATGAAATTAAATTACCATCCCTGAATGGCTCCTGGGTAGCTGCTGTGAAATGAGTTGGGGGGTTTTAGTGTAATTCTGCTTGGACAGATAATCATCACACAAACCTCCCACTCAGTTGTCACAATTAGCACCTCTGCTGGCCGTCTTCATTCCCAGGAGAAGCCAATCAGAAGTGGTGGCTGCAGCACACTGGCAAGGAGAGGGGCCGTGTGGGAGGTGAGAGCCTGCATGGAGCTGCTGGTGCTGTCCCATCTCTCAGGTTGGCAATGTGGCATCTCTCACTAGCACTAAATTCACTTTAGAAAAGCAGAAAAGACCTACAATGGCCAGTTCTCTAAAACCCTGTGCATTAATTTTAAAAATCAATTGGAAAAAAATAATTATAGTATATACATACCTGGTATATCTGGGACAATTAGTAAAAAAATCTACTAGGCAGGCCAACAGGTAGGTCTCTGAAAAATGAAGAACAGATATTCATAAGCTATAATGAAATAATTCAAACTTATTTCATTACCTCCCTTGAATACAGACTAATGGTCACAGAAGGGAAAGCATCAGTATAAATAAGCATAGAATGAATCTACCTGGTAGGTTGAATAGTGTGTTCAGAATGTAAAATCTTTCAGTATCATCTCGCTGGATAAATTTATTTGGATACTGTTCTCTAGTTTCTGGTCTGAAAGAAAAATTTAAAAATTAACTGATTTTTAAAATAACATTATAATAATTGGGAAATAGCATTATTCAAAAATTAACTCAAATATTTTGATGGCTATGTGCAAGACAGAATTCCGAATATTACGCATGGATAGCTATGAAGATGAACGAGTTCAGGTTCCAGCTCTTTATTTTTTTTAATTTTAATTTTTTTTTTTTTTTAAGACAGTCTTGCTATTTTAAGTCCAGGCTGGACTCAAACTCCTGAAGATTGCTCAAGCAATCTTCCCACCTCAGCCTCCCAAGTAGCTGGGATTACAGGTGTGATGTCCAGCTTAGGTTCCAGCTCTTAAAAGAGTTGTCAGTGTGGTGGGCGAGGTGGGTCACATACACATATAATTATAAGGTAAAAAATCACAACTACTACAAGAAAGGTGCAAACATTTATGAGAAAACCAAAGAAGGGAACACCATTTCAACTTAAGAGGTAGAGAGAAGCAAATGTGAGGACTAAGGAGAGGAAAATCTAGGAAGGATTCATGCACGTGCTGGTATATGAGCTGGGCCTTAAAGGCTAGGTGGACCAGTTGTGAAACTAGTCCAACTTGGGTAGAGAAAGGGGAGCAGAGAAAAATTAAGCTAGAAAGATGGGTTGAGGCAGATTAAGCTACTGTTTCTACACCATTTAGGGGCAAGAGGGTACTACTGACAGTTTTAAAGCAGAGGATAATCCCATCGGGGCTGAGTTGTAAAACAAAATTAAATTAGTGGCTGTTTTAGGATAAACTGGGGAAAGACAATGTGATGCACTCCAACAATGGCCACAAATTCTTCCTGTCTCTTTGTGATGCAATTTTGTGGCTCCTCCCATTAGAACTCAGTCTATTTCTCTATCCTTGAATATAGGCTTGTATAGCAGCAAATGGGATCCAAGCAGAGACCTAGAAAAACATGTGTGTATTGAGGCTTAATCTCTCTTGCAGCACTTGGAACCATGGACTACTATGTGCATGACAGTGAGATAGTCTGCTGGAGGATAGAAGGCTACATGTAGAAATGAAGCACTCGGCCAACAGCCTGTGAATGCCAGACATGTGCATGAGGCCATTGTAGATCAGATGCCAGGTCACCCACCAGCTAACCACAGACATGTGAAAGAGCATAGAGAGATCAGCTGTGCAACCCAGAATCACCCAGTTGACTCTCAGAATTTTTTCTTTTTTCTTTTTTTTTTTTTGAGACAGAGTCTCACTCTGTCGGCCAGGCTGGAGTGCAGTGGCGTGATCTCAGCTCACTCATATATTCAAGAGAGATTACCAAGGTAAAATAAGACCCGGCAAACTGAGCAGATTTGGCTGGGGGAACATTAAAGAGTCAAAGATGATGATGTCCATGCTAAGGTGTCTCTGAGAGGTGGTTGGTACGATGAACAGAAATATGAAAACTAGATAAGAAGTGATGTGAGAGTAGTTCTATTTTAGTGATACTAAGTTTGAAGTAAACTGATTTTTATTAGGCAATTAGAAACAAAGGTCAAGAACTTAAAAGAGATTCAGCCTTGAGAGATAACTGAGATCATCTACGTACAGATACTAGATGGAATCATGAAAAGTATTAGAGGAGATGAAACCACTTAGTGTGCAGAGAAGGAAGAGAAGAGACAGAACAGAACCATGAAGAAAATTCAAGGTTTAAAAGAAAAAAGCCAGTGAAGCAGAATTTGTTAAAGATGCAAAAACACTTCTAGAAGAAAACATTTCAGAGAAACTCAAAGGGAAAAATACTAAAATATAAAAATGCACAGTTCTGACAGTGAATACATGGAGATTAACAATGTAAATAAAGGAAATCAAATTTAAAGCTCACACTCAGAGTGACCTGGATTAATTCCTGCCTGGGTTTGTTAACTACAAATGGCATAAACTCTAGTTAGACATATAAAAATCACATTAGCTCCCTGTCTTAAGTCACTCTTCTGAGATGAGAGTTCCCAATAATGAATAACTTTGTAGAGTATCTTATCTTCTAGCTTTCCAAGATTTTCTTTAATAAAAGTAAGGTGGAAGGTAACAGTAAAAATATACTTTCTTCAGTTAGATTTAATAAGCTGACACTGTCTCCTTAGATACAATATACTTCCCTATTCCCTCCATCATTAAAGAAAAATTCCTTTACATAAAGATGGTTAACATTTATTAGGCAGTTAGAACCCAAATTGATTTATAAATATAGTTAGCAATTACATTGTAAACTTCAGTGTCAAATCACACTAGTATATATTTAAAATAAAAATCAATTTGGGGGAGGTAATATATCATAAAAGAAATGCTACACTTGGAATGGGAAGAAAACAGTTACAGCACAGATTACTACTAACTTTCTGTGACCCACAGAATAAAAATTTATCAAAAAATAAGGTCCTAACTCATTAGCAAAGCCTGATGGAGTCCTTCTTTTCCAGCCTTGTCTACCACTGTAATAGCTTCGATAACTTTCTTTCCCTCTATCTTCAGTCTCTTCTTTTCATGGGAATTTTAATTTTATTAATTTATTTTTATTTTTTTGAGATAGGGTCTTGCTCTGTTACACAGGCTGTACTACAGTGGCACCAACACAGCTCACTGCAGCCTCAACCTCCTGGGCTCAAGCACTCCTCCTGCCTCAGTCTCCCATATAGCTGGGACCAAAGGCATGTACCACCATGCCCAGCTAATTTTTGATATTTGTAGAGATAGGGTTTCACTTTATTGTCCAGGCTGGTCTCCTAGGCTCAAGAAGTCTTCTTGCCTTGTCCTCCCAAAGTGCTGAGATTATAGGCGTAAGCCACTGTGCCTGGCCAGCTTTTCTGTTTAACTCTAAAGACTGCACAGTGCTAAGTGCTATTTGAATGATTCTGCATTTACTCATAAATGACTTATTTTTGAAACACTATTAAATGCATTAGCAAAGGAGCTATGTGGAAACTTTATTGGCTTATTTAAGGGAAGAGAGGAAGTCTGTGGATCTTGAGTTGGAAATTTGATCGTAGTACTAACTTATCCAACTGCTTCTCTTTTCTTCTCTGCCTACCCCTCCCTTATAATACAAAAATTCCTTTTTAGACATAATAGAACCCTGGTTCATCTTCATTGAGATTCTGAGTTATGATGACAATATCTGTGTATAAAATAGCTTAAGTTACTAGTACAACCTGTAATTACTTCATATTCTAAATCCTGTTTCCTGATATTTTCATGGATCCTGAACAAACCCCCTCATGAAAGAAACAGTGAAAGAAATGTGGATGTAATCACTGGCCTGCTCAGATGTGTCAAGATGGGTGTTTACTTCACACCGTTCTCATGTATACATGGAAATCTCTGAGCCTGTGTAATGTCAGTAATGCCAACTAAAGAGTCTTAGATGCTTCAATTCTAAGGGGCATCCTGTGACCTCAAATCTAAAGGAAGCTCTGGTACAATTACAGTTGGTTTGTGCCTCTTATCACAAAAAAAGACATTGTCTTTTTAAACATTTCAATGTAGCCTGGTGTTTTTCCTATTCTGCCATCAAGAATGAATAGTAAATGGAAAAGTTACATAAGAGACTGACACACATCCTATTCTGGTTTTACGAGCTGTTGTTCTGACCTTAATACAATGTCAATAGTAAATAAGGTGGCATAACAGTAGAGAAAATGTATAACAGTAAAGCTATAGCTACAGAAGTTGTCAAATTGTGGCATTATGATTTGAAAATATCGGGACATTTCACAAAAAAATAGTAGATACTAAATTTCATCTGCTGTTTACTAGGGTAAAAAGTTCAAATTAGTGACAATAGTGGAAATATTTTTATTTTGAAAATAAAGCTTATTCTTATTTGTTTAAAATATTATTAGCACATATTCACTTTAACCTTATGTTTACATTTTTTTAATGACACAATCAAATGTCAGGATTCAAAGTTTAGATTCATTAGAATCTAAAAAACGTATTGGCTATTAAAAATCTCTTAATCATTTAAATTGCTATAGTTTAAAATTTTTTCAAAGCATTTTTATATACATACCTCTTCTGAACAGCTACCTGAGAACTGTATTAGAAAGAAGAAAATAAAAATCTTAGAATTTCAAATAAGTCAAAACTACTAAAGTTCTTCTGGGCAAGTTTTAAGATTAGTTTTGTTGTATGCTGTATAATTGGAAGGCACTTAATTTAAACAAAATGTAATTGCTAACTATATGTCAGTTTGGGTTCCAACTGCCTAATAAATAACTGTTAACTAACCTTATGTAAGGGAATTTGCTCTTTAATGATGAAAAGTAATAGGGAAATATATTACATCTGGGGAGATGATGTCATCTTCACATTGTTTGACTTTAACATTAGAAAGAGGCTAAAGGTTCTCTGTACTCACCCCCTTATAAAGTTAAATCCATGTGCACAGACCAAGAGGTTTCCATAGGCATCGACTTTCAAAAGATTTCCATACAGTGTGTCAAAGACAAGTCCCCTATGTGAAAATGAAGACATTATTGATAATGCAAAGTAATACAGGCAATAATTTTATGTAGTAGTATTTAATCATCATGAACCAACCTCATTTAATTCAAGCTTTGTACCAACTCAAAGTATGTCCTAATATAGCTAAAGTGAGTAAAATCTTAAAAACTAATTCTAAAGCAACTAAAAAATATTGACTCCGTCCAGACAGAAAATCATAATTGTTTTCTGTAAGGAATAAGTGCTTAATCAAACAAGGTATAAAAAACATTCTTCTTACTACACAGCTGGTACCATTCTAAAACATAGTCTTTTTTCTTGGACAACTGAGAAGGCTTATATTTTTCTCCATTAGATGCTGTATGTGGGATATATATGATAGCATCTCAAACATCATTTTCTTAATCTTAAATATTCCCTATCAAATCCAGAAATGGAAACTGCCAAGCTTCTATCATGTTAAGTGTATTAGAGAAACACGTACCTATTTGCCAACAGCCCCAAATAGCACCACCTGTGATTACTGCCCATCAGTTTTAGTAATCTCCTTTTTTACCTGTAAGTGGGTCTTCCTCAGTTGCAATAAACTGAGCTTAATTCAGGAACACCAAGATATGGTGTATATGGAAAGTTCATGGTAATTTTAGAATCAACATCAACCAACCAAAAAAACAACAAAGAATTATTCAATGTTTTGGGGGGTTTTTTTGTTAAGGATAAATCTGGAATGTCTAATTTGAGGGGTAAGGAAAGTAGTCTTAATCTAGTCTTAATCCAAAAATATCTTTAAAAATTACCTGGTAGGGAATGTAGAATCATAAGCAAAGCTGAGCAACTCCTGGGGATAGCCAATAGAAACTAATCTCTCCACAGTAAGCTCAAAACCAAGGGACTCATACTCTGGGGACTTGTACACTGCACAAAGAGGAGGTTTTCATTAGTTAGCAGAAAGAACAGCCAATTAAAACAGAATGCAAATGAATGAATTTCTGCTCTTTCCCAGTTCTTCCCCCCTCCTAATTCTGCCATTTTTCTTCTTCCCCCTCAAACTCCATGTTCTGTATTGCCCCAAGTAATTAGAGAACTCAATTGTTAGTCTGTGGAAATAGGTCATATTATATAGCAGGAGCACAGCAACAAGCTGAATTATCAAATTATTCAGTATAGTTCCTTCATTCTCAGGAAACCTATTCCAAACTTTTTTTTCCTTTATTCTTTCATTCCCACAGTTTAAAAAAATGAATATGCATAGCTGTGATATTAATCGTGAGAATAAAAGTACACAGAAAACTAGGTAAGGGAGGTCTATGTATGCTGAAGGCTTCGGTGTTGTGCATAATTGTTGCAGAAATCCTTCAAAATGAACTTTTAAAATAATTTATTTTTGGAATTCCTGTTTGGCTTGGGTAATTGCTTTATATGCCTTCTCCAATCAACATATTTGTTCCACTTGTTAGATTAACTGTTTTCTTATCAGCTCTAACAATGTATGCCATCAAAATTGTATTTTGCAGGTTATTATTGTAAACCAACCATAAAAAGACATGTTTGTGACAATTAGGGAAATCTAAATATGAAATGGAGTTAGATATTGAAGAATTGGTCAGGCGTGGTGGCTCATGCCTGTAGTTCCAGCACTTTGAGAAGCCGAGGCGGGCAGATCACTTGAGGTGAAGAGTTCGAGACCAGCCTGACCAACATGGTGAAACCCCCGTCTCTATTAAAAATACAAAAAATTAGCCGGGTGTGGTGGCGCATGCCTGTTGTCCCAGCTAGGAGGCTGAGGTGGGAGAATCGCTTGAACCTGAGAGGCAGAGGTTGCAGTGAACTGAGATCATGCCACTGCACTCCAGCCTGGGTGACAGAGCGAGACTCTGTCTAAAAAAAAAAAATATGCAAATGTGTATATAAAACTAAATCTCTCCTTATCTGCCAAAGGAGCATTGAGTTTGTTACAGGTCAAATAACAGGGATTTCAGGCAATGAGGGGTTCTCTCTCTATTGTGTAAGTCTGAAATTTTCCATAATGAAAAAACTTTTCAGAGTTTACTACTGAAATTCAAGCAGAAAGAAAATGTTGCGGCCAGGTGCGGTGGCTCACGCCTGTAATCCCAGCACTTTGGGAGCCCAAGGCGGGCGGATCACTTGAGGTCAGGAGTTCCAGACCAGCCTGGCCAACACAGTGAAACCCCGTCTCTACTAAAAACACAAAAATTAGTTGGACGTTGTGGCGGGCACCTGTAATCCCAGCTACTCGGGAGGGTGAGGCAGGAGAATCGCTTGAACCCAGGAGGTGGAGGCTGCAGTGAGCCGAGACCGTGCCACTACACTCCAGCCTTGGCGACAGAGTGAGACTGTCTCAAAAAGAAAAAAAAGAAAAGAAAAGAAAATGTTGCTCCTTTAAATAGGTTTCTTCCAAATGAAATATTTAGGTAAGCATCTTTCCATCAGTCTCCAGGAGTGAGTAAGCCATATTAAAAATAACAGCTAAAAAGACCTGCTAGCTTGCTAAATGCCAAATGAGGCAAAAATATCCATCCTATTCTTGTAATCTCATAATAATGCAACTATTATTATTATAGTTCTTCCATCTACTATTAACATCTTTAGCTTTTGGCGCAAACTGATTTTTCATTGCAATTAGTCTACCTATCCAAGTTGGTGCTAATACTTTAATGAGTGTGATTCAACTTTCCCTTTCCAAAAACAATCCTTTAGAATATTTCTGGAAATATATAACAGTAATACTAGTTGCCACGTAGGAAAGGAACTGAGTGGCCTTTAAGAGACAGGGAAGGAAACTGTCATGTACTTCTTGTACCTTTAAAACTTACATTAATGTATATCTATTTTTAAAATTAAACTGAAGTTTTTAAAAAGCAAGCTGGGCTTTCAAAATCCTTTAATAAATATTTGTCAGATTTTAAAACCAGAAGCCTTTTAAGGTCTTTTGAGTCTCATCAGAACAATGCCAAAAGAAAAAAACCATCTTTATTTCTTTTGTTGTCACAAGGGTAATAATAATTTAATGCCAATGCTAACCCTGGCTAACTTTTTTTTTTCTTTTTCTTTTTCTTTTTTTCTGAGTCAGAGTCTCGCTCCATTGCCCAGGCTGGAGTGCAGTGGCCGTGATCTTGACTCACTGCAACCTCTGCCTCCCAGATTCAAGCGATTCTCATGACTCAGCCTCCCAAGTAGCTGGGATTACAGGTGCCCGCCACCACACCTGGTATTTTTAGTTGAGACGGGGGTTTCACCATGTTGGCCAGGCTGGTCTCGAACTCCTGACCTCAAGTGATCCGCCTGCCTCGGGCTCCCAAAGTGCTGCTATTACAGGCTGAGCCACCATGCCCAGCCATGGCTAACATTTTCAAAACTGGCTATATTACCTTCTTCCCCTTAAATCCTGCCTCATCCTCTCCCATCCCCCTAAAAAAAACTTGTTGAAGACTTAAGTGTGGAATTCCTAAATCTATATGATGTACACTGTGGATAAAAAAATAAAGTGCTATATACACTAATAGAGTAAGAGCTGGTGTATCATAAAACCATAAGGCATGGCACCTACTGTTGTAAATTTGTTATAAGTATAACCACTCTCACCTTACCCTCCTCAATGCCCCATGCTCCCACCCCAGTTGCAAGTAAATCTCATTTTAGTACAATCTCCATAAAACAAAAATTATTTCTCAATCCTAACCAAGGCCCCATTTATTTCAAACTGTATTTAATGAAATAAAGTTCCAGTATAGCTAAGTAATTTGGGTAATCTACTGACATTTATTCTTACAGGATTTGGTCCATATAAAATGTTTTCAATTGTTAATTTTTTCAGAAGGACAATTTGCTGGATATGCCTTAAGAGTGGGAGACAAAAAACAAACCTTAATTACTCCCACCCACACTCACCCCTAAATCAGCAATTTCTCCAGCTAGAGAAATTAGGTAACTATAGAGCAATGGAGTGACTATCGAGTAAAACCTATGTCTATGAGACAATTTGGATTTGAAGCACAAATTAATGTACTCATAATTTTCAGTGAAAAACAATACAGGAGAGAAAAAGTCTCAAATCCCCATTTTGACAGCACAAATCCTAGAATAGCAGAAAATAAAAACACTATACTTGCCACATTATATTTATTGGCAGGGCAGAATTTCCCAAGTGTTCAACCGAAGTGACTTTCTAGAAATTCCACCTATGGAAATACTTTAAATTTCCTTTTTCTCAATGAACTCAGAGTACTTCCTAAAAATATGATATATCTTCCCCATTTGCTGACGTGAAGTTATATAGCAAGTACAAACATCAGCTGAAGCCAAAATTTAGGTCTCTTTGAGTCTCCAAAAGCTCTTTGTAAGGCCAGGAGTGGTAACTCACACCTGTAATCCCAGCACTTACACCTGTAATCCCAGCACTTTGGGAGGCCGGGGCGTGTGGATCACTTGAGGTCAGGAGTTTGAGACCACCCTGGCCAATATGGCGAAACCCCGTCTCTACTAAAAACACAAAAATTAGCTGGGCGTGGTGGCTCGCACCTGCAGTCCCAGCTACTTAGGAGGCTGAGGCAGGAGAAATGCTTGAACCCAGGAGGCGGAGGTTGCAGTGATCCAAGACTGCACCACTGCACTCCAGTCTGGGCAACAGAGTGAGACTTCATCTCAAAAAGCAAACAAACAAAAGCTCTTTGTGATAGGGTATATATACTACCACTGCAAAAAGTGAATTTCTAGATTACATAAGCCATCAAAACTTAAGCTTGGGTGTTGAAACATACACTTCTCCCTCCAATTTTTTTCAACTAGTCCAAAATAAACTGCTCTACTCACAAGTGGGAATGGATTTAATAAAGAGAGTCCAAGTTCTACCCTGACAACACTATTTCATCAAGCTCTATTAATCAGTAAGACCTACAAGCTTATGAGAAAATGTCAGTTTTCCCAGATAATCACAAATGATTTTCCCAGATAATCATTTCAGCAACACAAACTCCTTGGTCATTAAATTATCTGCTATATAGTACAACCAAGGTTGGAGACGCAGAATTGCAGCCACACAGAGCATGAATTTAGATGTTTTATTCTAAGTGTCCCTCAGTGATAAACATATTTATTGTGACCTGGTGGCAAAAATTCCTGAAGCTAAGTACTGCCATTCCTTTAAAAATAAAAGTAAAATATAAAAAATAAAATTCCTTTTTTAATCAACCAGGCCCTACAAAGCCAGCCTCAGATATTTATAGGAAACCACATATATCTCCTCAGACTTAGAGCTTTATGCCTCTCCACAGCTGCAAAGGCTCTAATTTCAATTTCTCTCCCACAACTGTGGCAAGTAAATGATGCACAGCTTCAAGCTCAACTCTCACAATTGACTTTCTGTGGTTCCAAAACCCAGGCAATAGCTTCAGAGTAAACATAACTTCACACAATATCTGCTTATTTCTTCTCCCAGAAGGTACTCTGGCCTACCCCTAGTTACTCAATATCGGAAGACAAAGGAAGAAGCTATTTTAAGGGCTAGAGTCCCAAAAGGAGGACTGCTTCAGCCACTAGGACAGCACACAGTGTTCTCAGGTTACATAATTAGACTATAAAGAAAACAACCAACGCTTTGAAAGTTGAAGTTACTGAGAGCATTTAAAGATATTCTTTACTCCATAATCTGCAAGGAAAAAACAGTTCTTCAAAAAATAACTATGTTTTCAGGATGAAAGTTGTGGGCTCTGTTTTGAGTAGATGCTGTTCATACAAGATAGAATACATATTAAAGGACAAAGTCCCTTTGGAATGAGCAGAAAACTTTCTGCAGAGAAGTTTGGAATTCTCATGCACTTTTTACCATTGCCACCAAGACACACTATGTAGTAATTTATAGATTTAGAAAAATAAAGGGCAAACCTCTACAGAGGTTCCAGCCTAGCAGAGTGCTGCTGCCAAAATGAGAACTCACATGAGGCAGATGCAGATGCAGTGTGTGTCACTCCAGTCTTGAAGGAGTTACACTGGCTCTCCTGTTAAAAAACAAAAAGCAACAAAACAAAACAAAAACAAAAACAAAAGCTGGTTTTAAAACTGTTGTGATGGGCTGGAACAGAGAGATACCATTTGGAAATTGGTATTTACAGGAGTTACTACTGCCCTCCAATTTAGAAGCCTCTGACCATCACTAAAATTAGCCTAATTGGCCATAACAAAACAAGGGTATTGAAGATAAGCCTAAGTATTATTGTGTATTATTTACTTTTCTGGCACCCTGAGTCTGGAATACAAGCCAAGTCTGATCCTAAAATGTTAAGTCGAAAGACAAACAGAAAAATAAGTCTATTGGTCTTAGTTTATTTTCTCTAGCACATTTCAGGCTAACACGATAGAAACTGAATACAGCTGGCAAATGGTGTTTAAAATTAAACTATGGGTAGTGAAACAGACTGAATAAAGGATACAAATACCAGAGTGGCCTCATCTTGCTTCCAAGTACCCATTTTAGCTGAGTCTACCTATACCTAACTACTAGGTTAGTCATTATCAAGATTCTAGTCATCATTATCAAGATGACTAGAATCAACTGCACACTGCTAAAAATCTAACCAGATATCTAAATTTGGAATGGAAGGAAATTTTTAAATTTTGATTGTCAGTGGAAATCTGCCCTTAGTAAGCCAATTTATACTCTATAAAGTTAAAAGAAACTACCTAGTCTAGTAAAATAACTGAGTTGAAGATACATAATCCATTAAATATACTGACACTTTAAAGATATGCATTATGTTTAACTTTATAGGGAGTCATTTTCCCTAGAGACATTTAGGTTTTTGAAAACATGTCACTGGGCTCCTCCAATTCTTGGATTTTTGGGGTACTCAACCGAAGAGCAGAAATGACCAGATGCAATGTCTAAAAGTCCTAAAAGCATTACAACACTACCAACAGTCACAATGAAAACCAAAAATGCAACCCAACCACCCAAGAATAGTCATTTGCTTTTATGTTATAAGAATGATCAACATCAACATGCTCATCTATTTAGCTGTAGGCTACATGATGTTGGTTCTCTAAGCCTCTAACTAGAAAAGGTGATAACGCACATTTTTCTCTGAGAAAATTTTAAGTGAGATCTTTCCAATTATCATATAAACAAATGCCCAAGGACTTTTTTCCATTTTCCAAAACTATATGAAAATCCTCCTAACACATTAAATAGACACAGGCAAAAATCCTATCTCTAACCTAAGAGATCACAAATGACCTAAAAAAGATATTTTCATATCTTTCTAAATTTTCAAAGCAAATTTCCTAAAATGGCCTCAATTTTAATTTACTTAAAACAGCTAGATATCATAGCAATACTTTTAGTAATACAAAGTAAAACACATTCCCAAATAACTAGATGTGTAAATAAGTAAAGTGGAGTTTGAGCAACTGCCAATTTCAGTTTATTGCAAGCAAATGCAAAATTAAATGGTAATTAAGAGTTATTTGTTTAAAAAATACTAAGAATATTAGAAGAATATTTTTAAATAAAATGAAAAAAATACCTACTTCAAAAATATTCCATCTGAGAATCTGAACACTTACAAATATCTTGTATTTTCAGTACTGTTTTCAATTTAAGACAGAAAAATTGAAAATTATTGAAATAACTTTTAAAAATCGTCTTTAACCAAAGGAGCTGCTTGTAATACAAAAACAGAAATAGCTAATATTTTTTTTTTCAAAAATAAAAACAGATCACAGCACTCAAATGCCTATACTAAAGTTAGAAGAATTTAACAAACATTTGGATACCTACAGTGTACCAGGTACTAGAAGCTGAGAAGAAGAAACAAAATAATGTATGATCCTGGGCCGTGAAAGAGCTTATAGCTCATGGCATATTAGAGGGGATATACATTTAGATATTTATAATAAGTTTTAGGAGATCAATAACTAAGACTAATCAAATGACTAAGAAAGTATAGAGAGACAAAAAGAGGACCAATCAATCCAGCCCAGGAAGTCTTCTTAAAACCTATGCATGATTTATGTCTGACTTATTCAGGCTTATACAGATAACTCATTTTTATAACCAATTTCTCAAGGTACTATAAAGTTTACCTGACAACTCTCTGAAATTCAGATTCAACTAATACATTACAAACATCTATGTCAAGACTAGGCAAGTGAATTAATGTGTGAAGTGGGATACATGAGGGTGCACATCTTGTCTAGAGGAGGAAGTGGCTACTCAAGTGTAGCTGACTTCCCTGAGGGAATGGGAGCCAAATGTTCCCAATTGCGTGATAACAGCCAACCTAGACTTTTACCTGTAGTCTCTCAACTGTATAACACTGACCCAATTAGGCCGGCTTGGTGGCTCACGCCTGTAATCCCAGCACTTTGGGAGGCCAAGGTGGGCGGATCACGAGGTAAGGAGTTCGAGACCAGCCTGGCCAATATGGTGAAACCCTGTCTCTACTAAAAAATACAACAACAAAAAAAATTAGCCGAGTGTGGTGGCGCACACCTGTCGTGGTGGCACGTGCCTGTATCACTGGTACCAGGGAGGCGGAGGTTGCAGTGAGCTGAGATCACGCCACTGCACTCCAGCCTGGGTGACAGAGCGAGACTCTGTCTCAAAAATAAATAAATAAATAAAAAATAAAAATAAAAATACTGACCCAATTAAATAAACAAAAACTCTTTCAGCCAAACTATGGTCTGTGGTCTAAGTTGGGTCCATGGGCCAACAGTGTGCACCTCTAGCCTATACTTTAGGTCATATACTTCCACATACATTATCTATCCCATTTAATTGAAGTGTTTGACTACCTTCTTCAAAGAGTCTTAAGGAAATAAATAGAATTTAGGTACTTAATGAATTGGAAATCTAGATGGAAATACATTCATTCTTTAATAACATAAAGTATTCTGGGTAATACTGTCAGTCTATTCATCCCAAGAAAAAACGGAGGAAGTGGATTAAAAACAGAAAATAAAAGAACCTCTATGTGGTAACTTGATGTGGACCCCTATAATCGTCTGAATCTGATTTCTTCACTAGATTATCAAAACCGAACAAATGTTCCCAGTGACAGAATCACAACATCCTCATGATCTGCTTAGGTAACCAACTACAGTATTAGTGTCTTATTCATAAGGTTTAACCTAAATCTTTGCTATACAACTTAATTCCATTATCATTTGTCCTTTCCTCATTGGCCATTATCTGCATGATAAAACAAACATCCAGAGAATGTGTAAGCAGAAAGGAGATAATGAATCAAAGGTAGCTATTATGTTAGAAGTATGCTGAAAACAAGTTTAGTCATGTTGAAAATAGCCTTTGGCTGGGCGCGGTGGCTCACGCCTATAACCCCAGCACTTTGGGAGGCCGAGGCAGGTGGACTACCTGAGCTCAGGAGTTCCAGACCTGCCTGGGCAACACAGTGAAACCCCGTCTCTACTAAAATACAAAAAAATTAGCCGGGCATGGCAGTGTGCATCTGTAGTCCCAGCTACTCAGGAGGCTGAGGCAGGAGAATTGCTTGAACCCGGGAGGCGGAGGTTGCAGTGAGTCGAGATTGTGCCAATGCATTCTTGCCTGGGTGACAGAGCAAGACTCCGTCTCCAGAATAAAAAAAAAAGAAAATAGCCTGGATGCTGGGAGCGAAAAATTCATCTTAATAACTTCACTGATGCCACTAATATTATTACATGACATTTATTCACACAAAAAATCTGGCCTACATTTGAATGCTTTTATAATTGGCAATAAAAAGTAAAGATCATAAACACTAGTAATTGATTCTTTCTATCACTTACCATGTAATGGAGATGAAATGGGTTTTATTAAGCAATCTTTTAAATTTCCTAATCTAGAAACAAACCAAGTATTACTGCAATTCAGAGAGATTAATTTAATATTAGTGAAAACTTTAACTGGGATACAGACTTGACATAAAGGGAATCAAAGCTTGGAAACTAAGTATAGACTCATATATTAAAAAGTTGTCTAAGAAGTAAATAATATACACCTAAAATATGCCATATATTTCATATGTAATATATATATCTAAAAATAATAGTATTGAGGGTGTTTATCTCAATGAATACAAAGGCCTTTCATCTACAAGTAAGATAATGCACTGAAGTATTATTTCTTTTAAATTATTTCCTAACATGGAGGGACCACCTCAAAAACACTGCCTGACTGTAGACAGTACTTTATTTCCTGAGGAAGGTAGTGTAAGAAATTCTGAAGTTTAAGAAAAATAATAGCAGCTAAAATAACAAGGACTATAATATCTCAAATGGAAATGAAAAGACTAAAGGACCTTAACATTTAAATGCCTTTTTAAAAAAACCATTTTATTGGTATTTTTTTAGTTTCTGCCACATGATTTTTAAATTTAATATTATTAAGGATATTTTTACTCATACATACAAAAGTAGAGGAAATATGTAATGAGCTGCTTTAAACACATCACACAGCTTTAACAACTTTTGCTATTTTGGATTTTTGTTTCATCCATCTTCCCTAACTTATTCTCACCCAACTTAATAAATTTTATCAAATCAGAAAGTTTTAACATTGTTCTTTCATAAAATATTTTAAATAGCAGAAGTGTACACAAGTATTATGTATCACACATACAGAATTATTTTATTAACTAGTTGAGTTGTTCCTTTAATTACTGCTTAAATTTCCTCCCCACTTAGAGGTCCATGCAATACTCGAAGTCTTTTATCAGCAATTAGTTAGAAGAGGCTTCCAAATTAAGGGCTGCTTCAGATTTTTTTCTTTTTTTTTTTTCTTTTTTTTTTTTTGCTCTGCCATCCTGGCTGGAATGCCCTAGCATGATCATAGCTCACTGTATCCTCAAACTACTAGGCTCAAGCAATCCTCCTCCTCAGCCTCAGCCTCCCCAGTAGCTGGGGCTTACCAACATCCACCACCACACCTGGCTAATTTTTTTTTTTTTTTAAAGATGGGGTCTCACCATATTGCCCAGGCTGGTCTAGAACTCCTGGCCTTAAGTGATCCTCTCGCCTTGGCTGCCCAAAGCACTGCAATTACAGTCATGAAACACGATGCCCAGCCCAGAAATATTGTAACTATACTATGTTGTCAATATTATAGCCTTAATGAGAAAACCTGTTCTACCAACAGCATTGTTCTTTTGGTAAGATAGTACTGGTATTATTATTAGGTATTAATATTCTTGGAAAATCAGAGCAAGAGATAGGTAATATATTGGGCCAAAGAAAATAAAACAGTGTAACCACTGAGAAAAATTTTTAAATAAGGGACGACACCAAAGTAGCTTAGTTTAAATAAAGCTTAGTTCAGTTAAAGAAACAAACTACAAATGACGAGTATTTTTACCTAACGATCAATGGATTTGCTCCAAAATAAGCTGTCTCTCTCTAAAAGACAATTATCTCAAAATAACAGAAACAAAAATGGAATTCTGAAATGAAAATAATCAAACTGTATTATGAGATATGAGTAATAATATCTGTTAAAAACAAACATAATAGAACTTACACATCGAAATGAGCCTTCACCCATTCAAAACAATCACTACCAGGCTGGGCGTGATGGCTCACACTTAACAGTCTCAGCACTTTTGGGGGCTGGGGTAGGAGGACTGCTTGAGCCCAGCAGTTCAAGATCCAACTGGGCAACACAGCAAGGCCCCCTCTCTACAGAAAATTTAAAAATTAGCCAGCCATGGTGGCATACACCTATAGTCCTTGCTATTCAGGAGTTTGAGGTAAGAGGATCACTTGAGCCCAGTAGTTCAAGGTTATAGTAAACTACAATTGCACCACTGTGCTGCAGCCTGGGTGACAGAGCAAGAACCTGTCTCAAAACAACAACAACAACAAACAATATGCAGAAGCAATTGTATTTATCCAGAAGCAATATGTATTTATTCTAGTATTGCAACCACTACTCAAAACATTGAAAATTCTTATTTTAAAATTACTTTTAGCGTCTACAGCACATTATTCTAGATATCCTCCCTGGTGGCACATGTTTGTTCCTCAACAGGTGATGAATTTAATTGAGGTGAGGGTTATTCGGAGCAACTAATGAATAAATGGGGAAAACGAGCTGGGTTTAAAAAAAAAAAGTATGACTATGTAGAACAATAAAGCAGGTTTTGAGTTTATAAGCTGGCTCTGAAAACAATTCCAAAAGAATTCCTAAAATGTCTAAGAAAGCAATATTGGAGTAAGTTTTCCTTAATAAGGTGACTATATGAAGGATAATATCTATTTGGAAGCATATTTTCTTATGTGCTTTATTTTAAAAAATTAGTCTTTTGACCCATTTTATATGTGCTTAATTTTGCAAGTCACCTCAAATCCCTTTTGGAAAAAAAGTAAAGTATAAATCCTATATAACAGTAGTCTTTATAGTCTATTCATCATTTATTGCTTCATAGTTAAAACTATAAATAATGAACCTAACAGCTATGTAAATCTATTCACCATAGGCCTTGTCAAGTTCAGTTTAGTCTAATCAGAACATTGATACAATTCAATGAATCTAGCATGAAATTATCATATTTCTTTTCCTTTTTTTTTTTTTTTGGATAGGTCTCATTCTGTAGCCCAGGCTGAAGTGCAGTGGCACAATCTCAGCTCACTGCAACCTCCGCCTCCCAGGATCAAGCAATTCTCCCACCTCAGCCTCCAGAGTAGCTGGGATTACAGACGTGCACCACGCTCAACTAATTTTTGCATTTTTTGTAGAGATGCGGTTTTGTTATGTTGCTCAGGCTGGTCCTGGACTCCTAGGTGCAAGCAATCCATCTGCCTCGGCCTCCCAAAGTGCTGGCATTAATTACAGGAATAAGCCACCATGCCTGGACAAAATCATCACATTTCATCTTCACAAATCTCCTTTAGGGGTTGAGTCCTTATGATATATTCTGATTAGATTTTTACTTTGTTTAGTTTTATGAATGTTTTCTAATTTATTTTTATTAATTTTATTAACCACAATTATCTTTTTTGTTTGTTTGTTTTTTAAGGGATCATCTCTTTTTGGAGAGGGAATTTTTTTTTTCTTTTTATCTGTTACCCTAGTTTAAATACTCAGCTTATTCTCTTATTCTACCCTATTTGTGGGGGAGGGCAAGAGTCCAAAAACTCTTAAGAAAAAAGATCACTAAGGGAGATCATGAATGCATTTTTAAGATGTAGTAAGTCAAACTACATCTATTTTTCTGTTCTTTAATTTTCAGTTGTATGCTTTTGATCCATTCACAAACTGATAAATCTCTCAAGAATAAGTCAGAGGGCCGGGCACAGTGGCTCACACCTGTAATCCCAGTACTTTGGGAAGCCAAGATGGGTGGATCACCTGAGATGGGGAGTTCAAGACCAGCCTGACCAACATGGAGAAACCCCATCTCTACTAAAAATACAAAATTAGCCAGGCATGGTGGCACATGCCTGAAATCCCAGCTACTCAGGAGGCTGAGGCAGGAGAATCATTTGAATCCAGGAGGCAGAGGTTGCGGTGAGCTGAGATCGCGCCATTGTACTCCAGCCTGGGCAACAAGAGCAAAATTTTGTCTCCAAAAAAAAGTCAGAGGGTATATACAGGTTGGTAGCTTTCACTGACTTAGAAGTGCTCATTCCCTCACACAAATATCTCTTGCACATATAATCTGGAAGCCAGTGGGATGAGGTAATGCACAAGTTCTATATTTTCCAAGTTGTGAGGAGGATGCCCTGAGTATTATTTCATGACCTAGGACAATGAGAATTTCTTTGGTCTTTTTGATAAAGGTTACCTTTCTTGTTTTGTACCAAAGACTTTTCAACAAATACATTCCTTTCAGAGACCTCTCGTCACAGTAAGAACTCCAAATAGATGCAACCAGTTTACACGCTATCAATAGTAAGTTCAGCTCAGCTAATCTTCCATCTTAATTCATCAAAGAGTTTCATCGTTCTTTAAGAAGAAATGCTAAAGCACAGACTTTTACATTGTCATTGGTTTCATTAAACAAAAAAAAAGGCGTGGCCAGTTGCAGTCTCATGCCTGTAATCCCAGCACTCTGGAAGGCTGAGGCTGGTGGACTGCTTGAGTCCAGGAATTAGAGACCAGCCTGGGCAACATGGTGAAACCCCATTTCTACAAAAAATAAAAAAATTAGCCAGGCATGATGGCACGAGCCTATAGTCCCAGCTACTTGGGAGGCTGAAATGGGAGAATCACTTGAGCCTGGGAGGCAGAGGTTGCAGTGAGCTGAGATCACACCACTGCACTCCAGCCTGGATGACAGTGTGAGACCCTGTTTCAAAAAAAAAAAAGGAAGAAAAGAAAAGAAGTAAACTCAAAATGGATCAAAGACCTAAATGTAGGAGTTAAAACTATAAAACTCTTAGAAGAAAACATGGCAGAAAATCTTCCTTATATTGGATTTGGGAATGATTTCACAGCTATGACAGCAAAAAGCACTGGCAACAAAAGAAAAAAACAGATAAACTGGACTTCAAAATTAAAAACTTTTGTGCCTCAAAAGCCATGATCAAGAGAGGGAAAAGAAAACCCACAGAATGAGAGACAATATTTGCAAATTGTGTATCTGATGAGGGATTAATATCCAGAATATATAAAGATTAATATGCAGAATGTGTAACTCCACAGTTATTTTAAAAACCTAATTTTAAAAAACTGATATTTCTCCAAAGAAGTTATATAACTGACTAAATAAACACATGAAATGATGCTTAATATCACCAGCCATTAGAGAAACATGAAATCAAAACCATAAGATACCGTAACTTCACACCCAGTAGAATGAGTATTATCAAACAACAACAAAAAACCTGAAAATAAGTATTGCCAAGATGTGAAGAAACTGGAACTCTCATTCATGTATTGCTGGTGGGGATGTAAGATGTTACAGCCACTATAGAGAACAGTTTGGCAGTTCTTTAAAAAGCTAAACATAGATTTACGTTATGATCCAGCAATTCCATTCCTGGGTATATACCCAAAACAACTGAAAGCAGGAAGCAGGAACTCAAACAGATGCTTAAATACCAATGTTCACAGCAGCCTATTCATAATAGCCAAAAGGTGGAGACAATCCCCATGTCCATCAACAGATGAACAGATAAACAAATGTATATACCTACAGTAGAATATTATTCAGTCTCAAAAAGTAATATATGCTATAACATGGACAAATTTAAAAAATATGCTAAAAGAAATAAGCCAGACACAAAACAAGTATTGTATAATTTCACTTTTATGAAATACCTATAACAGACAAATTCATAGAGACAAAATAAATTAGAGGTTACTAGCAACTGAGGGGTGGAGGGAATGGGGAGTTATTGCTTAATGGGTATGGAGTTTCTGTTTGGGATGATGAAAAAGTTCTGGAAATGGATAGTGGTGAGCATTGTGCAACTTTGTGAATGTGCTTAATGCCATTGAATTGTATACTTGAAAATGGTTTAAAATGGTAATATTATATTCTATATATTTTACCATAAATTTTTTTAATGCTGGACTTGAGATGCCTGTAGTGACAATACACCAATACTGCATAATATTTCTTGCTTTAAATAGTTTTTCTCACTCATTTAAGCACCTCCAATGCCAGTAAGTTTGGTGAGGATATACAATTGCTGACAGAAACATGATGAGGGCCCTGGACTCTAGTCCAAGTAAACACACCATCCAAAAAATGTTCACTTAAATGTCAAGTGAGTTGAGTCCATTCCAATAACAATAAAACAAGATCAGAGTGCATCTACTATGTTCGAGAGGACAGGGATCAAAGGTCCTGAGATGCCTCTGCTAGTAGCAAGATAATGCTCTGATTTACTGACATCACAGGCTAGTTTCTCTTAATTTCTTCCCCGGTACTCTTAACAGCTTTATTCATCACCTCTCCCACACTTGAGGTTTGTTAATGCCAAGTGCTTAGGTTTGGGATAACTCCCCAGAGGCTAATGATATGGCCTAGAAAGGAGGGGAGGGCAGAAAAATTCAAAAGAGAGGGACCTAAAATGTATTTCCAATCCCCCTAAGATTTTTTAATTGAGAAAAAAATGCACTATTTAATTTTAGAATTCTCGGCCAGGCACGATGGCTCAAGCCTGTAATCCCAGCATTTTAGGAGGCTGAGGAGGGCAGATCACCTGAGGTCAGTAGTTCAAGACCAGCCTGGACCAGCCTAGCCAACCCTGTCTCTACTAAAAATACAAAAATTAGCCAGGCGTGGTGGCAGACGCCTGTAATCCCAGCTACTTGGGAGACTGAGGCGCCAGAATCGCTTGAATCCGGGAGGAGGGGGTTGTAGTGAGCCGAGATCACCCCACTGCACTCCCACCTAGGTGACAGGGCAAGACTCTGTCTCAAAATAATAATAATTCTAACAACATTTCTAATACAGTACTTATATAGTAATCCTGAGGCTTAACGAAGCTTTAAGATTATTTCTAAAAATTAAGCAAAAGAAAAACTGTGTTTTAACACAGTTTCTATCTGTATTCTAAAGATGGAAGATTACAATTCAACTGCAAAAGAAACATGCAGTTTTGCCCCAGGCAGGGTTTTCATTTGGGGGGAAAAAATTAAGGATGATCTTCTTTGTTTATGGGTTTTTGTCTCTTATTGATATCTCATCTAGAGTTACTGGATAATTTCTGTTCTGAAAGCTGGGAGCAGCATGAGAAATAGAAACTGACCTGAGTTTAAATTCCAGCTATGAGTTTTAACAAATCTGTTGCTAGTTACTGATAGGATTTAGGACATCTGAACCCAAAATATGATACCTGGGCATTTGAGAAAACAGCAGAAGCAGGAAGGTCACTCTCACCTCCCGACTTCTTCCCTGAAGGAAGTCATAAAATCTAGGAAGAATTTTTCTCACCTTCCCCTAAAGCAGGTCATACTACTCTCATTTGAGAGGTGTCATCCTTATACCACGAGGAAAGGAACATCCTTACCTCTGAAGACCCAGGGACGCAGCAAAGAATCTGAATGAACAGAGCTTACTAAGTTCCTCCCAGTTTATCACCATTAGATCATACCCCCTTTTGTCCAACCATACTTCTCTACAACTATCCACTTCTTTATCAATCCTGTCATAGAAAACACACAGGTTTACTCATTTCTCCAGGTCTTCATTTCCTTATGAAGGCTCCTGTGTCCCATAAAACTTACATTAAATAAATCTGTATGCTTTTCTCTCACTAATCTGTCTTTTCTTATAGGGGCCGCAACCATGAACCTAAGATGGGAAGGAAAGATATTTCTTTCCCCTACACTACATATAAGTCATCTTATCTGTTGACTTAGTAGCCTTTTTTATTTTTTGACTTTTTGTTTGAGACAGGGTCTTGTTCTATAGCCCAGGATAGAGGCACAATCACAACTCACCAAAACCTCAAACTCCTTGGCTAACACCATCCTCCTCCCTCTGCTTCCCAAGTAGCTGGGACTACAGGCATGCACTACCACACACTGCTAATATTTTTTTTTTCCTAAGTTCCAGGGTATACGTGCAGGATGTGCAGGTTTGTTACACAGGTAAACATGTGCTATGGTGGTTTGCTGTACCACACCCTGGTAATCTTTATTTTTTGTAGAGATGAGGTCTCACTATGTTGCACAGAGGGATCTCGAACTCCTGGGCTCAAGGGCTCACAGCCTCCCAAAGCACTGGGATTACCCCTGTGAGCAATCATGCCTGGCCTTATTTTTGTACAATGTTGCTAGTAATCCCTACCTCAGCAGGCTGTGGTAAGGATTAAAAGGTACATTGTACATAAAGTACATTTTCTAGTACGTTTAATAAATGTTCATTTCTATCTTCCTGAAAATTTCTCAGAGAAATGCGAAGGAGTGGACACTAGCCATGGTATCCACTGATTCTGAAATAACAGAAATAAGGAGCTTATTGCTGGATTTACTGAAACGGCTCAGAATCTAAAGTGCTGGAGCTGGAAAAAAACTGGAATGTACCTCCTTCCGGATTTCCAAGCACCAGGAGTCACAAGAGAGCCAAAAAACTCAAGCCTTCGAAATTGGGGGGGGAAAAAAAAAGTCATTATGATTTCCCAAATGAGCCAGTAAGCCAAGTTAGAAATACTATAGTTTCATAATCCTAAACCAAGAGTCACTCTATATTTGTGAAGGGCTTAAATAAATATTAACAACTCATCCCCCCACTTTCTACCATTATGTTGCTCTAGTCTTCCTTGGGGTTAAGACTTCTGGAAATTTAATAATTCTACATGTATAATTTTTGTGTTAACTTCATGAAATTTACCACATTTACTCTTTCGTGCAACTGCAAACATTAACTATTTCTTCCTTTCTTATTGTTTCAAAAAGGCAAGTAACTCTCCTTGCATCTATTAGAAGCATAATGACACCTCTGTCATAAAGAATTTTTTTTTTTTTAATTTAAAGAAGGACCTGTTGTCCAAAATCTATTTCCTTCAGCACACTGGTAAACATGCTCATGGAAACATGCTCTGTTGCCAAAATACCCTGTCATTCAGCTGCTCAAAAAAGAGCTTTAACTTTCTATTAAGTTCATGATCATTTGCAATACTTAAACACACAGAAAAGAGCATTAAATATTCCACTGCCATCTACCAAGCAAGCCAGGTTTTTCCATAATATATAGAAGTGTAAATAAGGTCAATATTGGTATTTTTCTCCTTATTCCTCAGATTTTTTCCCTTTCAGCTCAAGTTTCAGTATATTAATACCTTGGTATCACCAGTCAGACAAAGAGTGCACTAGTCACTGCACTAGTCATTTCATGTACACTACTGCAATTAAACCTTACACCAAAAGTTTATCCCTGCCACACCGCCCCTCCCCCCACCTTTTAAAAAAATTAAATGAAGAAACTGAGACATAGGTTAAGTAACAATGCTGGTGGTCAAGAGCTAGTACAAGGCAGAGCTGGGATCCAACCCAGGTCTACCACACCATGAGGTTTTTTTCCACCAACCACATAACCTCTAGAGTAAGGATAAAAGTAAGACTAGGTCTAAAGTTGGAATGTATGGGACTTATATTTAATATTAATATATAATTTAATAATTAAATTTAATGTAATTATATTTAATATAATTAATATATTTAATATAATTTAACAGAAAAAGGATTATTCTCCCTTTTTTTAAAAAATAACTTTTTGTTTTCCATGAGGCATTTTATTTGTAAATATGTATTACATCTCTAGAAAAAGAATCCTACGATTTTCCCTCCTGTGCATTTTCGTCTTGCTTCTTCACGGTCTATGATGTCAGCTGAGATAGTTAGTACAATGAAACCAAACTGGCAGGATGGAAGCAGATTACTCTACCATTTTTCTAGATCTTTGAGTTGCACATCAAATCTGGGACTCATCCCTCCACACCTGTTTAGCCTGCCTGTGAGGTTCACTACAATTTTCCCAGCTCTGTGATCATCAATGATTTCAAATTCGCCAATGGAACCATGCTTCATTGTCACAGTTAAAAAAAAAAAAAAAGACAATGACTTTGGAGCACAGCCTAGTAAGAACCTGGCGTTTGCCTGTCTTTTCGACATTGCTGATGCTCTTGAGGGCATCAGCCAAGTCGTTCATGTGCACCATTGTGGTGGCGTGGAAAGATGATGGAAAGAAAAAAAAATCACTTCTTACACTCAGATTACTCTCACTTAACAGCTGCTGGCTAGCATTCTGCTTCTTGAAGAAACCACATTTTGCAGATTAGCAGTCTGTCAGATGCTGATCTGTAACCACGAGGAGATAATGTTAAGGACTTTATGTCACTCATTTACTCGGAAAAGAATTTCTCATTTGAAGCCTCAGAACTAGATTTCTGGATTTAGTATTATAAAACTAAGTAACAATACTAATGGAAATCACTAGTCTGTTTATGCCTATTTGCCATTTGAAAAAAAACAAGCACTGAACAGCCTGAAATTTACCAATTCTGTTTTCTATTTTCACTCCATTGTCCACTGTTGGTAACAACAAATTCAGCAATATAACACTTTTAGCAGTTGTCTATGCAAATAAAACCAAAGAAACCAAATTCAGAAATAGTATAGATTAGTCCCTTCATTTTGTGGAGAGTGCATAGTTTGATTAAAAACAACTTTCTTGCTCTGTCCCAGGTCCAAAGACCTAATCTTAGATTGGCTTTCAAGATCTTTTTAAGCTTGTTTTGTCCTGGGGTTAGCCTGACTCATCTGTGTAGGTCACTTAACCATAAAAAGGCTAAAAAAGACTGTGTGCTCAGATAAGGACCACAAATGAAAAACCTGGGGTATAGAAAGTATATACATGAGGGCAACTTAATAAATTAGGAAACTAGAGCACCCGACAGGTCTAATTAAGGGAGAAAGAGGCCTCGAAAAAAGGGAAAAGAAAAACACATACCCGCAGAGGAAGTCAAAATGCAAAGGGCCAAATCCTGATACATATCATGTGCAAAGAACGTCGCTAAAGTAATTTGGGGTGAAAGAGGAATTGTAAATAGGCTTGGCAGGTATTTTTTATATAAAACATAGTTGGCCGGATGCAGTGGCTCACATCTGTAATCCCAGCACTTTGGGAGGCCAAGGTGGGCAGATCACAAGGTCAGGAGTTCGAGACCAGCCTCGTCAATATGGTGAAACCCTATCTCTACAAAAAATACAAAAATTAACAGGGCGCGGTGGTGCATGCCTGTAGTCCCAGCTACTCAGGAGGCTGAGGCAGAAGAATCGCTTGAACCTGGAAGGCGGAGGTTGCAGTGAGCAGAGATCATGCCACTGCACTGCAGCCTGGGTGACAGAGCGAGACTCCGTCTAAAAAACTAAAAAACAAACAAAAAAACATAGTCCACTCTTGGCCAGTGGTAAAGCTAACACATATGATTCAGTACTATCTAGATTCTAAACATGACTTTCATATATAAACTCATCTGTACTCGACAGACAAACTACAGCTGACTTGAATAATGCGGGTTTGAACTGCACAGGTCCACTTATATGCGGATTTTTTATTTTTATTTTTTTGGAGACAAGGTCTTGATGTATCACCCAGGAGGGAGTGCAGTGGCATGACCACAGCTCACTGAAACCTCAAACTCCTGGGCTCAAGTGATCCTCCCATCTCAGTCTCCCAAGTAGCTGGAACTACACATACCATCATGTCTGGGTAATTTCTGAGAAGTTTTTATAGAGACAGGGTCTCATTAGGTTCCCCAGGCTGGTCTCAAACTCCTGGCTTCAAGCAATCCACCTGCCTCAGCCAGTGGGGAGAGTTGAGGTTTTCGATTGCATGGGAGCCAGTGCCTTTAGCTGCTGTATTATTCAAGGGTTAACTGTAGTTAAAGCATAATTAATGTACATAATCTCATTAGATAAATAAAGTGTTAATCTACAACAATACAGACATAAGGAGCTAAATACAAATACTGGCATTCTATGGGTAGTAGATTCAGGATTAATACTGATTTAGGTTCAAGACAACCAGGCAAAATTACTTTTGTCAATAAACAAGATTTTTGCATATTTTGTTCTGTTCTATATACAAATGTTAGTCTTACATAGAAATCCTGCAAATAAACCGATACACAGCTGGCTTCAATTATGGGGATAATTGGTGATAAAGGAATCTTCTCTGAAAAATATTTGTGGCATTAGGCTGGCATTTAGATGAGATGAAGATAATGAAGCTCCCATCAGAATGGATTATGTTACTGAACACTATGTGACACACTTCATTGGGGAAATAAATGATTACCAAATGATTACCAAACTGTAAGCAAAATAAGAAACATTTTAATACAAGAAAGGCCATCAATTTCTCTTTTAACAAACTACTCTCAACTCTCAACAAACTCCCAACAACCAACTCTCCCACAGTACCCAGTAACACCTTTAGCAAAATCCGTATCATTAACTTTTGAAAAATTAGAAGTTTAGAGAGACGGGGTTTCACTGTGTTGGCCAGGATGGTCTCGATCTCCTGACCTTGTGATCCGCCCGCCTCGGCCTCCCAAGGTGCTGGGATTACAGGCGTGAGCCACCGCGCCCGGCCTACACCTGGCTAATTTTTATATTTTTTGGTAGAGATGGGGTTTTGCCAGGCTGGTCTGGAACTCCTGACCTCAGGTTATCCTCCCGCCTCAGCCTCCCAAAGTGCTGGGATTACAGGAGTGAACCACTGTACCCATACCCACCCCCTGCAAAAACAAACAAACAAAAACTGTATTTAAAATGATCCGGTCTCTCCCTCTCCCTCTCCCTCTCCCTCTCCCTCTCCCTCTCCCTCTGTCTCCCTCTCCCCACGGTCTCCCTCTCATGCGGAGCCGAAGCTGGACTGTACTGCTGCCATCTCGGCTCACTGCAACCTCCCTGCCTGATTCTCCTGCCTCAGCCTGCCGAGTGCCTGCCATTGCAGGCACGCGCCGCCACGCCTGACTGGTTTTGGTGGAGACGGGGTTTCGCTGTGTTGGCCGGGCCGGTCTCCAGCCCCTAACCGCGAGTGATCCCGCCAACCTCGGCCTCCCGAGGTGCCGGGATTGCAGACGGAGTCTCCTTCACTCAGTGCTCAATGGTGCCCAGGCTGGAGTGCAGTGGCGTGATCTCGGCTCACTACAACCTACACCTCCCAGCCGCCTGCCTTGGCCTCCCAAAGTGCCGAGATTGCAGCCTCTGCCCGGCCACCACCCCGTCTGGGAAGTGAGGAGTGTCTCTGCCTGGCCGCCCATCGTCTGGGATGTGAGGAGCCCCTCTGCCTGGCTGCCCAGTCTGGAAAGTGAGGAGCGTCTCCGCCCGGCCGCCATCCCATCTAGGAAGTGAGGAGCGCCTCTTCCCAGCCGCCATCACATCTAGGAAGTGAGGAGCGTCTCTGCCCGGCCGCCCATCGTCTGAGATGTGGGGAGCGCCTCTGCCCCGCCGCCCCATCTGGGATGTGAGGAGCGCCTCTGCCCGGCCGAGACCCCGTCTGGGAGGTGAGGAGCGTCTCTGCCCGGCCGCCCCGTCTGAGAAGTGAGGAGACCCTCTGCCTGGCAACCACCCCGTCTGAGAAGTGAGGAGCCCCTCCGCCCGGCAGCTGCCCCGTCTGAGAAGTGAGGAGCCTCTCCGCCCGGCAGCCACCCCATCTGGGAAGTGAGGAGCATCTCCGCCCGGCAGCCACCCCGTCCGGGAGGGAGGTAGGGGGGGGTCAACCCCCCGCCCGGCCAGCCGCCCCATCTGGGAGGGAGGTGGGGGGTCAGCCCCCCCGACCGGCCAGCCGTGCCATCCGGGAGGGAGGTGGGGGGGTCAGCCCCCCACCTGGCCAGCCGTGCCGTCCGGGAGGGAGGTGGGGGGTCAGCCCCCCGCCCGGCCAGCCGCCCCGTCCGGGAGGTGAGGGGTGCCTCTGCCCGGCCGCCCCTACTGGGAAGTGAGGAGCCCCTCAGCCTGGCCAGCCACCCCGTCCGGGAGGGAGATGGGGGGGTCAGCCCCCCACCCGGCCAGCCGCCCCGTCCGGGAGGGAGGTGGGGGGGTCAGCCCCCCGCCCGGCCAGCCGCCCCGTCCGGGAGGGAGGTGGGGGGGTCAGCTCTCCGCCCGGCCAGCCGCCCCGTCTGGGAGGTGAGGGGCGCCTCTGCCCGGCCGCCCCTACTGGGAAGTGAGGAGCCCCTCAGCCCGGCCAGCCACCCCGTCCGGGAGGGAGATGGGGGGGTCAGCCCCCCCACCCGGCCAGCCGCCCCGTCCGGGAGGGAGGTGGGGGGGTCAGCCCCCCGCCCGGCCAGCCGCCCCGTCCGGGAGGGAGGTGGGGGTGTCAGCCCCCCGCCCGGCCAGCCGCCCCGTCCGGGAGGGAGGTGGGGGGGGGTCAGCCCCCCCGCCCGGCCAGCCGCCCTGTCCGGGAGGTGAGGGGCGCCTCTGCCCGGCCGCCCCTACTGGGAAGTGAGGAGCCCCTCTGCCCGGCCAGCCGCCCCGTCCGGGAGGGAGGTGGGGGTGTCAGCCCCCCGCCCGGCCAGCCGCCCCGTCCGGGAGGTGAGGGGCGCCTCTGCCCGGCCGCCCCTACTGGGAAGTGAGGAGCCCCTCTGCCCGGCCAGCCGCCCTGTCCGGGAGGGAGGTGGGGGTGTCAGCCCCCCGCCCGGCCAGCCGCCCCGTCCGGGAGGGAGGTGGGGGGGGTCAGCCCCCCCGCCCGGCCAGCCGCCCTGTCCGGGAGGTGAGGGGCGCCTCTGCCCGGCCGCCCCTACTGGGAAGTGAGGAGCCCCTCTGCCCGGCCACCACCCTGTCTGGGAGGTGTGCCCAACAGCTCATTGAGAACGGGCCAGGATGACAATGGCGGCTTTGTGGAATAGAAAGGCAGGAAAGGTGGGGAAAAGATTGAGAAATCGGATGGTTACCGTGTCTGTGTAGAAAGAAGTAGACATGGGAGACTTTTCATTTTGTTCTGCACTAAGAAAAATTCCTCTGCCTTGGGATCCTGTTGATCTGTGACCTTACCCCCAACCCTGTGCTCTCTGAAACATGCGCTGTGTCCACTCAGGGTTAAATGGATTAAGGGCGGTGCAAGATGTGCTTTGTTAAACAGATGCTTGAAGGCAGCATGCTCGTTAAGAGTCATCACAAATCCCTAATCTCAAGTAATCAGGGACACAAACACTGCGGAAGGCCGCAGGGTCCTCTGCCTAGGAAAACCAGAGACCTTTGTTCACTTGTTTATCTGCTGACCTTCCCTCCACTATTGTCCCATGACCCTGCCAAATCCCCCTCTGTGAGAAACACCCAAGAATTATCAATAAAAAAATAAATTTAAAAAAAAAATAAAAATTAAAAAAAAAAAAAAGAAAAATTAGAAGTTTACAAGTTTAGAATTATTATATATTCAGCTTAACATTCCTACAGTCCACATATATATTTTTGCTTCAGTTACCCTCTTCCTCATTCATTAGTGACATCAAAGTTTTAAATAATTATTTACCACTAATTCTATCAACTCCAGCATTTAACATAAAAAACAGGATTCTCAAAACATCATTATTCAAAGTAAATTTTCTTATCTATTAATAGGAACCATTAAAAAGCTGAAAAATCAAAAAACCCCTCTCCCCAAAGAAGGTCTTCTGTAGCCATCTTCAGGAAGACCAAAAACAGAGTTTCCTTATGAAAATATCTCAATTTGCCAAGACTAAATCCCAACCCCCATCCTTTCCAAAAAGAAGTCATATGTATTTCCCACATTTGAAAACAAGAAAAAAGAACTTTGAGGAAACCCTATGTAGCTGTTTCCTCAGAACAAATTTAGGCAAATTTACAGTGTGATAAGGATCATGAGCCAACAACCACCTCTCAATGAACACACCATTCCAAAACACGACTTTGAGATGTTATGTTTGACATGTGATGTCCTATGCAGACACTTCAGAAGCATCAATCCTAGGATCACTGTATTCTAAGAATTTCACTACATTCTAACTCTGAAAACTAGTAATCTATCTATGCTGTAAGGTAATTATATATCACTCAAAATACTGTTTGCCAGAATAGCCAATTCATAGATTATGCTAGACAGATAGTTTTATAGTTCATTCTATGGTCTCAATATTTGTGTCCTTTAAAGTTCATATGCTGAAATATAATCATCAATGTGATGGTGTCAGGAAGTGATGCTTCTGGGAAGTGATTGGTGTCCTCTTTTATAAAGGCGGAGCACTTGTGAATGGGATTAGTGCCCTTATAAAAGAGGCCTAAGAGAGACCCCTTACTACTTCTACCACATAAGGACACAGCTAGAAGGTGCTTTCTATGAACCACAAAGCAGACAAACCCACGTTGTGGAACATTCTACAAAATACCTAGCCAGTACTCTTTAAAAGTCTCAAAGCAACGCCGGGTGCAGTGGCTCACACCTGTAGTCTCAGCACTTTGGGAGGCCAAGGCAGGTAGATCGCTTGAGCCCAGAAGTTCCAGACCAGTCTGAGTGACATGGTGAAACCCTGTCACTACTAAACAATGAAAAAGTTATCTGGGCATGGTGGCTTGCACCTGTATCTCCAGCTACTTGGGAAGCTGAAATGGGAGGATCACCTAAGTCTGGGAGGTTAAGGCTGCAATGAACCATGATTGCACCACTGCACTCCAGCCTGGGCAACAGAGTGAGACACTGTCTCAAAAGAGAAAAAAAAAATTATTTTTTAAAAAAGTATTGGCCAGGCATGGTGGCTCATGCCTGTAATCCCAGCACTTTGGGAGGCTGAGGCGGGTGGATCATCTGAAGTCAGGAGTTCGAGACCAGCCTGACCAACACGGTGAAACCCTATCTCTACTAAATACAAGAAATTAGCTGGGTGTGGTGATGCATGCCTGTAACCCCAGCTACTTGGGAGGCCGAGGCACAAGAATTGCTTGAACCTGGGAGGCGGAGGTTGCAGTGAGCCAAGACTGCACTATTGCACTCCAGCCTGGGTAACAAGAGCAAAACTTCATCTCGAAAAAAAAAAAAAAGTGTCATAGCAATGAAAGAGAAGACTTAGGAACAATCACAGATTAGAAGAGACTAAGGAGATAAGACAACTAAATGCAATATGCGATTCGGGACTGGATCCTAGAATAAAAAGATGACATTAGTGGAAAAACTGATAAAAAACAAAGTCCATAGTTCAACTAATAATACTGTACTGGTGTTAATTTCTCAGTTTTTATAATTGTACTATGGTCAAGCAAGATGTTACCATAGGAGAGGGGAAAGGAGAACTCTCTAAATTATTTTTGTAGCTCTTCTGTAGGTCTAAAGTAATTTCTTTTTTTTTTGAGACGGAATCTCACTCTGTCACCCAAGCTGGAGTGCACAGTGGCGCGATCTCGGCTCACTGTAAGCTCTGCATCCCAGGTTCACGCCATTCTCCTGCCTCAGCCTCCTGAGTAGCTGGGACTCGGTACAGGCGCCCGCCACCACGCCCGGCTAATTTTTGTATTTTTTTAGTAGAGACAGGGTTTCACTGTGTTAGCCAGGATGGTCTCGATCTCCTGACCTTGTGATCTGCCTGCCTCGGTCTCCCAAAGTGTTGGGATTATAGGCGTGAGCCACCGCGCCTGGCCGCGGTCTAAAGTAATTAAAAAAAAAAATTATGTCAAGAGTTAAAAAAAGAATGAACTACTTACTGGTAGACACAACAATGTGAATGAATCATAAAAACATGCTGAGCAAAATAAGGCAGACAAAAAGGAGTACATACTATATGATATGCCTTGGCTATGTCCCCACCCAAATGTCATCTTGAATTTGCACGTGTTGTGGGAGGGACCCAGTGGGAAGTAATTGAATCACAGGGGTGTGTCTTTCCTCTGCTGTTCTCGTGATAGTGAATAACTCTCACAAGATCTGATGGTTTTAAAAAGGGGAATTTCCCTGCACAAGCTCTCTTCTCTTGTCTGCTGCCATATGAGACATGCCTTTTGCCTTTCACCTTCCACCATGATTGTGGAGCCACTCCAGCCACATGGAACTGTAAGTCCATTAAACTTTTTTTTTTTGAAATGGAGTTTTGCTCTTTTTGCCCAGGCCGGAGTGCAGTGGCACGATGTCAGCTCACCGCAATCTCCACCTCCCGGGTTCAAGTTATTCTCCTACCTCCCAAGTAGCTGGGATTACAGGCATGCACCACTGCACCCAGCTAATTTTGTATTTTTAGTAGAGATGGGGTCTCACCATGTTGGCCAGGCAGGTCTCGAACTCCTGACCTCAGGTGATCTGCCCACTTCAACCTCTCAAAGTGCTGGGATTACAGGTGTGAGCCACCACACCTGGCCTAAACCTCTTTCTTTTGTAAACTGCCCAGTCTCAGGTATGTCTTTATTAGCAGCATGAAAACAAACTAATATAGTAAATTGGTACCAGTAGAGTGGAGCACTGCTGAAAAGATATCCAAAAATGTGGAAGCAACTTTGGAACTGGGTAACAGACAAATGTTAGAACAATTTGGAGGGCTCAGAAGAAGAGAGAAAAATGTGGGAAAGTTTAGAACTTCCTAGAGACTTGTTGAATGGCTTTGACAAAAATATTGATAGTGACATGGGCAACAAATTCTAGGCTGAGGTGGTCTCAGATGGAAATGAGGAACTTATTGGGAGCTGGAGCAAAGCTGAGTCTTTATATATTTTAGCAAAGAGACTGGTGGCATTTTGCCCCTACCCTAGAGATTTGTGGAACTTTGAACTTGAGAGAGATGATTTAGGGTATCTGATGGAAGAAATTTCTAAGCAGCAAAGCATTCAAGAGATGACTTGGATGCTGTTAAAGTCATTCAGTTTTATAAGGGAAGCAGAGCATAAAAGTTCCGAAAATTTGCAGCCTCACAATGCAATAGAAAAGAAAACTCATCTCTGAGAAGAAATTCAAGCCCTGTACAGAAATTTGCATAAGTAACAAAGAGCCTAATGCTAATCACCGAGACAATGGGGAAAATGTCTCCAGGGCATGTCAGAAGTCTTCATGGTAGCCCCTTCCACCACAGGCCAGGAGGCCTCAGAGGAAAAAGTGGTTTCATGGGCCAGGCCCAGGCTCCCCATGCTGTGTGCAGTCTGGCGACTTAGTGCCGAGTCCCAGCCACTCCTGCCATGGCTGAAAGGGGCCAATATAGAGCTCGGGCTGTGGCTTCAGAGGGTGCAAGCCTCAAGCCTTGGCACCTTCCATGTGGTGTTGAGCCTGCAAGTGCACAGAAGTCAAAAATTGGGGTTTAGGAACCTCCACCTATATTTCAGAGGATGTATGGAAATGCCTGGATGTCCAGGCAGAAGTTTGCTGCCAGGGTGGGGCTCTCATGGAAAACCTCTGCTAAGGCAGTGCAGAAGGGAAATGTGGGGTCAGAGCCCCCACACAGAGTCCCTACTAGGGCACTGCCTATTGGAGCTGTGAGAAGAGGATCACCGTCCTCCAGACCCCAGAATAATAGATCCACTGACAGCTTGCACCGTGCACCTGGAAAAGCCACAGACACCCAACACCAGCCTGTGAAAGCAGCTGGGAGGGAAGCTGTACCCTGCAAAGCCACAGAAGTGGAGCTGCCCAAAACCATGGGAATCCACCTCTTGCATCAGCAAGACCTGGATGTGAGACACAGGGTCAAAATATATCATTTTGGAGCTTTAAGATTTGACTGCCCCACTGGATTTCAAACTTGCATGGGGCCTGTAGCCCCTTTGTTTTGGCCAATTTCTCCCATTTGGAATGGCTGTATTTACTCAATGCCTGTATCCCCATTGTATGTAAGAAGTAACTAACTTGCTTTTGATTTTACAGGTTCATAGGCAGAAGGGACTTGCCTTGTTTCAGATGAGATATTGGACTGTGAACTTTTTAGTTAATGTTGAAATGAGTTAAGACTTTGGGGGACTGTTGGGAAGGCATGATTGGTTTTGAAATGTGAGGACAAGAGATTTAGAAGGGCCAGGGGCAGAATGATATGGTTTGGCTGTGTCCCCACCCAAATCTCATCTTCAATTCCCACATGGTGTAGGAGGGATCCAGTGGGAGGTAATTGAATCATGGGAGTGGGTCTTTCCCTTGCTGTTCCTGTAATAGTGAATAAGTCTCATGAGATCTGATGGTTTTAAAAAGGGGAATTTCCCTGCACAATCTCTCTTCTCCTGTCTGCTGCCATGTGAGACATGCCTTTCACCTTCTGCCATGATGCTGGGGATTCCCCAGCCAGGTGGAAATATAAGTCCATTAAACTTCTTTCTGGTTGGGCTCGGTGGCTCACGCTTGTAATCCCAGCACTTTGGGAGGCCGAGGCAGGCAGATCACCTGAGGTCAGGAGTTCAAGACCAGCCTGGCCAACATAATGAAACCCCCACTGCCCCCCACATCTCTACTAAAAATACAAAAATTAGCCGGGCATAGTGGCAGGCACCTGTAATCCCAGCTACTCAGGAGGCTGAGGCAGGAGAATCGATTGAACCCAGGAGGCGGAGGTTGCAATGAGCTGAGATCGCACCACTGCACTCCAGGCTGAGTGACACAGCAAGATTCCATCTCAAAACAGAACAAAATGGCTGGGCGTGGTGGCTCATGCCTGTAATCCCAGCACTTTGGGAGGCCGAGGCAGGTGGATCACCTGAGGTCAGGGGTTCGAGACTGGCCTGGGTAACCTGGTGAAACCCCATCTCTATTAAAAATACAAAAAACTTAGCTGGGTGTGGTGGTGGGCACCTGTAATCCCAGCTACTCAGGAGGCTGAGGCAGGAGAATCTCTTGAACCTGGGAGGCACAGGTTGCAGTGAGCCAGGATTGCACCATTGCACTCCAGCCTGGGAGACAGAGCGAGACTCTGCCTCCAAAAAAAAAACCCTCTTTCTTTTGTAAATTGCCCAATCTCAGGTATGTCTATCAGCAGCATGAAAACAGACTAATACACCATATGTTTCTATTCATATGAAAATCTCGATAAACTGTCATTATCCAAAATGATCATTTTAACATTATATGCCTATACATACATGCATGCTTAGGTTTGAATCTTGGTTCAGGTATATCATAACTAAATGTCCTTGGACAAAGTGCTTGATGTCTCAGAGTCATATGTAAAATGGAGATGATAGTAGTAACTGCTTCACAGGGTTTCTGTAAATATTAAATAACAGATGTGAATGACAGAATCCATGTGTTAAATGAGATAATCTATGTAATAAAGCACTTGGAACGGGTCCTGGCATATAATAAGTACTTAATAAATGTTACCACTTACTGTTAAATATACACAAAGTATGTTTGTGTGTAGACTAGGAGAAAGCATTAAAATACGAAGTGGCATTGCAAAAAACAAAAAGAAGAAATCATAAGGTGCATTAAAGTTTAGAGACAGATTCAGTTAATTATTTTTTTTTTTTTTTTGAGACACGGTCTCACTCTGTTGCCCAGGCTGGAGTGCATTGGCACCATCTCAGCTCACTGCAACCTCTGCCTCCCCAGTTCAAGCGGTTCTCCCACCTCAGCCTCCTGACCAGCTGAGACTACAGGCACGTACCACCACACCCAACTAATTTTTGTATTTTTTAGTAGAGATGGGGTTTCACCATGTTGGGCAGGCTGGTCTCGAACTCCTGTCAAGTAATCCACCCGCCTCAGTCTCCCAAAGTGCTGGGATTACAGGCATGAGCCACCGCGCCAGGCCAATTAAGTGACCTTTTCAATATACAAGATAGTTTATTTTTTCATTATTCTGTGGGAATATATAATCACCTCAGTTTTCAGTAACAAAATGTGCCAGGCACATTATAGATTCTCAATAAATACTTACTAAATTGAACTATTTCAATGTAAAGAGATTGTCTTAATAACCAAGGGAAAAATATTTGTCACTTTTTGACACCATTAACTTCTATTTCTGCTTTAGATAATCTCTTTCAGCTGCCAAATTAACTCACCATTCCTTTCCCTAGAGAGCTAGAATCTTGAAAGAAGAGACTATAGATTTTCTTCCCATTTGAACAGCAAGATCTACATTGGGAAAGTATACTGCTTTCCCCTGCTTTCTGACAAGTGCTCCTAAAAGTGTCTGTGACCAATTAGAAAAACATTAAATGCTGCAAAAATAAGGTTAAGGCAATAGAAAAACAAATAAATGACAAAGAGTATGGAGGGAAGAGAAAAATTCAAATCAGGAACTGTGTATATTTTTAATGTATTACTTGTTTGGTAAAAAAATCATGACCGTATCTATGTAGCAAGTACTCCCGTAATTTCGTGTTTGAACACGTATTATTCATTCACATTTGTAGCCTAAATCGAACATCAAACTGTGATTTGTCTAATTTGAGATGGACAAATTAATACTGTTATATTAATAGTTCCTGAGAAGTGTCTTTATACGTCTTAAGGTTTTTGTGTAAAGACAAAATTTTTTAACAGACAATTTCTGAAAGATTCTGTGTGTCACAGTTTCACATACACGTGCAAGCATATATGCTCAACTTGATCCCTCATCCCCACTACTTCTTAAATTAAATGCATTTCCACGAGATTGAAAATATTTTACTAAATTCTGGAAAGATGTTATAACTACTGATTAATACATTGACTCTTTCAAATATATCTTAGAGAAGGAAGGGAAAAACAGCACAGTGCTGGTGTTTAAGGGCTACAGGATAATGAAAAAAGCTAATGGCTCTAGTTTTTTGTTTGGTTGGTTGGTTAGTTGGTTTCAGAAGCTATATAATTTATTTAATAAAAAAGGATGTGGAAACTTAAACACAAAGTTTACACAAATAGGAGACCATGAGATGGTACCCAATGCCCCACATCCTCATAAGGACAAAACATGCTGATGAAAACATCTACACAGACTAAGGATTCTACAAGTTAAAAAAGAAGTTCATCTTTTCCATATTTGTCATGGAGTTTCAATGACTTCTTGCCCAGTCCTCCATCTAACTGCAGCTGACCATTGGGAAGACTGGCTAAATTCCTGCATATACCCTAGGTACAGAAAAGAAACCCCAGTACATCTCTGAGTTTTTTGGGGTTTGTTTGTTTTTTGTTAAGTTCTGGGATACATATGCAGAATGTGCAGGTTACATAGGTATACATGTACCATGGTGGTTTGCTGCACCTATAAACCCGTCATCTAGGTTTTAAGCCCTGCATGCGTTAGGTATTTGTCCTAATGCTCTCCCTCCCTTTGCCTCTCACCCCCCGACAAGCCTCAGTGTGTGATGTTCCCCCTCCCTGTGTTCATGTGTTCTCAATGTTCAACTCCCACTTATGAGTGAGAACATGCAGTGTTTGCTTTTTGGTTCCTGTGTTAGTCTGCTGAGAATGATGGCTTCTAGCTTCATTCATGTCCCTGCAAAAGGCACAAACTCATTCCTTTATGTGGCTGCAGCTCTAGTTTTTAAAAAGCCTTATACATACTACGTGTGCAATCATTTCAATGGAAAATGAACACATTTCCCATCTGTGTTAAGAATAACATACTGTCCGGGTGCAGTGGCTCACGCCTGTAAACCCAGCACTTTGGAAGGCCAAGTGGGGAGATCATCTGAGGTCAGGAGTTCGAGATCAGCCTGGCCAACATGGTGAAACCCCATCTCTACTAAAAATACAAAAATTAGCCGGGTGTGGTGGTGCATGCCTGTAATCCCAGCTACCTGGGAGGCTGAGGCAGGAGAATCGCTTGAACCCAGGAGGTGGAAGTTGCAGTGAGCCAAGATCGCGCCATTGCACTCCAGCCTGGAGGACAAGAGCGAAACTCCGTCTCAAAAAAAAAAAAACTAAAATTTTTAACTGATACAAGTTTATCTGTGGCAGTGCAAGAGACACAAAATCTCATACCTAAAGAATGGCTAAGAGTAAAAGTCAAAAATGCCCAAATATACCTATCAATATATGATTTTACCATATTATTTCTTACCAGGGTCTCTAAAATAGTAAAATTTAGTACTTTTTCTATCTATGTGTACAAACTCATGAGCCACATCTCAAGGATATCTGATAATTTCAATATTCACAAATCTTACTGGAAGCAACCTGATAATAAAAGCTTCTGGCAGCCAAATACATGATTAAGTCAGCAAATGTCAATTGAATTGCCTACTGTGAACCCACTGTGTTATACCCAAAGCAGCAGTTCTTAAGCAATCAGAAATTGCTACTCACCAGCAAGGGTATAATCCATATCAAAACCAAAACACTTTATCTTTTCCATTGCTAAACTTCGGTTCACAAACACCCTATAGAAAATAATAAAAAATAATATCTCAACACTGGAAAATAAATTCTCAAGTTTAATAAAGTTATTTGGCTATTTTTCTAGGTTTTCTCATTTATTTTTCCAATTGATTTTTTAAACTTTTAAAATTATATATTAAGATGTATAACACGACATGCTGTTTGATATACTTATCTTGATACACATATACACAGTGAAATGATTAATACAGTCAAACAAATTAACATACCCATTATCCCATACAGTTACCTTGTTTTCTTTCTTCTTGTTTATTGTGGTACAAGTACTTAAAATCTATTGTCTTGGCAAATTAACAGTACATAATACAATATTATTAAATATAGCCCTCATGCTATACATTAGATCTCTTAGACTTATTCATCCAACATAACTGCAACTTTGTACCCTTTGATCTACATCTTTCCATCCTTCCCCAACACTGTTTTGTTTTTGTTTTTTGAGGCAGAGTCACTCTGTCACCCAGGCTGGAGTGCAGTGGTGAAATCATGACTCACTGCAGCCTCAGCCTCCTAGGCTCAGGAGATCCTCCTTACCTCAGCCTCCTGAGTAGCAGGAACTACAGGCACACGTCAGCAAGCCCGGATAATTTTTTATTTTTTGTAGAGACAGAGGCTCACCTATGTTGCTCTGGCTCATCTTGAACTCCTGGGCTCAAGCAACCCTCCTATCTCGGCCTCTCAAAGTCCTGGGATTACAGGCATGATCCACCGCGCCTGGCCTCCAATCACTGCTTTGCTCTTTGTTTCTATGGTTTCCTTTTTTGATTGTTTTTTAGATTCCACATGTGAAATCATGCAGTATTCTTTGGTGTGTCTGGCTTATTTCACTTAGCATAATGTCTTCTACGTTCATCCATGGTGTTGCAAACGGTAGAATCTCCTTTTTTAAGGCTGAATATTCCATTGTGTGTATATATACCACAATTTCTTTATCCATTCATTCAGCCCATCAACAGATATCTTTTTTCCATCTCCTAGCTATTCTAAATAATGTTGCAATGAACATGGGAGTGCAGGTATCTTCACAAAGTGGTGATTTTACTTCCTTTGGGCATACAACTAGAAGAACTGCTGGGTCATATGGCAGCTGTATTTTCTTTAGGAAGCTCTACAGCATTTTCCACGGTGGCTGCATCAATTTACATTGCCACCAACAGTGTACAAGTGTTCCCTTTTCATGCATCATTGCCAACATTTATTTCTTATCTTTTTGATAAAAGGCATTCTAATAGGTATGAGATGATATCTCATTGTGGTTTTGATTTGCACTTCCCCTGATGATTAATGATGTTAAGCTCCTTTTCAAATACCTGTTAGCCATTTGCATGTCTGCTTTGGAGAAATGTCTATGCAGGTCCTTTGCCCATTTTTGGGTCATTTCTTTTTTCGCTATTGTTTGAGGTCCTCATATATTTTAGATGTTAATCCCTTAACAGATACATGGTTCGCAAACAGTTTCTCCCAATCCATAGGCTGCCTTTTTGTTTCTCCTTTGCTGCGCAGAAGCTTTTTAGTTTGAGGTAGTCCCACTTGTTTTTGCTTTTGCTGCCTGTGCTTTTGGTGTCCTATCCAAAAAAATCACTGCCGAGACCAAGGTCAAGAAGCTTTTCCTTTGTTTTCTTTTAGATCTTCTCATTTAAATACCAATATTAAAATCCATAATAAAAATTATTCAAGGTTGGGAGCAGTGGCTCACACCTGTAATCCCAGCATTTTGAGAGGCCGAGGCAGGCAGATGGCTTTAGCTCAAGAGTTCTAGACCAGCCTAGGTTAACATGGTGAGAACCCAACTCTACAAAAAATACAAAAATCAGCTGGGGATGGTGGTGTGCACCTGTGGTCCCAGCTACTTGGGAGGCTGAGGTAGGAGGATTGCTTGAGTCTACGAGATCAAGGCTGTAGTGAGCCAAGATCACACCACTGCACTTCAGCCTGGGCAGCAGAGTGAGACCCTGTTCCCAAAAAAATAACAAATAAATTAAAAATTGAAAAATATTATCCAAGTCTTTCTTATACAGTAAATGAAATCAGATATTATACAAAAATATACAGATTTGTGTATTGTGTCCTGGCATTAAAAATGCCATGTATTCAAGATTTCAGGGAAGAGGCTCTCCTTTCCAAAGTCTGACCCCATAAAATAAGATTACTTTTGGGATTTTATAACTCATTCACTTATTAATTTATAATTTATTTAATAAACAAGTCATTTAAAGCCCACTGAAGATAAAAATATAGACTAATTAAATAAATAGCTACTGTCTATTACACCCAGATACTGTGATTGAACAAAAGACTGTACCAGCCCTCATGAAACTTATATTGTAATTTACTCTGTTTATCCTTGAGGAACTCAGCCTACTAGGAAGGAGACCTTTAAATAATTTCAGCAATTCAGTAAGTACTATAAAATAACATGGAGGAGAGAGTACCAGTTGTTTAGAGAGGTCAGGAAGAAATGTTTGAACTGAATCTTAATCAATCAGTAGTTTTCCATTAGGAAAATGCAAGAAAGGCAACGCAGGCAAAATAACCAAGCAAAGAAAAGGTTTACAGTAAACTACAAAGCATTTATTGTGGCTGGAGTTGAGAAGCTTTCTTTGGTTTTGCTTCTGTTTGTTTTCACAGAAAGAGGTTTTCCAGGGGGCAAGGATGGGGGAAGGAGCAATAAAAGCTATGAAAGGTTAGTAGGGGTCAAAATCCTGAAGATTTTGTAAGCCACATTAGGGAATTTGGACTTTATCCCGCATTTAAGACCAAAATATCAGAGTTTAAGGAAATGAAATAATCAGAAAGATCACTATGAAGACATAGGAAAAACTGAACATATAATAGTATGGTAGATCATCAGCATGATGGTCTTTCAGGGTAAGTTTTAATCATCTTTAAAAATAAAGGCCAGGTGTAGTAGCTCACGCCTGTAATCCCAGTACTTTACAAGGCAGGCAGATCGCTTGAGCACAGGAGTTCGAAACCAGCCTAGGCAACATGGCAAAACCCCGTCTCCACAAAAAATACAAAAAAAAGCTGGGTGTGGTGGCACATGCCTGTAGTCCCAGTTACTCGGGAGGCTGAAGTGGGATCTCCTGAGCCTGAGAGGCAGAAGTTGCAATGAGCCAAGATTGTACCACTGCATTCCAGCATGGGTGACAGAGTAAGACCCTGTTTCAAAAAGAAAAAAAAGAAAGAAGAAAAGAAAGGAAGGGCCAGGCACGGTGGCTCACGCCTGTAATTCCAACACTTTGGGAGGCTGAGGCGGGTGGATCACGAGGTCAGGAGTTCAAGACCAGCCTGGCCAACATGGTGAAACCCTGTCTCTACTAAAAATACAAAAATTAGCTGAGCATGGTGGCGTGTTCCTGTAATCCCAGCTACTCAGGAGGCTGAGGTAGGAGAACTGCTTGAGCCTAGACCCGGGAGGCAGAGGTTGCCGTGAGCCAAGATCACACCACTGCACTCCAGCCTGGGCTACAAAGCAAGATTCCATCAAAAAAAAAAAAAAAAAGAAGAATAGAAAAGAGAAAAGAAAAGAGGAAAGGGAACGGAAAGGGAAAAGACAGAAAATAAGGTTATCCTTTCCACTTGATCCTCAGCTTGGTAGCCAAAGTTAAAACTGCATGGCTTCTCCTCTTATTACCAAACCTTTTCTTTGTCTTCATTTCATAAGTAACTGTAGGAAATTAGAATGATATAGATCAGTGGATCTCAAAACTGCAGTGTACATCAAAATCACAATCACCTGAGTAACTTGTTAAAAATAAAAAAGCCTGGGCTGGGCTCCCCCATCAGTGATCTAGGTCAATGGTCTCCAAAGAAGAGTAACTGCATCAAGGGATGCAAAAAGCCTCCACTGGGATACAGAAAGAAAATATCAGATCTTCTATTGATATTTACCTCACCATTTAAAAATGCCTAATTTATATATTTATATATGTTTCTTATTTATTTTCAAGACAGAGTCTTACTCTGTTGCCCAGGCTGGAGTACAGTGGTGTGATAATGGCTCACTGCAGCCTCAACCTCCCAGGCTCATGTTATCCTCCTACCTCAGCCTCAGCCTCCCAAGTAGCTGGGACCACAGGTACGCACCACCATGTCCAGCTATTTTTTTTTTTTTTTTTTTTTTTTTTTTTTGTAGAGATGGCCTTGGAGACTTTTTTTAAAAAGGAGTTTGAGACCAGAAGTGGTGCCTCACACCTATAATCCCAGCACTTTGGGAGGCCAAGGTGGGAGGACTGCTTCAGCCCAGGAGTCTGAGACCAGCCTGGGCAATATAGTGAGACCCTATCTCAACAAAAAATAAAAAATTAGCCACGTGTAGTGGCACATGCCTATAGTCTCAGCTACTCAAGAGGCTGAGGCAGGAAGATCACTTGAGCCCAAGAGGTCAAGGCTGCAGCGAACTGAGATCGTGCCACTGCATTCTAGCCTGGGCAACAGAGCAAGACCCTGTCTCAAACAAAGAAACAAAAAACACCCTCCAACCTCCAGCCCCCAAACATATCACCTTCTAATATTTCATCAAATATCACCCTGTTATTACTGATAAAAGCATCTACTTTATTATATTTTCCCAGTTACATAAATCCTTTTGAAAGTACAACAGGGATAAAAGACAAAATAATGGTTGTAGCTCTAGAAACTAAATGTAACTACTGAAGGCTTTTCAAACAGATTCTTAATTCAGGCTAGAGAGCCAACTGGATCAAATCCTTGATCAGGCCCTAACAGCTGACATGCCTAAAATATTCTATGGGAATACAAGCAGGAATGGATTGGGGATGATTTTTTCCCTTGTGATACAATCCAGGAGAGAAGTATGCGGAACGACATAATAAAAGAAACAGCTTTTACTCTCATAGAAGAAAGATGCTAGCTAGCTTCAAGCACAGCTAACATTACAGGAAAAAGGAGATTTTGCTGTTAATGTCAATCAGTGCTTAAGACAAGAACAACAGTCTCAGCCAAGTACCAGCTTCTTTCTTTGTTAGAAAAGAGATTAAGCTTGTACTGTCATGAAAATATATCAAATCATTTATGTATATTTTTAAGGATTCAAAGATTATAATGTACCTTTATTATCTATGTAAACTCTAGGAATAACATATTTCAGGAATATGAAAATCTGGTTTTGCCAAAATAATCATTGCTACATATCCATCAAATTGCACTTCTCCTCTCTTTAACCTAGTCACATTAACTATTCAATCAACACATTCATTGTCTACTACAAAGCAGATACCATTTTGTGACATATGTCATATAAGCTGTTCTTTAGGGAGCAGAAAGAGCTAGGACAGACTTTATAAGAGTCTAAAATTAGGAAATATGATGTTTTCCTATGAAGTTCTACCAAATATCCTTTATCTTTCCATTTTCATTCAAAATAAGTGCTCTAACCACAAAAGCAATTCCTGAACTTAGAAACAATCACTTCTGTCTCCCCCCAATTCATTTCTATTATGATATTTATAAAAATGAAAAGCCTCACATATATTCTCATCTTTCCTTTTCTTTCCCTAATCTAGGCTACAAAACATGAGGGGAGGCGCAGTGTGGAATTAAATCTAATTTGTTGTATGAATAGCTGAAGTGCATAAGCAAAGCTATAATGGCAAAATAGAACAGCTGTATTATAGAGAACTGCAATAAGCCAAATATAGTTATTTGGCTATATATTCCACAGTTTACAAAGATAATAAACACCCAAATGCTTAAAGTATGCAGTGACTTCAGCACAGAGGCAGCCTTAAAGCATGAAATACCATGTCTCCAGGATACAGTCTTCAAGAGAAACTAATCTCTTGGTCTCAAACTAATGACTACTCTTCACTGAGGTTATAGCAAAACAAAGTGTTAGGTACTATATCAACTAAAAGGTACTATATCAATTACAAGGCTGGCCCACTGCCCCATCATACATTTCAAAACAAAAAGATTTATCTGCTTGAGGAATCCAAAAATTTCTATTGGTCTCCGGACCTTGACTGTACCTTTGCCAATGTCAGTTTACTGTGTCACATTTCTAAATTATTAACAAGTGGAACATACTCCACCCCTATGTTCAAGAGCTTGAACATATCGGAGAAATTAACTTCCCGAAGCTTGCTTTTAAAAAAGCACAAACTTGCCGCCCTAGAAAGCATGACTAAACTAAGCATCCAATCTTAAAGCACAATTAGCCAGCAATTCCAACATACTAAGTCTTTGTAAGTTGCAGATTTGAGCATTAACATGAAAAACAATCTCTAGGTGACAGGAACACTCTAAAACGAAGCACAGACTTCAATATAAAGACAAATGTAACAGCTTTTATTATCATATCCCACAGCAGTTAAGACATTAAACTTGAATAAACTCCATCCAAGTAAATATAAATATTAACCATAAGAAATAGAGCCATTAATATAATGTGCTTTAGAAATAAGAATATTCTCACACTTAAGTAACATGAACATGCAATTTATTAAATTTGAAATTTTGTAAATAGCAATCTTAATGGCTTTAACTTGTAATTCAAAGCAGTATTACCTCATCTGTCACTGGTTGCCGTTTTGAAAAGTGTAAAACTATCTGAGTCAACTAGTTCTTGAAGTCACATAACAAAATTCTTCGTAAGGTCCCTAGTATAGTTTTTTTGTGACTTAACTTCAAGAAGTTTAACCTGAATCAGGCCCCTCAAAAGCATGTATCTTCCGAGACAGTGCTGGAGAAAACACCTCTGTGTTTAATTTAACTTGTCATTGGATATCACTGTTGCTCCACACAAATCCATTTGGAATAGAATTTCTTTGGCAATGGTGAACTTTATCTGTAACTCCTCCCCTTGCCTAGGAGTCACAATTTCCTGGCCAAGTGCCCAATGACAGTTAGTGCAACAACAAATGAGACTAAGGATTCAAGTATAAAATCTTCTTGGGCATCTGTTTTCCTTATGGGCTTGCATAATTACACATTGAAAATTTGCTACAATCAAGAAAAGAAAAAGTTACAAGTGCTTTTTGAGAGGGCAAATTGAAATTATGAACTAAAAAGTATGTGTCTGTATATATGCATATTTTTACTTAATAGAAAATGCTATAATGTGGATTTTTTGTTGAAAACCCAATCTCCAAACTAGTTCCTATTTCTGCTATGGGCACTCCCATTCTCCCACTCAAGCTTAAAATCTAGTTACTATCTTTTGATTCTTTCCTCTTCTTCAAATCCACATCCAATCATCTAATGTGCCTTCATTTAAATTACCAAACGTCTCTGGAATCCAATCTTCCATTCAATTCACAGTGCTAACAACATGTCCAGGTCCTCATTAGTCCAGCAATCATCTCCCAATTGCTCTGCCCTCGCACTAATGCCAAATTAATTGCTTTGAAGTAGTGCTACTCAAAGCATGGTCCACAGGCCAATGCTGGATTATGAACATTTGTTGCTAACCCATGACATGACACATACAGAAATTTTAAGTATTTAGAAACTTTTACAGTAATTTGACAGAGCAATTTTGTTTGTTGAATGTAGTAATAAAAAAGGTAGGCTTACATTTTGTGTCTTCATTTTTCTTGAAATTCATTTTTATTTTATAAACGTGTCCATTTGAAACAGATTGGAAAAAAGTTATTTATAAACTGGTCCTCCCTCACAGACAGTTTGAGAAGCACTGTCCTAAAACCCTGATCCAATCATATCACTCTCTTAAGAACTTTTAGTCATCGCTCACTACCTACCCAATTAATAAATTGCAAATTATTGGATCTTAAAGTTCAAAAACTTTCATTTTGTCAAAATCAGTTTGATCTTACATTGTCCCACATCATGCACCTTTGGCTGTAGTAATCAAAGTGAGCTACTTGCTATTTCCTAAATATGCCCTAAGGCTTTGTTTATATTCTTTTCCCTAAAAGGGCCACCTCAGTTATCTCTAATTATCAAGACCCTGCATCTCAAGTGATTTTGTCAAGGAACTATCAATATTCTGGTTGTGCCACAGAACTATGTGACAGTAATGTCTCTGGGTCTCATTACTTTTCTACTTAATGAAAGAAACTGCATCAGCAACTAAAATTCTATAAAGTTGTGACCCAAATGAGAGGCTTAAACCTTCAAAATTCCCTGTTTTGACACTTACTATATGTTGTCATAGACATAAAATATGGTAGTTCTCTTATTCTTTATTGGATTATAAACTTTGAGACCAGGATTTATAATCTTCCCAACACCTAACATAGGGCCTTGTAATAGCAGACACAATATTTAACTGAACTAAAAATTAAGCTTAAACTAGAAACTTAATAGGGGTTTGTCATTGCCAGAGGCTGTGGGGAGGAGGGAACGGGCAGTTTCCGCTAATGGGTACAGGGTTTCTTGTGGGGGTAATGAAATGTTCTAAAATTAGATAGCGGTATTGGTTGCACAACTCTGTGAATATACTAAAATGATCAAATTGTATGCTTTAAAAGGGTGAATTGAATGATACGTGAATTGTATCTCAATAAAGCTGTTATTAAAAAAAAGTAATAGGAAGACCTCAGTCTGCCATTATGTCTCCATCCTCCGTAAAAAGTATGCTTAATGATATAAAAAGTATTATAGGTAAGAACTTTATGAAATGGATTCTTAAAAATTCAAAGCTCAAATACCATGGACATACAGACACAACAAGAAATTTTGGGTTAGATTCTAAAAGCAACAGACATCTAGTAGCATTAGTTTTGCTTTCATAAATTCTAACCAGTAACTTCTTACTAATTTGTTTTAACATTTTCTCTGAGGAACATCAAGAGGGATACATTTTGTTTATCAGATTGTGTCAAGAGAACAGCAGTGGCTGGGTGCGGTGGCTCACGCCTGTAATCCCAGCACTTTGGGAGGCTGAGGCGGGTGGATCACGAGGTCAGGAGATTGAGACCATCCTGGCTGACATGGTGAAACCCCGTCTCTACTAAAAATAAAAAAATTAGCCGGGCATGGTGGCAGGTGCCTGCTGTAGTCCCAGCTACTCGGGAGTCTAAGGCAGGAGAATGGCGTGAACCCAGGAGGCAGAGCTTGCAGTGAGCCAAGATCGTGCCACTGCACTCCAGCCTGGGCAACAGAGTGAGACTCCGTCTCAAAAAAAAAAAAAAAGAACAGCCTCCTGTGCATTAAAAATCTGAACAGTGCTCACTTCGGCAGCACACACACTAAAAATCTGAACAAATGTGTTATCACTTATAAAATAAAACATGAAATTATAATACTCATTTTACTCACTCATATACTCAGTATTTAAAAGTTCCAGAGAAAAGTCAGTATGGAGACATACATGGAACAAAATTTAAGATGATTAAGATTTAAAATGCCATCAATTATAAAATGTACCCATATTATATACCAGTAAGAAAAGGGGGGAAATTCCAAGTCACAGCCTAGGAGATTCCACAAAAAGTTAGGATAGCAAAAGGGATATACTCATAATATGAGGATAAGGGAGAAATATATCTACAACACAGAAGGGCCCACAAAGAAATCTGTACATCTCAGCCTTGACTGTACATCTATTTCCCATTTTGTACTGCGTCCAGGGAGGGGGAAAATCTCTCCCTGAGAATTTGAACAAGTCAGTCATGTAGGTTGTGCTCTGAATTTATACTATCAGGATGGTTGATATTTTCCCCAGGTGACCGAAAGAAGCGAAAGCAAATCCTCTCTGGAAGAACTCAACTTGAATTCTAGGTGGTATATTGCCAGATATAGCCCAGTTTCTGGGATGTTTAAATGTAAAAGAAGGTCTATCTTAAAAACTATAAAATAATAGGAGTACTGATGATAATGCAGACTCTCTTTCCAGCAAAGATTTTAAAGCACACTTTAAGGAGATTCATCAAAAATATTTAAGGAAAAGACATTAAAATTCCCTTCACCTTCATTCTCAAATGAAGAAATTGTGATAATGGGAGCAGGATGGTAGGAAATATAAGAGAGGGCTGACTACCAAATTAGAAAAATACACAAGTTACGGGAGAAACCAGGACAATACCAGTACTTCTAAGAATATATTTACTATTCTAAAACCTCAGTCTAATTAAGCATAGGCTTTTCCAATCCCTTTTTTCCTATTTTCCTCTAAATTGTTTTTCACTTTTTCTCTACAATTTTTGAAAGACCAGTGTATAGAGGATCATTCATAAAACACAGCAAAATTTCAGGGTTAAACTCTGTGAGATAGAAATTAGAGAAGAAAATATGGTTATCCATGTTAGCTAAGTCCAAATTAACAAGTATACTGTGCCTATATTGGAAGAAAGGTCAAAACCCAGAATTTAAAATAAAAACAAATAATAAAATTCATTTTGGCCTTTTACCTAAACGACAGCAACTCTAGTAATTAAAAAAAAAAAAAAAAGCACTTTAACAACTCCAGAGGGCTAATTCAATCATGACACTGCAAAGAGAGTATATTTTTCCCTGCATTACACATCCTAGGAGCAACCATATTTTCCCAAAGATATCCTTTTGAATCAACAACCGCTTTACAAAATTTTAAATCAGCAGGATGAGGAGCTTCTCAAGTCTCATTCCTCCACCAACTTTACTAAGGTATCATTTACTTAAAATAACATTCACCCCCCTTAAATGAAAATTTTGGTGAGTCTGATAACAGTATACACTCATGCAACAACTACTACAATCAAGATGTAGAATATTTTCTTCAATCCAAAAAATTCCTTCATGTTCTTTTGCAATACCCTCCCCAGCCCTTGGCCCTGAGCTACCACTAGTACTTTCTGTCACTGTAGTTTTCATATAAATGGAATCAAGTATTACTTTGTCATGTGTCTGGCTTACTTAGCAATACTTCTGAGATTCATCCATGTTGCTGCATATATGATTAGTTCTTTTATTCCTGAGTATTTCATTGTATGGATATACCACAATTTGTTTATCCATTCAGTTAATGGACACTTGGTTTGTTTCCAGCTTTCGACTATTATAAATAATGCTGCTACAAACAGTCACATACAAATTTATGTGGGCATTTTTTAATCTCTTGGGTAAATATCTAAAAATGGAATTACTAGGTCATATGTTAAGCATATGTTTAACTTAAAAAGACATTGCCAAAACTCTTTTCTCTTTTGCACTCTTATCAGCAATGCATGAGAGTTACCATTGCTCCACAGTCAGTGTTTTTAATTGTAGCCATTTTAGTGTGTGTGCAGTGGTATCTCACTATAGTTTTAATTTGTATTTCCCTAATGACCAATAACATCTTTTCAAATCCAATTTTGTGAAGCATCAATTCAAATATTTTGCCCGTTTTTAAACTGGGCTGTCTTATTATTGAATTACAAGAGTTCTTCGTATATTTTGGATCCAAGTCTTTTATCAGATATAAACATATTCAGAATATTTTCTCCCAGTCTGCAGCTTGCCTTTAAATATTCTTCATGATGTCTTTCAAGAAACAGGAATTTGATTTTTTAAATTTTGATGAAGCCCAACTTATCAGTTTTGTCTAACAATTTTTATTCAGTTTACCTAAGAAATGTGTACCTCATTCAGGGTCACAAAGATTATATTCAGGTCTATGATCCATTTATTTTAATGTACAGTTTGAGATAAAGGTCAAGGGTCAAGGTTCATTTTTTTTTTCCTATATGAATATTCAGTTGTTCCAGTACATTTGTTAAAAACACTAGCCTCTCCTGGCCAGGCACAGTGGCTCACGCCTGTAATCCCCAGCACTTTGGGAGGCCAAGGTGGGTGGATCATCTGAGGTCGGGAGTTCGAGACCAGCCTGACCAACATGGAGAAATCCTGTCTCTACTAAAAATATAAAATTAGCCGGGCATGGTGGTGCATGCCTGTAATCCCAGCTACTAAGGAAGGCTGAGGCAGGAGAATCGCTTCAACCTGGAGGTGGAGGTTGCGGTGAGCCAAGATTACGCCACTGCACTCCAGCCTGGGCAACAAGAGTGAAACCTGTTCTTAAAAAAAAAAAAAAACACTAGCCTCTCGCCATTGAATTAGCTTAACTTCATTGCTGAAAATCAATTGATTATATATATGTGGGTCTATGAACTCCCCATTTGGTTCCATAATCTATATGCCTATCTTAACACTAATATCACACTGTCTTAATTACCATAGACTTACATAAAGCTCAAGTATAACTTTGGGTGATTTAACTCTATTAATCTTTTCCTATTACTATTAGGGAAATATTTCATAGCTATCAAATGATAACACGGTACTAAATGTCAATATTGCACTTATGAAAACGGTGAATGTAAGAATTTTTTTCATCCCCAAGCACAAAATGTATCCATTTATTTCTAAAGATAGCATAGAGAATAAAACTTAATTGATGTCATTTATATACTCCATGTACTTCAAATGCACTTATTATCCATTCGGACAGTACAGACATTGCTCCAGAGGCTCCTAGAGATAAACCTAAAAAAAAAATCTGCCGTTACAGTGTCCTAGAGGGGTAATATAGGTCCCTCCAACTTTCTCTAACTAACCAAGTCTAACATATACTTTACCATAGGGTAAAAATTAGCACTAACTACTTCCAAGAACTTTAACCGCGTCTAGAAATACAATTCATCTTAAATCTACAAACTATAATAGCTTTATAAACAACCCTGTGTACAAGATTGACAAACATACTAGCACCTGTGATAGTCCTTATCATAAAAATGGTTTAACACCTACCTATCTATAGCCAGTGGTAGAAGGAAAGAAAATATACCAACCTAAAAAGGCAGTCCTTTAAGAAAATATACCAATCTAAAACAGCAGTCCTTTCATAATTTTCACATTTAAAAGAAACCTCAAATTTCTAGTGATGTCATAAAAGGTCTAAAAATAATACAGAATTACTTATACCCCTGGTTGTTCTCGTTATTCAATAATGAAATCTAAAAATAGCAGTAAAGTGGGCCAATTTTATTTTGTTCATAATCAATACATGATTAGATTAAAATAAGTTGTAAATGTGAGGCTCTGGAACCACTTCAAATTTTCTTACAGAACAAAAGAACTAGAAAGATAATTAATAGATTCCAGAAAAATAAAAACTAAACTTTTACTGTATTTTTAAAGAATTTTTTTGAGAGATTTATGTCCTATTTTATTAAAAGAAACATCTCTCTAAAATTAACCAGGTCTAGTTATGCCTGAAGGCTAGAAATGAAATAACCAACAGTATGCAGTTATTAACTTATCACTTATTATAGTGGTCACAAAAAGAGAATCAGTAATAATTCAGACTCTGAAGCATAAGAGAAAATAATACAAAAATAATATGGAACTATCTTATATTGCAAAGCAAATTAGAATAGGGAATTCTACTCTAAATTATTTTTTGCCTACATGCCCCAGAAACAAAATCATAGGCTGTTTTTCACTAAATATTTCACACCATTTTCTAAAGGTACAACTTATTTTAAAACGCCATTGAATTTTTAAGCTTCCCTCAATTCTTCGGTAAACCACCGTTTGCTTCCAATCTTGATAAATACATTCTGCAGAAAAACAAAATGAATTTACCACAGAGTAAACAAAGTACTTATATCTTACAAAATTCCTATTAAGATTGCCCTTACTCAGTGCTGTCTTTCAAAACAACAATAGCAACTTTATAGTAGATTACACATGAAACACTATAAGATTTGGGCTGAATTTCTTTCAATCTCTGCCTCTACCTCCACTCTCGGACTGGTAGCACTGCTTATTAATCTTTTAATTCATGCAGATGATACCTCTTCACTGAGAAAAATGAAAGAGAAAGAATAATAAAATCACTTACCCTTCCTTAGACATTCTCAAAGATCTACTTCCTCTGGATGAGAATACAGGATCAACAAACAAGCTTCACTGATCTCTTGAGAACTGTAGCTCATTTGTTAAAGCACAGAGAACTCAGGCCCTGAGAGGCCCAACAAATTTGGGCACAATGCCGAACCCTAACTAGGCAATATCTCAGTGACCAATATCCTCAGCTTTAAATACTTGAAAACTTAAGAATAATTTTTTTAAAAATTTCAAGACTAGGAAAAATAACTAATGGCCTGAACTGTTTAAGGCTGGCCAGTTAAGGAAGGAGACAATCCAAATGGCAAGTTCCTGTAAGAGACAGGAATCGTTACTGGCAAACACAGAAAAAGCAAATTTACCCCCTAATGAGGCCCTCCAACAGTACGCAAACAATGTGAGTTTCACAGAATCAAGCAGCCCTGGTCGGTCAAAATCATTTTTAGTTTACTCTGGGAGCAAAAAACACAGGATAAATAATTTTATGTTTTAATTATTAGTGTAGTTATTTCCTCCCTCAGAAAATAAACAATGTGAATTACAAGAGAAGGAAGTATGTGCAGATCATATTACAGGAGGAACCTAAAGTATTTCCACAGCGAGGTATTTTTTTTTCTGACTTCATTAACTGCTTTTAAACAAAACATCTGCGTTCACAAATATTTCACTTAATCGCCTGAAAATTTCAGCTCATGTGAAAAGATATTTACAGATCTTTGGCATATGGGGGATAAATCCAGAACATTCTAAAGGTTAATTCCAAATCTCAGAGCAAACTGAGCTTTGAAAAAAAAGAATCTGTAACATTCCTGCCTCCCGACCAATATAATGCATAGGGATTATGCAACAGGGGAAGAAATAAATAAGTCTGCTAAAGTCTAAGAACATTGAGATGGCAAATCCTCCTCACGGTGATTCAAATTAAAAATAAAATACATATACCTTAAAGAACTACTACTTGAATTAAGGCTTAAAATTTTTAAAAGCTTTATCCCTTTAAATATTACCTAAATATCTTACCATAAAGGTTTCTTTTTGTTATTAAAATGTTTAAATAGTTACTAAGTAATTAAAAGCACTACTAAATACTATAAATTCAAAATAAAATTAAGGGATAAAAGACTTTAAGGTAGAAAAAATAAAAAAGAAAAAACAAAAGAAAATTATTTTCAGTTTATTTAGAAAAGCAGTATGGTGTAATGGAAAGAGAATGGGCACTAGAAGAACTAAGGCTTAAATTCCAGCTCCTCCACTTTCTGGCTTTGGAACTTTGAATAAGTTACTTAACCTAAGCCTGAGCGTTTTAATCTATAAAAGGGAAGATAACATCTGGTAGGGATGTTGTCTGTCACATGTAAGCGCTCCAAGAACTATTACTGAGGGTAGGGGAACAGGAAAAGCAACTGGATTATCAGGCATTGCCTCATTAATATATCTCATGGGAAATACTTTTTTAAAAAATCTAAATCTCAAGTTTTACACAAATATGAAGGATTTCCATTGACTATCCTCAAAGCAAATTCCATAACTACAAGAATACAAATTGAATATGGAAAAATGATCTAATCCTTAAGGGTGCCAACTTCCCATGGATTCCCTAGATTTTCAGCTTGTGGTATCACAGCTCAGTGCAGTGGAAATAAATGTAATTACTATTTTAAGACTTTACTATTGGCAAAGAGAAAGGAAAACAAAAATTATCACTTGAACTGAGGGTACACACTTACAGAAGCTTCCTGTGCAAAAGGTAAGGCATTGTCTAAAGATGATTAGCTCTTTCAAACTCCATGCATACATTAAACAAATATTTACTGAATGTCTGTGTGCCAGATACCAGTGATACAAAGATAAACTTGGAAGTCCTTGATTTTAAGAAGCTAGTGAGAAGGTCCATTCAAAAGTAGCTATGAAGTAGTGTGTTAATAGTAGTATTAGAGATACGCACAACAGAGAGGGACATATAGATCCTCTTGGCTGAGTCTTAGAGATAGGATGAGATACTGTTTTTTAAAAACTGACACTGTGCTAAGCTCTTTATTTATTACCTCATCTAATCTTTGCAATAACTCTATGAGGTAAAGTTATTCCAGTTTAAAAGATTACAAAATTAAAATTTACAAAACTTAAATGCTGGGATTCTAAAGAAATGGAACAATCCAAAATGCCAACCCTAGCCCCAAGCTCTTAATCACCAGGCTAAAAGTATTAGCAGCAGGCTAAGAGGAAAAGAAGAGGTCTCCAACAGAAGAGGAACCATGAACAAAAAGCAAAATGACATAAACATCATGATGTGTGAATAAAAACAAAGCTATGAGCCCGGGAGGTCAAGGCTGCAGTGAGCCATGATCACACCACTGCACTCCAGCCTAGGTGACAGAGCAAGACCCAGTCTCAGAGAAAAAGCAAAGCTAGATACAGTTGACAGAACACAGAATCTGAGGAAGAGAACTGCTCAACACAAAAGTGGACAGAAAAAGATCAGTCTTAGAGAGTCTTGGCGGGGTTAGAATTTATCCTGTTGCATGCTCGATGTGATATCACTAAAGGATCTAAGCAGGATTATAACATTATTTAAAAAATGAATTTGGCCAGGTGCCATGGCTCACACCTGTAATCCCAGCGACTCAGGAAGCTGAACTGGGAGGACTGCTTGAGGCCAAGAGTTTTAGACCAGCATGGGCAACATACAAGATCCTGTCTCTACAAAAAAAAATTTAAAAATTAGCCAGGTATGGTGGCATGCACCTGTAGTCCCAGGTACTTGGGAGGCTGAGGTGTGAGAATTACTTGAGGTCAAGGTGACCACAGTGAGTTATGATCATGCCATTACACTCCAGCCTGAGCAACAGAGTGAGACTCCATCTCTTGAAAAAAAAATTTTTTTGAGGAGGACAAGGCTGAAGGTGGGGAGACCTACGGGGGGATACTGCTGTAATCTAGGACAGCGATAACAAGGGCCTGGACCATGGCAATACTATCAGGAATGAAAAGGCCAGAGTCTAGAAATAATTAGATTCATTTTAAAGTATGCATGTGTGCTTAAATAAGACACTAAAATTTGAGCATGGTGACTATATTATTCCTCACTTCTTGGATCTATGGTGGTAATATTTAGAAATTGCTTCCTAATAATGGATGTAGTAACAATTAAAGTCCTCTTTTAAAAAGCTTTCAAGGGGCCACGTGCCGTGGCTCATGCCTGTAATCCCAGCACTTTGGGAGGCCGAGGCGGGCGGATCACCTGAGGTCAGGAGTTCTAAGACCAGCCCAGCCAACGTGGCGAAACCCCATCTCTACTAAAAATATGAAATTAGCCAGGCATGGTGGCGCATGCCTGTAATCCCAGCTACTCGGGAGGCTGAGGCTCGACAATCACTTGAACCCAGGAGGCGGAGGTTGTGGTGAGCTGAGATCACGCCATTGCACTCCAGCCTGGGCAACAAGAGCGAAACTCTATCTCAAAAAAAAAAAACTTTCAAGGGCCAGGTACAGTGGCTCACGCCTGTAATCCCAGCACTTTGGGAGGCCGAGGCAGGCAGATCACGAGGTCAGGAGATGGAGACCATCCTGGCTAGCACAGTGAAATCCCATCTCTACTAAAAATACAAAAACTTAACCACGCGTGGTGGCACGTGCCTGTAATCCCAGCTACTCGGGAGGCTGAGGCAGGAGAATGCCGTGAACCCATATGTCTCCCAAAGTTGGTAGGTAACATTTCTGATATGCCTTTTGCATAATTTTGACTTTTAAATGTATATTACTCTTATATATATTATATATAATAATGCTATAACATAGGATGTATTATGAAATGTTGTATTATGTTAAATTATTTAAAAATTAGATCAATAGAATGAAAAAGAAAAAAACACTTAACTGAAAGCAAACAAATGAACCTAATTATACTGTATACAAATACCCTAACCATGCTGTAGAGAAAAAAAGCAAGAACGAACTAATCCAAGGAACTAAAAAACACAAAGTCTAAGCCTTTAGACTTTGGCAGGGTAAGGTAAGAAAGTGGAAGAATGGCAAATAAATCCTGAACTTTTTAGGTTTGTTTGTTATGGTATGAGTTAATCAACTGAAGCAATTTTAGATTAAGCAAACTAAATATGTTGATGATGTCAGGAGCCAGGGCTTTCACTGTGGAACAAGAGATATACAAACATGGAATGGGAGTGAACAAGAAGGAACTTTCCTAGGATGGACTAGCATTAGATGTAATGGTGTGAACTCATGATTTCTACAATACATATAAAAATGCATACCCAGTGAAAAATGCTACACAAATTAAGGTAAAGACATCTTTAGAATATGCCACTCAACATCAGCAGAATACACATTCTTGTCAAAAGCATAGAGATTATTCAAGATAGACCACAGAGTAGCCCATAAACCAAGACACAGTAAATTTAAAAGGACTAAAATCATGTAAAATATGTTCTACAACCACAATGGAATGCAAGTACAAGTCAATGACAAAAGAAAATTTGGGGCCAGGTGCGGTGGCTCACACCTGTAATCCCAGCCCTCTGGGAGGCTGAGGCGGACAGATCGTGAGGTCAAGAAATTGAGACCATCCTGGCCAACACTGGGAAACCCCGTCTCTACTAAAAATACAATAATTAGCTGGGCATGGTGGCACGCACCTGTAGCCCCAGCTACTCAGGAGGCTGAGGCAGGAGAATCGCTTGAACCCGGGAGGTGGAGGATGCAGTGAGCCAGGATCGTGCCACTGCACTCCAGCATGACAACAGAGCGAGACTCCATCTCAAAAAGAAAAAAAAAAAAGAAAATTTGGGACATTCACAAATATGTAGAAATTAAACAACACACTCCTAAATAATAGAAATCACAAAGAAAGCTAGAAAACGCTTACAATTTAACGAAAAAAAGGACATAACAAAATCATTGGGGTACAGCAAAAGCAGTGCTCAGAAGAAAATTTATAGCTGTAAATGCACATATTTAAAAAGAAGAAACATCTCAATTAATAGCCTAGCCTTCCACATTAAGAAATTATAGAAAAAGAAGAACAAAATCAACCCAAATCAAACAGAAGGACAGAAATAATATATTACAGATTAGAGCAGAGATTTAAATATATATATACAAAATCTAAAGCACTGGAGAAAAATCAATGCTTTTTCTTTAAAAACATCAACAAAATTGACATTTAGCTAGACTGACCCAAAAAAAGAAGACTCAAATTACTAAAATCAAGAATAAAAGCAGAGGCCAGGCACGGTGGCTCACACTTAACAATCCCAGCACTTTGGAAGGCCAAGGCAGGCGATCACTTGAGGTGAGGAGTTCGAGACCAGCCTGGCCAACATGGTGAAACCCTGTCTCTACTAAAAATACAAAAATTAGCCAAGCATGGTGGCGGGCACTTGTCATCCCAGCTACTTTGGGAAGCAGAGGCAGGAGAATCGCTTTAACCCAGGAGGCGGAGGTTGCTGTGAGCCGAGATTGCGCCACTGCACTCCAGCCTGGGTGACAGAGCGAGACTCTTATCTAAAAAAAAAAAAAAAAGAAGAATAAAAGCAGAGACATTACTACTGACCTCACAGAAATAAAAACAGATATAATACTATAAATAACTATATGCCAACATATTAGGTAACCAAGATAAAACAGACAAAAGTAGTACAAGACTTGTACACTAAAGACTACAATACCTGGAAACACACAAATTACCAACATTGACTCAAAAAGAAATAGAAAATCTAAAGAGATCTATCAGTAGTAAGGAGATTAAGTCAGTAATCAAAAAACTTCTAACACTGCCAGGTGCAGTAGCAGATGCTTGTAGTTCCAGCTATTCAGGAGGCTGAGGCAGGGGGATCACTTGAGGCCAAGAGTTAGAGGCTACAGTGCACTATGATCAGGCCCGTGAATAGCCACTGCATCCAGCCTAGGTAACAGAGTGAGACCTCATCTCCAAAACATGCACACACACACACACACACACACACACACACACACACACACAATTAGAGCTAATAAACAAGTTCAGCAAAGTGGCAGGATACAAGATTAATATACAAAAAACCAGTTGTGTTTCCATAAACTAGCAATGAACAATCCAGAAATAAAATTAAGAAAACAATTATATTTACTATAGCATCAGAAATAATGAAAGACACCAGACTGGACAACATAGCAAGACCCCCTTCTCCACCAAAAAGAAAAAAATTTAATTAGCTAAGCATGGTGGTACATCTATAGTCCTAGCTACTTGAGAAGCTGAGGTGGGAGAATCACGTGAAGCCAGGAGTTCAGGGTTACAGTGAGCTATGATCATGTCACTGTACTACACCTTGGGTGACAGAGCAAGACCCTGTCTCTTTAAAAAAAAAAAAAAGAAAGAAAAGAAAATACTTAGGAATAAATTTAACAACAGAAGTGCAAGACCTGTACAATGAAGACTACAAAATACTGTTGAAAGAATTAAAGAAAATCTAAATAAATGGAAAGACATCCCATACTCATGGATCAAAACACTTAATACTATTAGGACAGCAATACTTCTCAAAGTTATATATAGAGAGAGTCAATGTAATTCATAACAAAATCCAGCTGGCTTTTTTATATAAATTGACAAGCTGATCCTAAGATTCATATGGATATAGAAGGGCACCAGAATAGCCAAAACAATCTTGAAAAAGAAGAGTAGGTTGCTGTTTTTCAAAACTTACTACAAAGCTGCAGTAATCAAGACTGTGTGCTACTGGCATAAGGACAAATAGATCAAACAAATATAATTCAGAGTCCAGAAATAAATTCATACATCTATGTTCAAATGATACTTGACATGGGTGCCAAGACCATTCAATGTGAAAAGAATAGTCTTTTCAAAAAATGGTGCTAGGACAACTGGATAGTCATGTGCAAAAAAATGAATCTGGACCCCTATCTTATATAATAACAAAAAAAGTAAATGAAAATGGATCAAAAACGTAAATGTAAGACCTAAAGCTGTAAAACTAACAGAAGAGAACACAGGAGTAAATCACTGTGACTTTGGAATAAGCAATGGTTTCTTAAACATGTCATGAAAAGCATACTCGAAAAAAGAAAACATACATAAATTGGACTTCACCGGTATTAAAATAACATGTGTTTCAAAGGACACTACCAAAAAAGTTATTAATGAAAGTCAGCCCACAGAACAGGAGACAATATTGGAAAATCATGTATCTGATAAAGGTCTAGAATCCAGAATATATAAAGAACTTTTACAACTCCACAATATAAACAACTCATTTAATAATAATAGGCAAAACACCTAAACAGACACTTCACAAAAGATACACAAATGGCCAGTAAGAACATGAAAACACGCTTACCATTACTGGTCATAAGGGCAAGTAAAGACCACAATGAGATACTATTTCACACACACTCACATGGCTATAATTAAAAAGGCAGGGCCAGGCACGGTGGCTCACGCCTGTAATCCCAGCATTTTGGGAGGCCGAGGCAGGCAGATCACGAGGTCAAGAGATCGAGACCATCCTGACCAACATGGTGAACCCCTATCTCTACTAAAAATACAAAAATTAGCTGTGCGTGGTGCATGCCTGTAGTCCCAGCTACTTGGAAGGCTGAGGCAGGAGAATCACTTGAACCCGGGAGGCAGAGGTTGCAGTGACCTGAGATCGTGCCACACTGCACTCCAGCCTGGCGACAGCAAGACTCCATCTCAAAAAAAAGGCAGTAAGTGTGATGAGGATTTGGAGAAACTGGAACATTCATACACTGCTAGAGGGAATGTAAAATGATGCATCTGCACTGGAAAATGGTTTGGCAAAGTGGAAGCAACCCAAATGTTAAGCAACAGATGAATGGAAAAACAAAATATGGTATATCCATACAATATATTTTTTTTCTTTAGACAAGGTCTCCCTCTGTCATCCAGGCTGGAGTGCACTGGCACAATCATAGCTCACTGCCACTTTGACTTCCCAGGCTCAAGTGATCCTCCCACCTCAGCCTCTTGAATAGCTGGGACTACAGGCATGCACCACCATGCCTGGCTAATTTATGTATTTTCTGTAGAGATGGGGTTTTGCTATGTTGCCCAGGCTAGTCTCAAACTCCTGGTATTATGATGCAATTTGCCCGTCTCACCTACCAGGAAGTGCTGGGATTACAGGCATCAGCCACTGTGCCTGACCAATAGAATATTATTTGGCAATAAAAAATAATGAAGTACTGAGATAGGCTACAATACAGATGAACCTTGAAAACACTATGCTAAGTGATGCAGGGCACAGTGGCTTGTGCCTGTAGTGCTACAGTCCCAGCTACTCAGGAAACTGAGGCAGGAGTATCATTTGAGCCCATGAGTGTGAGGCTTCTGTGAGCTATGACTGCGCCACTGTACTCCAGCCTGGATGACAGAGTAAGACTCCAACTCTTAAAAAAAAAATAATGAAAAAAGAAAATACTATGCTAAGTGAAAGAAGTCAGACACAGAAGGCCATAAACTGTATAAGTTCATTTATATGAAATATCCAGAATAGGCAATTCCATAGAGACAGAAAGTAAATTAGTGGCTGACACGGGCTGGAGAGAGAGGGAAACGTGGAGTGGACTACTAATGAGTATGAGGTTTCTTTTGGGATAATGAAAAATGGTTGTACCACTTTGTAAATATACTAAAAGCCACTGAATAATATACTTCTATTTTATATTATGTAAATTATAATTCAATTGTTTGTTTGTTTTTTGAGACATTCTCGCTCTGTTGCCAGGCTGGAGTGCAGTGGTGCAATCTTGGCTCACTGCAACCTCCGCCTCATGGGTTCAAGTGACTCTCCTGCCTCAGCCTCCCAAGTAGCTGGGACTACAGGCACGCACCACCACGCCCAGCAAATTTTTGTATTTTTAGTAGAGACGGGGTTTCACCATGTTGGCCAGGATGGTCTCGATCTCTTGACCTCATGATCCACCCACCTCGGCCTCCCAAAGTCCTAGGATTATAGGCATGAGCCACCACGCCCCACTGAAGCTGCTATTTTTTAAGAGAATACACACACACACCTTCCATAAATCAATATGGAAAAAAAAGACAACACAATTGGCAAACAACTTGAAAAGGCAAGTCACAGAAGAGGATCTTCTGCAAATGGCTACTTACAATATGAAGGTGTTCAACCTATTTATTCATCAGAAAAATACAACTTAAAACCAAAAGGAGATGCCACTATGTATACACTAGAATAACTTTTAAATTAAACACACAATTCAAAAGATTAATATTAAAGTGTTGGTGATACTGCTCTCATACATTGTAAGTGGAACTATAAACTGCTAGGGAAAACTATTTTGCGGTATCTACAAAAACTAAACGTATGCTTAACCTATGGCCCAGCAATTCCATTCCTGGGTAGAAACCAATAGAATTGAATGTATATATCCACAAAAAGATTTGTTCAAGAACATTTATAACAGCATTATTCTTATTTTTTTCAACTAAAAATTACTATTATTTTATTATTACTAAAATACAGTAATAGTTTATTTAAAATACACTGTTTATGTATACATTTCTATGAATCCTAACTCACATAATAGTTACAATCTGAAATTTAAAAGTTCCATCACCCCAAAAAACTCTCCCCTACTATCCTTCTGTAGTCACACTTTCCTTCTCTACTAACTCTTAGAACCCACTAATGTGTTCTCCCCATCACTACAGTTTTGTCTTTGAGACTATCATATAAATAAAATCATGCCAGATGTCATTTAAGACTGTCTTATTTGACTCAGCATTATGCCTTTGAGAGTGATCAGTTGCTCTATGTATCACTAGTTCATTATTTTACCTGAGTTATAATCTATTCTATAAATATACCACATACTGTTTATGTATGTACCTGCTGAAGAACATTTGGGCTGCCTTCAGTTTTGAGCAATTATAAACAGAGATACTATAAACATTATCCATTGTGTGAACCTAAGTTTTCATTTCTCTAGGGTAAATATCTAGGAGTGGGATTTCTGGGTCATTAATGTTAAGGTCTCTAACTTGATAAGAAACTGCCAAACTGTTTTTCCAGAGGAGCTGCACCCTCTCTGTTCACGAGCAATGTATGAGAAGTTCCAGTGGCTCCACATCCTTGGCAACACTTGATATTGTCAATATTTTTTATTTTAGCTATTGTAACAGGCATATATACAGTTGCTTTAATTTTTATCTTCCTAATGGGTAAAGAAGTTAAATATGTGTTTTTATGTCATCTGTATATATCTTCTTAGTGATGTTCAGTCTTTTAACCATTTCATAATTTGGTTATTTTCATATTGTTAAATTTTAAAAGTTCTTTATATACTCCAGATATAAGTCCTTTATCGAATTTTTTTCAGTCTATAACAGCTTTATATGCAATAACTAAAAACTTAAAAAAAAAAAAAACTCAAATGTGGGCCAGGCATGGTGGCTCACACCTGTAATCCCAGCACTTTGGGAGGCTGAGGCAGGTGAATCACTTGAGGTCAGGAGTTCAAGACCAGCCTGGCCAACATAGTGAAACCGTCTCTACTAAAAATACAAAAAAAAAACAAAAAAAAAAAAACCTGGTGGCACACACCTGTAATCCCAGCTACTCAGGAGCCTGAGGCACAAGAATCGCTTGAACCTGGGAGGCAGCCAGGCATGGTGACTCACGCCTAAAATCCCAGTATTTTGGGAGTCCAAGGCAGGAGAACTGTTTGAAGCCCGGGGTTTGAGACCAGCCTGGACATCAAAGTGAGACCCTATCTCTACGAAAAATAAAAAATAAAAAAATAGCTAGGTGTGGTGGTGTGCTCCTGTATTTCTAGCTGCTTGGAAGGCTGAGTTGGGAGGATCACTAGAGCCCAGGAGGAGGTCAAGGCTGCAGTGAGCTATGATTGCGCCACTGCACTCCATCCTGGGCAACAGTGAAATCGTGTCTCTGAAAAACAATGCTTTTTTTTTTCTTATTTTGAGACGGAGTCTCACTCTGTCGCCAGGCTGGAGTGCACTGGCTCAATCTTGGCTCACTGCAACTTCTGCCTCCTGGGTTCAAGTGATTCTCCTGCCTCAGCCTCCTGAGTAGCTGGGATTACAGGCATGCGCCACCACGCCCAGCTAATTTTTGTATATTTAGTAGAGACAGGGTTTCACCATGTTGGCCAGGATGGTCTCGATCTCTTGACCTTGTGATCCACCTGCTTCAGCCTCCCAAAGGGCTGGGATTACAGGCATGCACCACCGCGCCCGGCCAAAAACAATGTTTTTAGTATTAAAAAAACCTAAATGTCCACCAACAGAAAATAAATGATGAAATAAATTGTGGTATATTGATACAATGGAATGACACACAGTAATTAAAAAGAACAAATTACTGATACAAAAACATGAATAAATCTCTCTCTCAGACATTACAATTAATACAGAAGCCATACCCTTTAAGGTGAAATACACCATCTAAATGTAAATATAAATGATACTTCCTCAACATAAGTTTCTTCTTATACTATTTCAATAAATCTCAGATCTGCTTTTATTCTTTCTCTTCCATGCCACCAATACCACTTTTCTTCTTAATTTTACTGTTAGATATGTTGTTTTTGGAAGAAGTATAGAGGGAATGGTAGTAAAGAGAGAGTGCTTTAGGATTCAATACATTCTTTTGAACAGTAACATTTAGAGAATCTGTACTCCATAGTGGTATCACTGCACATTTTTAAGAGCATCTTGTATCTAGAACAGATAAGGAATTCATGTGACGTAAGAAAAGGTGTCACTGTGAAAATTTTTATTTTGTTTTTGTTTCTTAAGAGACAGGGTCTCGCTCTGTTTTCCAAGCTAGAGTATGATAGCATGATCACAGCTCACTGTAACCTCAAACTCCTGGGCTCAAGAAATCCACCTGCCTCAGCCAGGCGCAATGGCTCACGCCTGTAATCCCAGCATTTTGGGAGGCCAAGGCGGGTGGATCACCTGAGGTCAGGAGTTCAAGGCCAGACTGACCAACATGGTGAAACTCCATTTCTACTAAAAATACAAAATTAGCCTGGCGTGCTGGCACATCCCTGTAATCCCAGCTACTCGGGAAGCTGAGGCAGGAGAATCGCTTGAACCCAGGAGGCAGAGGTTGCAGTGAGCCAACATCACGCCATTGCACTCCAGCTGGGGCAACAAGAGCAAAACTCCATCTCAAAAAAAAAAGAAAAACAGAAATCCTCCTGCCTCAGCCTCCCTAGTGTCTGGGATTACAGGCGTGCACTACCACCTGTGGCTTTTTTTTTTTTTTTTTTTCTAGAAACAGGGTCTTACTCTGTTGCCAGAATCTCAAACTCTTAGACTCAAGTGATGTCCCCACCTCAGCCTCCCAAGAGAATTTTTTTTTTTTTGAGACAGAGTTTCACTCTTATTGCCCAGGCTGTAGTGCAATGGTACAATCTAGGCTCACTGTAACCTCCGCCTCCCAGGTTCAAGCGATTCTCCTGCCTCAGCCTCCCCAGTAGCTGGGATTACAGGCATGTACCACCACGCCTGGCTAATTTGTATTTTTAGCAGAAACAGGGTTTCTCCATGTTAGTCAGGCTAGTCTCGAACTCCCAACCTCAGGTGATCCGCCTGGCTTGGCCTCCCAAAGTGCTGGGATTACAGGCGTGAGCCACCGTGCCTGGCTTACCCAAGAGAATTTTTTAAGTTAAACTTTTTAATTTGGAGTAATTGTAGATTCACACGCAGTTGAGTAAGAAATGATACAGAGATTTCATGAACCCTTCACACAGTGTCCCCCAATGGGGAAATCTTGTGCCATATAGAAAAATATCACAACAAAGAAATTGACATTGACACAATTCACAACTTTATTCAGACTTCATCAGTTTTACATGCACTCTGTGTATGTGTAGATTAATATATTTACCACTAGAGTTAGACACAAGAGTTTCCTCATAAGGTATTCCTTGTGCTACCCTTTTACAGGTACACCCACCATCTCCCTCCACCCACCCCAATCTCTACCCCTAGCAACCATTAATTTATCAATCTCAATAATTTTGTAATTTCAAGAATGTTACAGAAATGGAACCATACAGAGTGTAACCTTTTCAGATTGGCTTTACTAACTCAGCATAATTCTCTTGAGATATATCAAAGCTGTTGCACGTATCAACAGTTCACTTTTTACTGCTGAATAGAATTCCATACACAGAATTTTGGGAGGAAAATAATAAGCTGAAAAATTTCTTACCAGTCCCTAAATTCTTACCTGTCATTCCTTAGGAAGATGAAACATGAATAAAAGCATTAGAATGATAAAAAACAAACAAACAAACAAAAAACAGAGTTTTGAATTTTTTTCTTTCTTTCTTTCTTTTTTCTAGAGACAGGGTTTTCCTGTGTCACCAGGCTGGAGTGCAATGGCGCAATCAAAACTCATTGCAACCTCAAACTCCCAAGTTCAAGTGATCTTCCTGCCCCAGCCTCCCCAGTAGCTAGGACGACAGGTGCACAGCACCATACTCAGCTAATCTTTTTACTTTTTGTAGAGACAGGGTATCATTATGTTCCCCAGGCTGGTCTCAAATTCCTGGCCTCAAGCCATCTTCCCATCTCGGTCTCTCAAAGTGCTAGTATTATAGGTGTAAGCCACCACACCCAGCCACAGTTTTGATGTTCTACCTTACTCTTCTTATTCCGACAAGATATATCCCATATATATATTATTTTTCTTTTTTTTTTTTCTTGAGACAGTCTCGCTCTGTCACCCAGGCTGGAGTGCAGTGGTAAAATCTCAGCTCACTGCATCCTCTGCCTCCTGTATTCAAGCGATTCTCCTGCCTCAGCCTCCCGAGTAGCTGGGATTACAGGCACCCGCCACCACACCTGGCTAATTTTTGTATTCTTTAAGTAGAGATGGGGTTTCACCATGTTGGCCAGGCTAGTCTCAAACTCCTGACCTCAGGCGAGCCACCCACCTCGGCCTCCCAAAGTGCTGGGATTACAAACATGAGCCACCATGCCCAGTCCCATATGTATACTATTTAAGAAACATGGCTCTTCAGCATTCCAGAGGACCTATATTTTCCGCATGATTTTCAATTTACAAAGTGGCTACTGAAATTTTAACAATTATCCACTGAATATTTGAACCAATACTAAAATGACAGTTTACTACTCAGCTTGATTAATGACAAAATTAAAAAGCTGAATGACATTCATATGATATCCATAAGTGATTAAAAGAGAAATTAAAATTGATCAACCTGGCAGTCTCTATCTACATATAACCTGATACCTGTTTTTAGTATGAGGTTTAAAAAAAAAAATAAAGATTTCCCCTTTTTTTGTTTTTGTTTTTGAGACACAGTCTCACTCTGTCACCTAGGCTGAAGTGCAGTGGCGCAATCATGGCTCACTGCAGCCTTGACCTCCCAGGCACAAGCAATCCTCCCGCCTTAGACTCCTGAGTAACCAGGACTACAGGTGCACACCACCATGCCCAGCTAATTTTTGTATTTTTGGTAAAGACGGGGTTTGCCATGTTGCCCAGGCTGGTCTTGAACTCCTGTGCTCAATGAGCCATCCACCCGCCTGGGTCTCCCAAAGTGCTAGGATCACAGGCATAAGCCACCGTGCCTGGTCCATCATAAACATTTCTAGATCGAAGCCATAAGTACTAGCAAAATTACATATACACAAATTCCTTTTCACTCCTTAAACATGTACAAGAAATTTACTTTGATTTTAGAAGAAACGATTATTCAACAGATTTATATAAAGACTGATATGGCTCTGGAAGCCTAAACTGCAACTAAAAAAAAAAAAACTTCAGATATATAATTTAAGATAAATATACAAAAGTCTTTAAAGAATTTTAAAGAGAAAAATCACTGCAATATTTTCTAAAATAAGGCAAAAGACTGGTTAACAAAAAATTCACAAGCCTAATAACGTGCCACATTTCAGTTCAATATGATAAAACCACTGCTAAATTAATAAGCTGTGTTCACAAAGAAAAAGCCAATTCATTGTCCTACAGAAATTCTGTTCTACTGGAAGCATCAGAGCTTTACAAACGTAAAAACTAAATACCTGACTTCGGTATCCTGGGCACAGTCAATGTAGAGAGCAGATGAAAAACCTAATTGTTCCATTCTTGGATTGGTAAATACAAATTCTGATCTATAGTGATCACTAAAAGATTCTAGTATTAAACAAAAACTATTTAAGAGGTAATTTTTGAAGCTGCCTCTTTCAGGTCACTATGACATCTGAGCAGCTCAGCTTGTCTTCTAACCATATAGCAAAACACATTCCACTGAAAGGTTTGGCCTGATGACTTATCCTCAGCCCAGAAAACTAAACAACCATAAGGAAATGAAGAAGGAGCAACAGTCATACATTTTAAAGGCTAGTTTCTTAATAATGACATATGACTGGCATCTCTATATTGAAATTCAGAAAACTGATATTAAGCAAGAAAAAAGCTGGAAGTTAGATATTTATTTACTTAACTAAGAATATTTAGCTTCTTCTAAAGGGAAATTGTAAAGCATCACATACGATGTATACTTTGTGATAATGATCAGCATAGCCTAACTTAACCAATGATAAATTACCAATCCAAATAAATGTCTTTAATGAAAAGACCTGGAAACAGAATATTCTACAAATTGACTTAACTAGAAAACTAAAATAAATTTCTTCTAAATGGTTTCTATTTAAAATTTTTAATTAACAAAAGCAAATACTGTTAGGAGATACAAGTCTGATGACTACATCATGATGAGTACAGATAATAATCTACTGTATACCTCAAAATTGCAAAGGGATTAGATTTTAAATGTTCTCATCACAAAAAAAAATGATAAATGTAAGAGGTTATGCATGTTAATTGGCTTGATTTAGCCATTCCATATCAACTTGTACACCATAAATACATACAATTTTTGTCAATGTTTAAAAAGACATATACATATACACACACACATATATATATAATGTTTTTATTGTTCTAAAAGCACACATATACTTTATTTTAAACACGGGGCATGGTGGCTCACACTTGTAATCCCAGCACTTTGGAAGGACAAGGCAGGAGGATCACTTGAGAACAAGAGTTCAAGATCAACCTGGGTAACACAGCAAGACTTTGTCTCTACAAAAACAATACAAAGATTAGACAGGTGTAGTGGTACACGCCTGTAGTCCCAGCTATTCAGGAGGCTGAGACAGGAGAATCACTTGACCCCAGGAAGTTAAGGCTATAGTGAGCCATGATCAAGCCACTGCACTCTAGCCTGGGTGACAGAGCAAGACCCTGTCTCAAAAAAAATTATAATAATTTTAAAGCAAATTCTTGCAAGATACCAAGAACCCAAATTTTCTACATTTAATTTTTTTTTCAGGCTGGGAGTGATGGCTCACATCTGTAATTCCAGCACTTTTGGAGGCCGAGGCAGGAGGACTGCTTGCAGCCAGAAGATCAAAACCAGCTTGGACAACATAGTGAGACCACATCTCTAGAAAAAAATTTTTTAAATTACCAAGCATGGCTAGGCATGGTGGCTCACGCCTGTAATCCCAGAACTTTGGGAGGCTGAGGCAGGCGGATCACAAGGTCAGGAGTTCAAGACCAGCCTGGCCAACATGGTGAAACCCAGTCTCTAAAAATACAAAAATTACTTGGGCATGGTGGCGCATGCCTATAATCACAGCTACTCCAGAGGCTGAAGCAGGAGAGTTGCTTGAACCAGACCCAGGAGGCAGAGGTTGCAGTGAGCCAAGATCATGCCACTGCACCCCAACCTGGGCTACAGAGCGAGACTCTGTCTCAAAAAAAATTAATTAATTTAAAAAAATAATAAAAATTACTGAGCACTGTGGTACACACCTGTAGTCCTAGCTACTGGGGAGGCTGTGGCAGGTGGATTGCTTAAGCCCAGAAGTTTGAGGTTACCGTGAACTATGATCACACTACTGCACTGCAGCCTAGGCAACAGAATGAGACCCTGCCTCTTTAAATAACATAGATAAAAAATTTTTTTCAATGATCTAAAACATCAAGCCTTTGAAAATGTTTTTTCTATTGTTTCCAGTACATACACCTTACTATATGAAAGAACGTAGGGTACAGAATCCATCTAAAATATTCCAGGAAATACCATTCCAAATGAGTTAGGAGTATACTCATTCAGGCTATGATACACACACACAAGCACACACACATGCACACTTTTTTTTTTTTTTTTTTTTTGAGACATGCTCTCATTCTGTCACCCAGGCTGGTGGCATGATCTCAGCTCACTACAGCGTCCACCTCTCAGACGCAGGTGATCCTCCCACCTCAGCCTCCCAGGTAGCTGAGTCCACAGGCGTAAGCCACCACACCTGGCTAATTTTTATGTTTTTTTTTTGTAGAGACAGGGTTTCGCCATCTTGCCCAGGCTGGTCTCAAACTCCTGAGCTCAAGGACTCCGCCTGGCTCGGCCTCCCAAAGTGTGTGGACTACAGGCGTGAACCACCATGCCCAGCCTATGATATATATTAAATATAATTAGGATGTTTATTAAATAATGTTTACCAGTCCTCATTTCCACTGCTAAAAATGTTACACCCTAATGTTAATTAATACTTTATAGTGTAAAGACCAAGCAAATAATTGAAGAAAAAGTATAGAACTCCATATAACATAATCTTTTCCAAATGTTATGTTTTATTACATAGACACACATAAATGTTCTGTTTTATACTTTAACACGCCATACCTAGCAACATATCTCACACACAGAAGAGAATCGTTAGTACCCATTTGACAGGAATCTTTAATGTTTTCACTTTTTCAGGGTTTAAGGAGTAACAGCATCCTAACACCCAGAAATGCCACAGTGACCTACCATGAGGCAAATATCACCAGCCTACTTAAAAAACCAACTATTGATATAATAATTAACTTCTGATATACTCAATAACAAGTAACTATATTTTTCAAAATATTAGTATCTATTGAAACAACAAAATATTACCTAATTCTGACTTAGCTTTCCTATACAGAGAAGACTGCACTTAGAAATTTTTTGTCTGCTTACAAAAACTTACCTACATAAACCAGTTTAGCCACTTTTCCAGTAAGATTTCAAAGTAATATTCATTTCCTTTTTCCTGTAGCCCAGAAACAGCTAAGTGATTAAGAGTCATTTTAGACTTCCTGTAGTTCCCATGCAACTTTTTAGCACTGCCAATATACCAGCACCTGTACTTACTGCCGGCTTTCCTGGTGTGGGAGGCAAAGATGGTTCTAGTAGGGCCCAGATTTTTCTACCCCAGAAATTCACTTTAGGTGTAGATTTCTAATTTCTTCTTAAAAATAAATAATTACTAAATACATTATCTACTCCCAAGGACCCTAACTACTTAAGATTTAGGTAGAAGCAAACATTTAATTGAATCTATAAAAAGAGTTAAGTAAAAAGAAAATACAATTTAGGCCGGGCTCAGTGGCTCATGCCTGTAATCCCAGCACTTTGGGAGACCAAGGCTGGAGGAATGCTTGAGCCCAGGCATTTGAGACCAACCTGAGCAACACAGCAAGACCCCGTCTCTAATAAAATAAATTTTTTTTTAAAATACAGGTTAAGGCCGGGAGCAGTGGCTCACGTCTGTAATCCCAGCACTATGGGAGGCCAAGGCAAGTAGATCACCTGATATCAGGAGTTTGTGACCAGCCTGGCAAACACGGTGAAACCCTGTCTCTACTAAAAATTAAAAAATTAGCCAGGTGTGGTGGTGTGTGCCTGTAATCCCAGCTACTCGGGACGGTGAGGCAGGAGAATCGCTTGAACCTGGGAGGCAGAGGTTGCAGTGAGCTGAGACCGCGCCACTGTACTGAGAGACAAGAGCAAAGACTCTGTCTCAAAAAATAAAAAACAAAAATTTAAATACAATTTTAACTTTAAATTTTTTTTTTTTTTTTTGAGACGGAGTCTCGCTCTGTCACCCAGGCTGGAGTGTGCAGTGGTGTGATCGCAGCTCACTGCAAGCTCCGCCTCCTAGGTTCACACCATTCTCCTGCCTCAGCCTCCCGAGTAGCTGGGACTACAGGCACCTGCCACCACACCCGGCTAATTTTTGTATTTTTAGTAGAGACGAGGTTTCACTGTGTTAGCCAGGAAGGTCTCGATCTCCTGACCTTGTGATCCACCCGCCTCGGCCTCCCAAAGTGCTAGGATTACAGGAAAAAAATTTTATTTAAAAATATTTGGGGACCACTCACGGTGGTTCATACCTGCAATCCCAGCAGTTTGGGAGGCTGAGGCGGGTGGATCACTTGAGGCCAGGAGTTCAAGACCAGCCTGGCCAACATGGCGAAACTCCATCTCTACTAAAATTACAAAAATTAGCTGGGCATGGTGGCCACACCTGTAATCCCAGCTACCAGAGAGGCTGAGGCATGAGAATTGCTTGAACCCAGGAGGCAGAGGTTGCAGTGAGCTGAGATCGCATCACTGCATTCCAGCCTGGGCGACAGAATGAACTCTGTCTCAAAAACAAAAACAAAAAAATACAAAAATTAGTCAGGTGCAGTGGCCCACGCCTGTACTCAGCTACTCAGACAGCTGAGGCAGGAGAATTGCTTGAACCCAGGAGGTGGAGATTACAGTGAGCCGAGATCAAGCCACTGGACTTCAGCCTTGGCAACAGAACGAGACTCTGTCTCAAAACAAAACAAAACAAAATCTGTAGAGTTGGGGTCTCATCATATTGCCCAGGCTGTTCTCAAACTCCTGGGTTCAAGCAATCCTCCTGCTTTGGTCTACCAAAGTGCTGGGATTACAGATGCGAGCCACCATGCCTGGCCTACACTTTTAAAGAAAAAGTGATTTCGAGAAAATATTACAGTCTAAAATCAAAACAAGGAAACTTTGCTAATACCCAGAGTTACCCACATTCAATCTAACACACAGTAGCCAGCAGACACAATTTTTAAATTCTGTTTAAAAATTACAGTCAGTTTGTGGTAAATATCAATTAATAATTTCATTCTTGGCCAGGCGCGGTGGCTCACGCCTGTAATCCCAGCACTTTGGGAGGCTGAGGTGGGCGGATCACAAGAAGAGTAGATCAAGACCATCCTGGCTAACACAGTGAAACCCCATCTCTACCAAAAATACAAAAAATTAGCTGGGCATGGTGGCGGGCACCTGTAGTCCCAGCTACTTGGGAGGCTGAGGCAGGAGAATGGCGTGGACCCGGGAGACGGAGCCTGCAGTGAGATCGTGCTACTGCACTCCAGCCTGGGCCAGGGAGCGAGACGCCGTCTCAAAAAAAAAAAAAAAAAAAAGAATTTCATTCTTGGCCGGGCGCAGTGGCTCACACCTGTAATCTCAGCACTTTGGGAGGCCGAGGCAGGTGGATCACGAGGTCTGGAGTTCAAAACCAGCCTGGCCAAGATGGTGAAACCCTGTCACTACTAAAAAAAAAAAAATAAGTAAATAAATAAAAAATACAAGAATTTCATTCCTGGGCTGGGTGCGGTGGCTCACGCCTGTAATCCTAGCACTCTAGGATGCCGAGGCAGGTGGATCACCTGAGGTCAGGAGTTCAAGACCAGCCTGGCTAACACGGTGAAACCCTGTCTCTACTAAAAATACAAAAATTAGCCAGCCGTGGTGACGCACGCCTGTAATCCCAGCTACTTGGGAGGCTGAGGCAGGAGAACCGCTTGAACCCAGGAGGTGGAGGTTGCAGTGAGCTGAGATCATGCCACTGCATTCCAGCCTAGGCGACAGAGCCAGACTCCGTCTCAAAAAAAAAAAAAAAAAAAATTCATTCTTGGCAGGGTGTGGTGGCTCAAGCCTATAATCCCAGCACTTCGGGAGGCTGAGGTGGGGAGATCACTTGAGGCCAGGAGTTCAAGATCACCCTGGCCAACATGGCAAAACCCTGTCTCTACCAAAACTACAAAAATTAGTTTGGCATGGGGCCATGCCTGTAATCCCAGCTACTGGGGAAGTTGAGGCATGAGAATTGCTTGAAGCCAGAAGGCAGAGGTTGCAGTGAACTGAGACTGCACCACTGCACTCCAGCCTAGGCAACAGAGTGAGACTCTGTCTCAAAAAAGAAAACAAAAACTAGCTGGGTGCAGTAGCCCACACCTGTAGTCTCAGCTACTCAGGAGGCTGAGGCAAGAGAATTGCTTGAGCCTGGGAGGTGAAGGTTACAGTTAGCCAAGATTGCGCCATTGTACTCCAGCCTGGGCAACAGAGCAAGACTCTGTCCATCCAGCACTCCCTCAAAAAAAGAAAGAAAAAAAAATTTTTATTAACTTAGGTGCAATTTTCTAGCAACCAAAGACATTTTTCTCTTAAATACTTTTACTAGTAGATACACAAAGCAGTATGGTGTACTAGTAGTTAAAAGTCTCGACTTAGAACTAGATTTGTACCATGTACTAGACATACGATCTGGGTTATTTACTTAACCTCTCTGTACATTAATTTCATCATCTGTAAAATGAAGTCCCACTTCATAGAGGGGTTTTGAGGATTAAATAGACAAAATACTTACCGATGATAGGCTTCTCGACGATACTTTTTCAGGGCATGCTTATCCATGTTAGCAGGCATATCTGCTGCATTCTGTAACCGATCACTCCAGGAGGTTGACATTTTATTTTAACTGTATTTTGTATTCTAGAAAAGAAAATCATTAATTTAGTAACTTAATATTGGCATCTGTATACTGACATCTGATTTTTTTAAAAATCAGAAAAACTCCAGCTTGCAAACTGCCTAATATAATTACCTATTAAAACACACTGAATACAGTAAATATGCTGAAAATTATACTGACACTTCTCAATAATCTAAAGTTGGAAAAATAATTTCATATGGTAATTTCAATCCGGAAAGATAACATATACTTCCAAATAATTAAGCATGGCTGCCAGTAATTACTCTAATCCTAGATTCTAGAAAAGGCACTAAAACCACAGCACAGCAGTTTGTGAAGATATATAATTTTAAGTTGATGTATGTTTTTAAAATGTGTGTAGTAGGCAAATTTTAAATTCTAATCAACAGATTCTGGTGTGGAGTAGAACAGTAGCAGGCACAGCTAGCGGGTTGGAATGGGGGTACAGCTCGTTTCCCCATTCCCGTAAGACGCCAGCCCCACCCCTCTGCCTGCCCAGCCAACCCCGCTGTACTACCCCAAGGTGTGAGTCTGGGTTGGATACTGGCTACCCCCCAGCAGACCCCCATCATAGGCAGCCAGAGCTCCAAGGCTCCTCGGAAGACGTGACCACCAAGGTTGCGGCAGGTGCTTCCCCTGCAAAGGCCAACGGACAAGACGATGGCCACGTGAAAAGCAATGAAGACTTATCTCCCAAGGGTGAAGGAGTGTTGCCTCTGTGAACAGAACACATGAGGCAGCCGGGGCCACTGGCGATGCCATTGAGCCAGCATCCCCTATCCAGGGTGCTGAGGCCAAGGGGGCAGTCTCCCCTAATAAGTTCTCTCTCAAGAAGTCTTTCAAATTCAGCAGGCTGCTCTTCCACAAAAATTGGAAGGAGGACGGGGGCAGTTCTTCTGCCTCTCAGCCAGAGGAAATGCAGGAGCAAGGTGCCTGTAGCAACAAGGGCACTGCCCAGGAAAGGAAGGCTGCTGCTACCCCTGAGAGCCAGGAGCCCCAAGCCAAGGGGGCAGAGGGTAATGCTGCCTCAGAAGAAGCCCCAGGCTACAGAGACATCCACTCCCTTGGGGCAGAGAGTGGCCCTATACCAGGCAGTGCTGAGCAGAATGAGGAGCTAGGTGGGGGCAGCAAAAACCGTGCTGTCCTTGTGAGGTCATTGCCTGGACCTGGTGCCCTGACTGCCTTCCTGTGCCCAGAAAGGAAGGGGCTATTGCCTCCTGCCAGCCACATTCCCTTTTCCCCTCTCCCTCCTGTGGATTCTCCCATCAGCGATCTGGTTTTCCTCTTAAGGCCAGCTGAAGATAGGCCCTGATAGCTCCCCAGGTTAGGTCACTGATGTAAAATGCTCCTCGCCTTGGCCCTACCTCCCTCCCTGTCCCCACCCCTGCAGAAGGCAACTGTTGGTTTTCTTCCTCGATTCTTTTCCAAGTAGGTTTTGTTTACCCTACTCCCCAAATCCCTGAGCCAGAAGTGTGGTGCTTATACTCCCAAACATTGCATACCCAGCCTCCCGCCGTTGAGTTTTAGTCTCTTGTGCTGTGTCTGCTGGCACTTGGGCTGAAAAGGCCACTGCCTCATCTAGGTTTTTGGTTTGTTTTTGAAACAGGGTCGCAGTGGCGTGATCTCTGCTCACTGCATCCCAGGCTCAAGCCATCTTCCCAACTCAGCTTCCCTAGTAGCTGGGACCACAGGCAGAGACCGGGGCGAGGGGGTCTCTACAAAAAGTGTTGGCCAGGCTGGTCTCGAACTCCTGGGTTCAAGCAATCTGCTCACCTCAATCTCCCAAAGTGCTGGGATTACAGTTGGGAGCCACCCGCCGGCCTCCATCTAGGTTTTCATAAATATCTTACTCATGTGGAAACCTCCAGCTTGTACATCAAATGTGTCTCTTTTTTTGACTTGGTAAGAAAGCATTAGGCTTTGGGGTTGGGGTAGGTCTGTAATGTGAAACAACTTGTCTTTTCTTCTCCCATTGTTATAAAACTTTTAATGGCCAAACCTCAGATTTGTACTTTTTTTTTTTAAGCTGCTAAAACCATTCTCTTCCACCTGGTTTTACTGTAACATTTGAAAAGGAAAAAATGTCATCCCTTTAAAAGATAAATAAATACATTTTGATAACATACTAAGCTCAGTCAATGGTGGCACAAATACAAGCAATAAATATTTGATTTCTAGTTATTTAATGCTTTTACATTTTTCTGTAATAACTTATTTTCAGCTGGCAATAAAGACTATGAACAAAAAGAAGGAATAAACTAAAACATTCCATCTAATTAGGATAAGCATCTAAAATGAGGTGGGCAGCTTAAGTGTTTTTAACTACTTTTACATTAGGCTATTCTTAGGTTTCACTTCTGTTTTTGAAGTTTTCATCAGTAAGTAGTTTCAAATAAGGATGAAAAATATCCTCTTAGAGTTAAGTAGTAGATTAATATTTTATAAAAATAGCATTATTTGTGAAAACATCTGTAGCCTGTTATTTCCCATCTTGAAAATGCTAACATCGTTTATGACATGAAGTCAATATATACCTCCCTTCCTCTCTCCCTTCTTCTGAGACAGGGTCTCACTGTTGCCCAGGCTGGAGTGCAGTGACATGATCATAGCTCACTGTAACCCTGAACTCCTGGACTCAAGTGATCCTTCCACCTCAGGCTCCAGAACAGCTAGAAATACAGGTACTCACTACAAAACCCAGCTAATTATTATTTTTTTTAATTTGTGTACAGACAGGGTCTCATTATGTTGTCCAGGCTAAGTCTTTTTTATATAAATCACCTCTGTGGCTTTTAAAAAAATAATTTATTCAGGGGAAATTCACATAAAATTGGCCACTTTAAAGTGAACAAGTTGGTGGCATTTAGTGCAACCACCAACTCCTTTTAGTGTCAAAATACTTCCATGACTCTAAAGTAAAACCCCTCATCCATTAAGCAGTTTCTTCCCACTATGCCCTCTACCCAGCCCCTGGCAACAACCAATCTGGACTCTGTCTCTGGATTTAACTATCCTGGATATTTCATATAAATGGAATCATACAACATGTGACCTTTTGTGTCTGCCTTCTTTCAGTTGGCATAGTATTTTCAAAGCTCATCCATGTAGTATCACATATCACATTTCATTCTTTCTAATGACTGAATAATAATCCACTGTGCAGGCGCAACTGGCTCTCCTTTTGTGGAAAAGTGAACTTAATCCACACGTCTCATCATATACAAAATTTAAGATGGATCATAGACCTAAACGTAATATCTAAAACTATAAAACTTGTACACAGACCAGGCGCAGTGGCTCATGCCTATAATCCCATCACTTTGGGAGGCCAAAGTGGGTGGATCACTTGAGCTCAAGAGTTTGAAAGCCTGGGCAACATGGCAAAAACCCATCTCTACAAAATATACAAAAATTAGTTGGGCATGGTGGTCCGTATCTGTAGTCCCAGCTACTTGGGAGGCTGAGGCAGGAGTATCACTTGAGCCCAGCAGAGGTTGCAGTGAGGCGGAGGTTGAAGCAGAGCTTGCAGTGAGCTGATTATGCCACTGCGCTCCAGCCTCAGTGACAGAGGAAGACCTGTGGCTCATGCCTGTAATCCCAGCACTTTGGGAGGCTAAGGAGGGTGGATCACGAGGTCAAGAGATGGAGACCATCTTGGCCATCATGGTGAAACCCCGTCTCTACTAAATACAAAAAATTAGCTGGGCATGGTGGCACGCATCTGTAATCCCAGCTACTCAGGTGGCTGACGCAGGAGAATCGCTTTCACCTGGGAGGTGGAGGTTGCAATGAGCTGAGCCGAGATCACACCACTACACTCCAGCCTGGGCAACAAGATCAAGACTGTCTCAAAAAAAAAAAAAAAAGACAAGCAAGCAACCCTTGGGGTTGCTCTGTAAACAGAGTGGTCATTCCTCTGTTTCCTCTACGTTTTCTCTGTATTCCTCTACGTTTTCTTTTTTCTTTTTTTCTTTTTTTTTTTTGAGATAGAGTCTTGCTCTGTCACCCAGGCTGGAGTGCAGTGATGCGATCTTGGCTCACTGCAACCTCCACCTCCCAGGTTCAAGCGATTCTCCTGCCTCAGCCTCCTGAGTAACTGGGATTACAGGCACGCACCACCTTGCCCGGCTAATTTTTGTATTTTTAGTACAGACGGAGTTTCACCATGTTGGTCAGGCTGGTGCCAAACTCCTGACCTCATGATCTGCCCACCTTGGCCTTCCAAAGTGCTGGGATTACAGGTGTGAGCCACTGTGCCCAGCCTCCTCTACTTCCTTAATAAACTTGCTTTCACTTTACTTTATGGACTCGCCCTAAATTCTTTATTACATCAGATCCAAGAACCCTCTCTTGGGGTCTGGATCAGGACCCCTTTCCAGTAACAATACTGTAGGTAGGAAAACCATGGAAGGCCTCTTTGAGGAGGTAATATTTGTTCAGAGACCTGAGTAAAGTAAAGGAGTGATATACAAAATAAAACAAACAGCAACTGCATATACACAAACAACAACTGCACCCAAGTAGCTGGGATTACAGGTGCACACCACCATGCCCGGCTAATTTTTTGTATTTAGTAACACAGTGGTTTGCAACTATACTCCCAGCTACTTGGGAGGCTGAGACAGGAGGATCGCTTTGAGCCCAGGAGTTTGAGGCTGCAGTGAGCTATAATCACACCACTGCACTTCAGCCTGGGTGACAGAGTGAGACCCAATCTCTAAACAAAAAAATAAAACAAACAATAAACCAACCTACTACAGGGTTGGCATATAACATCATATTAATCTGTTTTGCATATTATGGTTTATATGCATATGCAAAAGATTTAGAATATTTTATTCTCTTAGAAGGTTAGATTATCTCTGCAACCTTGTTTGTATACTTAATTTAAGTCCCTCTTCATGGCTAACAGAGGACTTAAAAAACTAAAACAAAATTGCATTTATATATTATCCTTCCATTAGAGTATTGAGAGGAAAAAGACAAGCTATGGTTTGGGACAAAATATTTGCAAACACACATCTGACAAAAGGACTTGTATCCAGAATATAGGAAGAGCTCTCAAAATGCAATAATAAGCTAAATAATCCAATTAAAATACAGGCAAAACATATGCATAGACATTTCATCAAAGAATATATACAAATGGCAAATAAGCATATGAAGTGATGTTTAACATCATTTGTCACTAGGGAAATACAAATTAAAAACACAATAAGATACCAAAATATGCCTATTTGAATATTTAAAATTAAAAAGACAGTATCAAATGTTGTTGAGAATGTAGAGCAACCTGAATTCTACTACACTGCTGGAAAGAAAATAAAAAAGGCACAAGCACTCTGGAAAAGTTTGCCATTTCTTTAAAACTTAAACATATATCTATCATATGTCCCAGACTTTCTAATTGTAAGTAATTGTCCAAGAGAAATTAAAGCACATATCCATATAAAGACTTGAACACAGGCTTGGGCACAGTGGCTCACACCTCTAATCCCAACACTTTGGGAGGCCAAGATGGGTGGATTGCTTGAACCCAGGAGTTCAAGAGCAGCCTGGGCAACATGGCAAAATGCAGTCTTTACGAAAATTGAAAAATTAGTTGGGCATGGTAGCACATGCCTGTAGTCCCAGCTACTTGGGAGGATCACACGAGCCCAAGAGGTTGAGGCTACAGTGAGCCAAGATTGTCTCGTGCCACTGCACTCCAGCCTGGGCGACAGAGATCCTGTCTCAAAAGAAAAAAAAAAACTTATACACAAATGTTCTTAGCAGCTTTGTAATGGCCAGAAACTACAAACAACCCAAATGTTATCCACAAGTAAATGGATAAAAAAAATTATGGTACATCTGTACAATGTAATACTACTATGCAATATAAAGGAATAAAGTATTTACATGCAAAACATTAAAAAATTCGTAATAACTACACTGAGTGAAAGAAGACAAAAAGAGTACATAGTGTATGATTCCGTATATATAAAATCCTAGAAAATGCACACTAATCTGACAGAACACAGACCAGTGGTTCCCTGGGGTAAGGAGGTCAAGTACGGAGAGGAGGAGGTATTACAAAGGAGCCCAGGAAAACTTTTGGGGAGAAGGGGTGATACGTTCAATATCTTCATTATGGTGATGGTTTCATGGGTACATATATATATGTTAAAATTTATTATATACTCTGTGCAACTTATTGTATACCAATTATGCCACAATAAGACTTTTTCAGCCAGTGGCAGTGGCTCACACTTGTAATCCCAGAACTTTGGGAGGCCGAGGCGAATGGATCACTTGACGTCAGGAGATCACATCACTGTACTCCAGCCTGGGCAGCAGAGCGAAACTCTGTCTCAAAAAAAAAAAAAATAATAATTCACAGGCAAAACATGCACAGTCCCCTTCACCACTACCATCACCCTCCCCCAAAGAAAGGAAAACAGCTGCTCCAACAGCTCTAGGCAACTGCTGAAAACAGGAAGCAAAGAGCAACTGAAACTGTAGGGTAAGCCTGGTTAGCAATCTGCACTGAATATTCTTTCCTTCAAAATGGTGTGCCAATAAAATGCTGATAGCCACATATAGTAAGACCACTATCTTTAAACTACAATGAAAGGAAATTTTGTCCCTCCCATAATTACCTCATTACTTAACATAATGTTAAGAAAAGTTCAAGAATTATGATGTAGTACAGTAATATTCTTCACGCCCAAACTGATAAAAGTATAAAAATAGCAGTAAAGGCCTGGCGTGGTGGCTCACGCCTGTAATCCTGGCACTTTGGGAGGCCAAGGTGGGTGGATCATTTGAGGTCAGGAGTTCGAGACCAGCCTGGCCAACATGATGAAACCCTGTCTCTACTAAAAACGGAAAAAAATCAGCCAGGCGTGGTGGCGTATCCCTGTAGTCCCAGCTACTCGAGAAGCTGAGGCAGGAGAATTGCTTCTCCCACCCGGGAGGCGGAGGTTGAAGTGAGCTGAGACTGCGCCACTGCACTCCAGCCTGGGCAACAGAGCGAGACTCTATCTCAAAAAAAAAAAAAAGAAAAAATAGCAGTCAGCACTTCTTTTCATGACAATTCTGCATTAAGACAAAATGCCACGCTGCTAGAGTTATACATTGGCAAACGCTCTTTAAAAAGTCATTTTACATGTCTGTTTCAAGTCAGGTCAGTAATTCATTTGGAATAAAGTGAGGAGCACTTTAACAATATGTAGAGCAGGTCTATCAGGCAGTGTTTAACACATGGCAATTTGAATCAAATATTCATTTTTCAATGGAATAAGTATGTCAACATAGATAATAGGGTAATAATAGCAGTATGAATAATCAGTAGTTTCTACTTCACTCAAATTTTAATTTTGTATTTAAAATACAAAACCTGGGTGGCTCACACCTGTAATCCCAGCACTTTGGGAAGCCGAGGCGGGTGGATCATCTGAGGTCAGGAGTTCAAGACCAGCCTGGCCAACATGGTGAAACCCTGTCTACTAAAAATATAAAAAGTAGCCAGGCGTGGTGGCAGGCACCCATAATCCCAGCAACTTGGGAGGGTGAGGCAGGAGAATCACTTGAACCCAGGAGGCAGAGCTTGCAGTGAGCCGAGATCCCGCCACTGTACTCTAGCCTGGGTGACAGAGCAAGACTCCATCTCAAAAAAAAAAAACTAAACTTGGCATTTTTAAGTTTTATAATCAACCATTCATTCTCATTCTAAGAACACTGCCCTAAAACTTACATGGAAAGGATAATTTTGAATAATTTCTTCAAATTTTCTCACCAGCCTGAAACTTATTTTGGTCTCTAAATACAACAACTTTCACTGCATATTACTCATGTTAAACTAGTTTATGGAAAAACAAAAGTTAAAGCTATATCCTCCATTTGTATGCCTCATATTGTACTAAATAGCCACATTTTATTCAGTCTTTGATAACCCTAGTCCTTGGCAGATAAGCAAGTAAAATCAATAACCTATAGTAGTTAGACATTTGGTTTTATCATTATATTGTGCTTAAGGGCCTCTCTGTAACATAGCCACAGACCAACTTACTTACAAATACATCCCCTTAAAAACATGGAAAGTCAGATGCAAGTTTACTTTAATTCATCTACCAGTACTGCTGAAAAACTAAATCCTCATATTTGTAGTTAACAGTGTCACCTATAACTCAAAGAATAGCACTGTGAAATAAGCTATAGCTTTTTTAAGTATTTTGTAACCTTTACTCCTTATCATCACAAAACACATGAAAGGAGATATATATATATGTGTGTGTGTGATATATATATATATATATATATATATATATATCACACACTCCTTCCCTCCCCTCTTTCCTGAAATTATTAGCTTTTTTTTTTTTTTTTTAACAATCTATCCCTCCTTCTTGGAATTACTAGTTTTAAACTGTTCTTTAATAACTCTAATGAATTTTGAAAAATTCCTGCCCCAAATCCCTCTCAATATTGCCTCTGCATCATTCTTCCTTTCTTTTCTTCTACTGCAAAAATAATTAAACAAATGCTTTTTTTTTTTTTTTTTTTTAAAGACGAAGTCTCTTTCGCTCTGTCTTCCAGGCTGGAGTACAGTGGCACCATCTCAGCTCACTGCAAGCTCTGCCTCCTGGGTTCACGCCATATATATATATATACATATACATACACACATACACACACACATATATATATACTTTAAGTGGGGGTGGGAGGAGGGTGAGGGATGAGAAATTACCTGATGAGTACAATGTACACTATTCAGGTGATGGTTACACTAAAAAGCCAGACCACTGCTATGCTATATATCCAAAACTGTACCCCCTAAATCTATAAAAATTAAAAAATAAAATAGTTTAAGATGAAGAAATGCCTATTTTTCCAGAAGGCTCCTTGAAACTGTTGCATTTAAATTATCTTAAATGTTTCATTACCTCTCATCTTTTAAATAGTTCATGATAAGTTTTTGGTTTTTTTTTTTTTTAGTTTTTTTGAGACAGAGTTTCACTCTTGTTGCCCAGGCTGGAGTGCAATGACGCGATCTCGGCTCAATGCAACCTCCGCCTCCCAGATTCAAGCGATTCTCCTGCGTCAGCCTCCCAAGTAGCTGGGATTACAGGCATGAGCCACCACGCCCGGCTAATTTTGTATTTTTAGTACAGACGGGGTTTCACCGTGTTGGTTAGGCTGGTCTCGAATTCCTGACCTCAAGTGATCCACCTGCCTCCCAAAGTGCTGGAATTACAGGAATGTGCCACCGTGCCCAGCCTATAAACAAGTTTTTTTGTTTATTTTTCATTTCATTATTTTCATTCAGAGTTCTTTATGTCACTTGTCCCAAACTGCACTACACATTCCTGTCAAAGGCCAACACTCAATAGTTCACACACCAAAGTGATGCCAACAGTTAACAAACTCCAACTAATAACATCACACTTACCCACACACATCACTCACTGTCCTCTTACCCTGCTTTACTTGTTTTTTGCACATAACCCTTACATTTGACAGTTTGCATTCTGTCAATCTCTCCAAAATATAAGCTCCATAAGGGAGAGGAGTGTTTTATTTGCTGCTGTATCCCCAGCATCTCGCACAGTAGACTTAACAGACAGAAATAAATGAACCATTAAACGTCTACACATGGAGCCCTTTGCTTTTCAGAAGCCTATTTTTGTGTAAGCCTGAAAATGCAAGAATAACTGCAGAAGTCCCTTTTAATACTCTAAATGAATCTTTGTGAAATCTTATTCTTGGTTCACAAATACATAAGATTCTTGGCTTGATTAACATAATATTTTGCTAACATTTCAACATCAGGCCTCGGAACAAAAGCTTCCTTGTTCTCCGAAGGAAAAATAACAAAGTTGAGAAGAGAGAACTTGTCGAGTGAGAAATGCAGTACCTGTTGCCTTGACAATTTGTTTTTCTTCTTCAAGCAGCTACATGCTCCTATCTGTAGTCTGAAATTGTAACTAGAAACTACAAATTTATTTCATCTGTTCCTAAACTTTTGAAAATATACAAAAAAGACTAATTTTGCTATGTTCTCATCAACATTCTATTGCTACTATCCTGCCATATCACATAGAATGCTATATATTTGTTCTACATCAACACATTAAGGCTGCTTCTAACTGAATGTTTTGAATAATACCGGACCTTCAACAATAACATGGTTATTGACACAAAGGAACAAGAGAGCATGTAAGGAAAACATTTTAAAAGACTGAGCTATTTCTTCAAAACGTTGCCATAATTAACTGAGGTCTTCAAAAGCATAAAGGTATAAACCAGCTGTACAATTTTTACATTCAGACGATATATAATACTTTGCACCTTTAGTAATGACTCCTGAATACTCCTTTAAAAAAAAAAAATACATAGGGCAAGGTGCAGTGGCTCACACCTATAATCCCACCACTCTGGGAGGCCAAGCCAGGCGGATCCCTTGAGCCTAGGAGTTCGAGACCAGCCTAAGCAACATGGCAAAACCCCCATCTCTATAAAAACATGCAAAAATTAGACAGGCATGGTGACGGGTGCCTGTAGACCCAGCTACTCGGGAGGCTGAGGTAGGAAGATTGCTTGAGCCGGGAAGGCAGAGATTGCGTGAGCCAAGATCGCACCACTGCACACTCCAGCCTGGACAACAGACAAAGACCCTGTCTCCAAAAAAAAAAAAAAGGAAAAAAAAAAAAAAGCAGGTAAAAAACTGCTTTATTTCAGGAAAGAACTCATTCTCTTACCAATGAACTCCTGCTCACCATTCAACTTTGGTTTAGCTCTTATTTTTCCTGTTACAAAATAATTTAAAAAGATAAAATCGGAAAGGCATAAATAACCACAGACCACAGTATTTCTACCTTTTAATATATAAATTCATACTTAAGGTTTAGTCCACCTATTTGGTTAAAATTCAGAGATATGCATGAGTTCGATGCCTTAATAATGCTAACATAATAACAGCTGACATTTATTGAGTACTTACTATTTTTCATGTATGATTCTAAGCAGCATAGTACATATTTTAACTCACTGACTTTTCAGAACAACCCTATATGTTAGGTACTATTATCCTCATTTTACGAAGAAGTAAACAGGAAAGAGAAGTTAGATAATTTGAAGTCACAGAATTATACTGTGGTTAAGAGTACGGATTCTGGAGCCACACTGCCTGCGTTCAAAACCTGGCTCTAACACCAACTAGCTCTACGACTAAGCAAATTATAAGCACTACAGTTTCTTCCATTGCAAAACAGGTAGAGTTGGAACAAGGATGTAAGGTGCTAAGAACAGTGGCTGAGACATGGAAATTGGTCAATATAAACTGTTTATAATGCTTGAGTGCAAGATGTTTGAATACTTGAAGCCTTAGCACAATACAGTACTTGATGTTTGCAGGAATGAGTAATAGGCTTCTACTTTTGGAGTCAAAACCTCATAGCGTCCATTACGTATCAGAGGCTGTAACAATTTCACACATTTATCACGTCAATTAAAGTATCCTAAATATAAGGACAACTATAGCTATAGGTTTGTTTCCTTTCTTCCTGGAAGCTCTCAGACCTAGAGAGAATTAATTCAAGATTTATTTCACCAAACCTACTTCAAAAGTAAACGAGTAATTCAAGGCTTAAAAAAATGGCATTTACTGGCTGGGTGCGGTGGCTCATGCCTGTAATCCCAGCACTTTGGGAGGCCGAGGCGGGCGGATCACAAGGTACAGAGATCGAGACCATCCTGGCTAACACAGTGAAACCCCGTCTCTACTAAAAATACAAAAAAATAGCCAGGCGTGGTGGCACATGCCTGTAATCCCAGCACTAGGGAGGCTGAGGCAGAGGAACAGCTTGAACCCGGGAGATGGAGGCTGCAGTGAGCTGACATGGAGCCACTGCACTCCAGCCTGGGTGACAGAGCAAGACTCCGTCTCAAAAAAAAAAAAAAAAAGGCATTTACTGACCAGATTTGTGAAAGATTCTAATGTTAGGCCAGGGGCGGTGGTTCACGCCTATAATCCCAGCACTCTGGGAGGCTGAGGTGGGCGGATCACCTGAGGTCAGGAGTTCAAGACCAGCCTGGCCAACAGGGCAAAACCTGTCTCTACTAAAAATACAAAAATTAGCTAGGCATGGTGGCGCATACCTGTAATCCCAGCTACTAGGGAGGCTGAGGCAGGAGAATCGCTTAAACCCAGCAGGCGGAAGTTGCAGTACGCTGAGAGCGCACCTCTACACTCCAGCTTGGGCAACACAGAGAGACTCCACCTTAAAAAAATAAAAAAGGCCAGTTGCAGTGGCTCACATCTGTAATCCCAGCACTTTGGGAGGCTGAGGCGGGTAGATTACAAGGTCAGGAGTTCAAGACCAGCTTGGCCAAAATGAAGAAACTCCATCTCTACTAAAAATAAAATAAAATAAAAAATTAGCCAGGTGTAGTGGTGGGCGCCTGTAATCCCAGCTACTCGGGAGATTAAGGCAGAGAATTGCTTGAACCCGGGAGGCAGAGGTTGCAGTGAGCTGAGACTGCACCAATGCACTTCAGCCTGGGGGGCAGAGTGAGAATCCATCTTAAAAAAAAAAAAAAAAAAAAACTTTTAATGTTTACTCTCCAAGCCACAGCTTGGTCTTATTTACACAGCATGATACTGTTAAATGCTTATTAAAATAACTTAAAATTCTTATAATTTTGATACAGAATGTTTGAGCTATTTCAATCTACACACTATTATTCTAGCTGGTTTACTTAGCAGCTCTCAAACAAACTAGATAGAGATACACAAATGCCTAACTAGATTCTAATATGACTGCTATAAAAAGTGTGCAAAATATTTTTCAAGGATAGTCAAATACATGTACTACTCATCTTTAAAGGCAAATGAGACAAAATAATGTAGAAGAGCAGAAATCTGTAAAATATTTACACTAAAATGAATTCAAAAATTTCATTTTCTACAATATTCTGACCCAAAATCAGAGCATAACAAAAGCATGTCCTGTCCTTATGAATTTATAGAGCATAATTTTATGACAAACATAATGGTAGAAAAAGAATATGTAACACAAATACTAGCTGATCATATTAAAGATAAAATAGGGCGGACGCGGTGGCTCACGCCTGTAATCCCAATGCTTTGGGAGGCCGAGGCAGGTGGATCACGAGGTCAGGAGTTCGAGACCAGCCTGGCCAACATAGCGAAACCCCCATCTCCACTAAAAATACAAAAAAATTAGCCAGGCATGGTGGCGGGCGCCTGTAATCCCAGCTACTCGGGAGGCTGAGCCAGACGAATCACTTGAACCCAGGAGGTGGAAGTTGCAGTAAGCAGAGATCACGCCATTGCACTCCAGCCCAGGCGACAGTGCAAAAATCAAAAATGAATAAATAAATAAAAAATAAAGATAAACTAAGCAGAAAAAAATACGCACTGTCAATAAACCTAAATGTGAAAAAGCAAAACCATACAATTTACAGAAGAATATAGAGATGAACAGCCTTACGGATCAAAGGTAGGGAAGACTTTCTTGCATAAAAGACAAAAAATGCAAAACATTTTGGGATTCACTTTCCCCATCTGTCAAATGAAGGCATTGAACGTGGAAGACTCTCAAGTTCCCTTCCAGATGTAGAAACAGATTTATGGGTCCAGATTCTGTAGAGGTCACAGTGTTTTTTACAATTTTTTACGATCAGTTGCCCACATTTATAAATCAGAAAATTCTGTATAACATACGAATTTGGGCTGGGCGCAGTGGCTTATGCCTATAATCCCAGCACTTCGGGAGGCTGAGGTGGGCAGGTCACCTGAGGTCAGGAGTTTGAAACCAGCCTGGCCAACATGGTGAAACCCCATCTCTACCGAAAACACAAAAATTAGCCGGGCACAGTGTCACATGCCTGTATTCTCAGCATGCCTGTAGTACTCGGGAGGCAGAGGCAGGAGAATTGCTTGAACCCAGGAGGTAGAGGTTGCAGTGAGCTGAGATCGAGCCAGCCTGGGCAACAAAGTGAGACTCCGTCTCGGAAAAAAAAAAAGAGTGTGGGATGAAAGAGCCTGCTTGTACTATGTGCTTGGAAAGAGAAGACTGAAATCTGATGCCTGAAATTTAACGGCTTAAAAAAAAAAATCAGTAAGCTTGCTGAGTATTAGCATGTTTTCATTACAGATGCCCAGTGGGATATATATTTTTATAGGCTCATTAGTTTAATGGAGTTTCTTTAATGTTTTATTTTAGGTTCATCTTAAAATACTGTGAAATATTTCAAACACACAGAAAATAATATAATGATCATTTGATATGTCTACTACCCACCTTCTTTATCAAATTTTAACAATTAAAATTAAGGGCCGGGCGTGGTAGCTCACGCCTGTAATCGCAGCACTTTGGGAGGCCAAGGCGGACGGATCATGAGGTAAAGAGATTGAGACCATCCTGGCCAACATGGTGAAACCCCATCTCTACTAAAAATACAAAAATTAGCTGGGCGTGGTGGCACACGCCTTTAGTCCTAGCTACTCGGTAGGCTGAGGCAGGAGAATCGCTTGAACCCAGGAAGCGGAGGCTGCAGTGAGCCGAGATCGCACCACTGCACTACAGCCTGGCGACAGAGCGAGACTCCATCTCAAAAAAAAAAACGAAAAAAAAAACAAAGATTAAGACTGTCATAATTTTTTTAACTTTTTTCTTTTACTGTTTACTGAATTTTTTTTTTTTGAGATGCTCTGTCGCCCAAGCTGGAGTGCAGTGGCACGATATAGGCTCACTGCAACCTCTGCCTCCCAGGTTCAAGCGATTCTCGTGTCTCAGCCTCCTGAGTAGCTGGGACTACAGGTGGGCGCCATCACGCCCAGCTAATTTTTTATATTTTTAGTAGAGACGGGGTTTCACCATGTTGGCCAGGCTGGTCTCGAACTCCTGACCTCAGGTGATCCACCTGCCTCGACCTCCCAAAGTGCTGGGATTACAGGCGTGAGCCACCGCACCTGGCCGGTTTGCCGCATTAATTTTGTGGCTTTCTTTTTTTTTTTTTTTTTTTTTGAGACAGAGTTTCACTCTTGTCACCCAGGCTGGAGTGCGTGGCGCAATCTCAGCTCACTGCAACCTCCGCCTCCTGGGTTCAAGCGATTCTCCTGCCTCAGCCTCCCAAGTAGCTGGGATTACAGGCATGCGCTACCACGCCTGATTAATTTTTGTATTTTTAGTAGAGATGGGGTTTCACCATGTTGGCCAGGCTGGTCTCAAACTCCTGACCTCAGGTGGTCATTCACTCCGCTCTAATTGCAAAGAATCCATGTAGCATACTTGTAAACTGCTTACCAGAATTTCTCTTTCCAGTTTTATCTCAGACTACTGCTCTACCAAACCCTTTTAGTGAGAACAATCTATTAATCATACCCTCAATACATCCACTTCAGCATCTTCTCCCTACTCTGAAGTGTTACTGTTTTTCCTGATCCCACCAAGCTACATTAATATTCCTTCACTCTGAGCAAAAAAAACTAACATTTATAGAGAACTTAATGTGTGCCAGTATCACTTCAACTGAATTATTCTATTTAATCCACATAACTCTGTAAAATTTGTTCTATTTTTCCCTTCTCAAGGTGAGAGAAACTGAGTGAGCTTGTCTAAGGTTAACTGAGTTCCCCGAGGTTGCATGATGTTAAGTAGCAAGCCAGACTACAAAATCCGGGCCCTTAAATAAATGCAATGTCTCCTGGCTGAAAGTATGACTGCCTTTACTGCTCACGTCACTCAACATATGCCTTGTGATAGTTAGTATTTTGTGTTAAATGTCTAAAAACCTCAAAACATTACAACACTTATTCAACAAAAATTTACTAAGAGCCTGTGTGCCAGGCATTGTTGACTACCGGGGCACATTAGAGAGCATCTACTAATGAAGATTAGATGAATTCTCTAAATACATGGACATCCCAGAAATATTGGTAAGAGCAAAATCCCAAATAATATGTACACAGCAAGTGTACTAGATAAAAACCAGTCTATGTAAGTACTTTAAAAGAGCACAGTCATAACATGACAAAGTTGTGGGTTTTTGTTTTTGGGGATTTGTTGTTATTTACTATTTCACTGAATTAAGCTTTTGGTAAGAGAATTAAGCAACAGGGTCGGACGCAGTGGCTCAAGCCTGTAATCCCAGTACTTGGGAGGCCGAGGCGGGCAGATCACCTGAGGTCAGGAGTTCGAGACCAGCCTGACCAACTTGGAGAAACCCCGTCTCTACAAAATTAGCCAGGCGTGGTGGCGCATGCCTGTAATCCCAGCTACTCGGGAGGCCGAGGCAGGAGAACTGCTTGAACCCGGGAGGTGGAGGTTGCAATGAGCCAAGATCATGCCATTGCACTCCAGCCTGGCCAACAAGAGCAAAGCTCCGTCTCAAAAAAAAAAAAAAAAGAGAGAGAGAGGAAATACTTAAAAAAAAAAACCTGTGTTTTATGTACTCCTCTTTCCCCATAAAACAGGAGAAATAGCCTAGAGAAAGATTAATGAGCACCTCTGTGCCTAACATTCTATTGTAATCTGGCTTTCTTTAGGAAGATGTGATGTCTTCTGGTTAAGGGTGGCAGGTACTATAAGGGAATACTATCTATATAAATCTTCTTACAATTACAAACTTCTGAAAACTTGTAGCTGATGGTAAATTTTCATACAATGGCATCAAACCTTTGAACTGAAAGGAATCTTGCATAACATCTCCTTCAGAACCCCCCCCACTCCACCCCGCGCCCCTCCACCTTATTTTACAGATTTGTTGGTTACTAAATCCTAAAACCTTAATTCTGGGTCAATGAGAGTAATGCAGCTACCTATACTGTTGAAATGTAGTGGTTTACACTGCAATGGAAATGCACTTCAGAAATAAGTCTGTGTATGCTAGTATCAACCCTGCATGTGGAGTTTTTATTTTAATTACTAACCAGCTATGTTTTCTTGAACTTAACCTTTTTTGTTCTTTTTTTTTTTTCCACTCTCAGCTCACACCTATTTTTTTTCTCTTTTCGAACTTCACCCTTTCAGGCCTGGATGTCTTCATCTGGATAAATTCTAACCGTTGTTGAAAAGCCATGTGGTAAATATTTTTGAAACCTAAAGCCTTCTCTACGCAATAACACTAAGTTTTCATGGTAAATGACACAGTTTCAATATTCTCCCTTTCACATTATGGTCAGTAGTTTGCATTCGTTGCTTGAAGAGGCGAAATGAATAGTCTACAGACACTGGGAACCAAGTACAGCTCAATCCTGAAGAACTCATCGGCCCCTGGACGGGCGCGCACACACCCCCCTGTAATGGTGACTAGTCATTTCGGGGCGCTGTACTTCAGAGCACGACCCCCCTCAAACATCAAGGCCCTAAAGGTGAAAGCCCAGGAAAACGTCGATTCGGACAGCAGCCTCTACCTGCTGCTTTTAGAAGCTGTGGCCTGCCGGAGTCAAACCCCCAAAACGTTTTTCTTAAACTAAGGGTTCAGGCCTCAGATCGGCATCTCGCCCTCTCCGATTTCAGGAGCCCCGAAAAAAGGAGAAGAATAGGCCGCCACTGAACGGCTCAGCCCCCTGACCAGGAGCTGTCCGGATGTTTTTTGTGGCGGCTTGCAATTCGCTGTGACCTTTCCAGGAAGTGTTGCACACGGGCGTGTGGCAAACGAGCTGGCCGTTTCTCGCGGTCCTGCTAAAACGCTGTCAACCTGGCGCTCCACCAGAGGCCCCTTGGCTTCTCGGGAGGCGACCGAGGAGCTCTGGGGGCGGGGAGGCTTTTACAAGAAGCGAAAAGACGGCCTCAGGGGTGGCCGGGAACAGCCTGGAATCAGCTGGAGGACGTCAGCAGGACTGAGGAAAGGGCTACCACCAGCGTGAGGAAAGGGGGGAAGAGGGCGGAACGCGGCGAACGGCCGCGCTGGGAGGCTGAGGCGGGGTCCCAGCGAGCCGGCGGCTGGGAAACAATGGCGCGAGCGTGACGTGGGCCGGAGGCGTCGCGGCGGCGCGGAGGAAGGGGCTGCCGTGGGGCGGGGGCCGCACCGAGGGAGTTGGGAGGCGTGCGGCGTCCGCGAGCGCGCTGGCGGGGACTCGGCCTAAGGAGAGGGGCCTTGGGGCCATGGTCCCTGGGGGCCGGGGGCGGGGGCAGGCGGCGGCCGCTACCCTGGGGTCGCGTGTTCGGCCGCGCACCTCCCCACCTAGCTCCCCGTTCGCCCGCTCCTTCCCCGCCCGCCCACGGGGCCCGCCGCACTCACCGGCTCCAGCGCACCGCAACAATCCCAGCGCGCAACTGCCGCAGCCGCCTCAACGCGCGCCCTCCCCGCCCCCGCCGCCCGGCACCGCCCCGCGCCGCCCCTCTGCTCGCGCCCGGCCAGGGACCGGCGCGCTGTTCCGTCCCCCAGCTCCGCCGCAGAGTTCGGCGAAGCCGACGCTCCCTGACCGCGCTGCGTCTGTCTGTCCCGCGGGTCTGGAGATCTTCAAACGATGGAACACCGGCTTTGCCCTTCTGAGGGTCTCCATCCCTTGGCATTCTGCCTGCGCCCCTCAGCCTGGCCCTGGGCTAACCTCTCCACTGTGTCTCATTCAGAAGAAGCTTTTCCTTGGGAGGAGAGGGCATCCTTTTTCCCAGTCACAGAATGTTTTGGTCTAATGGACCTCAAGGCCCCTCATGCGTCCACACCCCCATGGCACCCTCGAATCCCCTTGATGGCTAAAAACACCAGCTTTGAAGTTTGTCAGAACGAGTTCCAGTCCCAGTACCACCACTTACAAACTGTAACCTCGGGCGAGGTACCTGACCTCCTATACCTGGTGCCCACATTTGTAGCACCAGGATAGGGAACAACAGTCCCCACATCAAAGGGTGTTGACGGGATGAAATCACACAATATAGGTGAGGCCCTCAGCAGGATCCTGGCACACAGTAAGCACTCAATAAATGTTCACCCCACCACCAGCAACTCAGCAGGAAGACTCCGCAAAAGCAGCTAGCTATTTCCAGAGGACTGAATTCCTTGGTCCGAGCAGCTCTCACCAGTGAGAAAATGTGTCTAAACTTCCACTCTCAGGGCCGAAATTCGATGCCTTGGAGCCACAGAGAACAAACGTCTAATCTCTCCTGGACCTTTGACTTTTCAGATACTTTACTTCTATCACCTCTGCCCAAGGTCTTCTCATTCCACATCAGTGTCTCCCGTTCCTTCCATTGTTCCTCCTCTGCCCTGGTTTTGAGGGTCTTTATCCCTCTCACGCAAATGGTAGATTTGACTGTGATTTCTTTAGAATACATCACCCAAGACTGAACCAAATGTTTGTGGTATCATCAGAGCAAAGCAGGACTATAGCTTCCTCCTTTTGGGACCTATCGCTTTGCACTCCTGCGATAAAGTTCTTGGCACCCATACTGTTGACTCATATTGGGCTTGCAGTCAACCAAAACCTCCGCGTCTTTTTAATAAGTGCTCCGCCAGAGCACTTCTACCCCTTCTTGTGCTTCTCAGCCAACTTCGCTTCAGGTCAGCTAAGGATAGACCTTGGGCCCCTCACCTTCTAAATTTCTCAGGATATATGGAAAAGAGGAATAGGGGTTGGAAGCTGGCATAACACAATCTTTAAACCAAGTGCATTTGAAAAAAGGCCAGGGTGGCGGGGCGTGGTAGCTCACACCTGTAATCCCATCACTTTGGGAAGCCAAGGCAGGTGGATCATTTGAGGTCAGGAGTTCAAGACCAGCCTGACCAACATGGCGAAACCCCATCTCTACTAAAAATACAAAAATTAGCTGGGCATGGTGGCACGCACCTGTAGTCCCAGCTACTCGGGAGGCTGAGGCAGGAGAATCGCTTGAACCCGGAAGGCGGAGGTTGCAGTGAGCCAAGATCACGCCACTGAACTCCAGCCTGGGCGACAGAGGGAGACTCCATCTCCAAAAAAAAAAAAAAAGAAGAAACGAAAAAAGGCCAGGGTTTGTGTCTAAACACTATGGTACTGAGAGAAAAACAAATATAGAGACACACACAAATGAATGTGATCACAACTGTGAAAAAAAACTGCACACGCAAAAGACTACAGGGAAATATGTAATTGATTATGTTGTTTTCTCTCAGTGATAAGATGGGGTGGTTTCTTCTTTGTACTTTTGTATTAATTTCTTACGGTGTTTGTATTACTTTTATAATCAAGAACTTTGTTTTAAAAAATAAATCAGAAAAAAGAATTTAAAAAATCAGAGAGATGGAATAACTTGAAAAAAACTGAAAACAAAGTTAAAAGATAACAGAATAAGGGGAAAACTATTCGCAATACACAAAAGACAAAGGATTTGTCTATAAAGGACTCTTAACAAATCAATAATAAAAAGAATGAGGCCGGGCGCGGTGGCTCACGCCTGTAATCCCAGCCCTTTGGGAGGCCGAGGCGGGCAGATCACGAGGTCAGGAGATTGAGACCATCCTGGCTAACGTGGTGAAACCCTGTCTCTACTAAAAACACAAAAAATTAGCTGGACGTGGTGGCAGGCGCCTATAGTCCCAGCTACTCAGGAGGCTGAGGCAGGAGAATGGCGTGAACCCGGGAGGCGGAGCTTGCAGTGAGCCGAGATCCCGCCACTGCACTCCAGCCTGGGCGACAGAGCGAGACTCCGTCTCAAAAAAAAAAAAAAAAAAAAAAAAAAAGAATTGATATGTAATCTCAGCACTTTGGGAGGCCAAGGCTGGCATATCATGAGGTCAGGAGTTCAAGACCAGTCTGACCAATATGGTGAAACCTTGTCTCTACTAAAAATACAAAAATTAGCCAGGTGTGGTGGCGCACACCTGTAATCTCAGCTACTCAGGAGGCTGAGGCAGGAGAATCGCCTGAACCCAGGAGGCAGAGGTTGCAGTGAGCCGAGATTGCACCACTGCATTCCAGCCTGGGTGACAGAGTGAAACTTTGTCTTTAAAAAAAAAAAAAGAGAGAGAGAAAGAAAATTTAGAATCAGCTAAATGCCCACCAATGGGGGGTGGCTAACTAAAATGTAGAATATTTATATAATAAAATTCTATAGAGAATTTAAATGAAGCATGGGCAACATAGTGAGACCTCATTTCTACAAACAGTTTTTAAAAATCAGCCGGGCGTGGTGGCTCCAGCATGTAGTTGCAACTGCTACTCAGGAGGCTGAGGTGGGAGGATCACTTGAGCCCAGGAGGTCAAGGCCGCAGTAAGCTGTGATCGTGCCACTGCACTCAAGCCTGGGTGACAGAGAAAGACCCTGTCTCCAAAAATAATAATAATAAAAAATAAAAGAAGTGACTTTGATCTGCATGAATCAACATGGATATATCTTAGTCATATTTTTGAATGAAAATAGGAAGTTGCAGAATTATTTATCTATATCTATCTATTATATATAGATAGATGGATAGTATCAATATTTAAAAAATTATTCCCCCAATGCAAAACTTCAGTTAATCATGAAAAAACATCAAATAAACCCACATTGAGGGAATATTCTACAAAATACTTGATGTGTAATCTTCAAAATTGTCAAGGTTGTGAAAGTCAAGGAAAGACTGAGAAACTGTCAGAGATTGTCGTATTCACAGATAGGAGACTAAAGAGATCTGATAACTAAACGCAATGTGGTATCCTGGAACACAAAAAGGACATTAGTGAAAAAACTGGTGAAACTGGAATAAGGTCTGAACTGGAATAAGGTCTGTAGTTCTGTTATTAGTATTGTGCTACTGTTAATTTCTTAGTTTTGAACCAGGGTTACATAAATTGTTAACATTAAGAGAAGCTGGGTGAAGTGTATGTTGAAACTTTCTATACTAGCTCTGCAACTCCTCTGTAAATCTAAAATTATTTCAAAATAAAAAGCTAAAACAGAACACACATAAATAATACCATTATTCCCTATTATCATACATTAGGTTTATGAAAGATTTTTAAAACAGGTCTGTAAAGCTACATGCCCAAAATATATCAGAAGTTCTCTCTAAGCTAGGGATAAAGGACCATTATTTTATTGAGAGAATGTTCAAAGGGAGTATTGGCTTTCCTTTTAATGTTTTGGAAGATAAGTGTAATCATGTATTGCTTTTATAACAAAAAATTAATTCTTTTAAATGCAAAAGGATAGAACAATTTTGCCTCATGACTTTCAAGGGTAAGAAAAGCCATGCCAACTCATGAAACAACCTTCTAACAAAGGGCTGGGAGGCTGAGGAACCATAAAGAGCTTGCTTGAGGTCTCTAACCTGACATTAGCTGAAGAGCCTGGGCACTGCTTGGCAAAAGAGGCCACCCCACTGTGGCCTTGGATGGCCTCTCATCAACTTCCTGCCAGGCACTCATGTGACTGTCCTATCCAATCTGACCTACACTGTTTTCCCCAGAATACCCAGAAACTCTGAGTCACCCAGAATATCAGCAGCATTCACAAGCCACTCATCAGTTTTTCTGCTTCTTGGTAGAAGCTCTCCTCAAAACTACGCATTGAGTGCCTACTATGTGCCTAACACTGACGGATACAGACATGAGTTGCTGCCCTCATGGAGACTGCTGACTACTTGGAAGATGAACGCTAAATAAACAAAAAGTTGCTTTACTACAATTTTGATAAGTGCTATGCAGGAAAAGTAAAAGATGCTATGAGGGAGAACAAAATGGAGTTTAGAGTTAGGATCGGGTGAGGGTCAGGAAACAGTTCCCTGAGGAAATGACATCTCAGCTGAGATCTGAAGGGTGAGTAGGACTCAGGTGAAAAAGTGAGAGGGCCGGGTGCAGTGGCTCATACCTGTAATCCCAGCACTTTGGGAGGTTGAGACAGGAGGATCGCTTGAGCCCAGGAGTTTAAGACCAGCCTGGAGAACGTAGCAAGACCCCATCTCTACAAAAAAAAAATTTTTTTTAATTAGCCCAGCATGGTGGCACATACCTATAGTCCTAGCTACTTGGGAGGCTGAAGCAGGAGGGTCACTTGAGCCCAGGAGTTTGAGGTTTCAGTGAGCTATGACCGGACCACTGCACTCCTGCCTGAGTGACAGAACAACACCCTGTTTCAAAAAAGGAAAGAAAGAGAGAGAGAAAGAGAGGAATAAAGAGAGGGAGAGGAAGGAAGGAAGGGAGTGAGGGAGGCAAAAGTGAGGGGGAACTTGTTTGCAAGAGTGAAAGAGAAAACAGCTGGTGCTAGAGATGAGTCTTGTGTATCTAAGGAATAACCCAAGCCTAAAGAAAAAGGGAGAAAGCCCTGGAGGGAGGCAAGGTCAGACCTGGCAGGGCACTGCAGACCACGTTAATGAACAGGGGCCCCAACCTTAAGTGCAATGGAGAGTAACTGACGGGCATCAAGCAGAGTGGCAGGGATCAGATTAGCAGTTTAAATGTAACCAACAACTAACTGCCTCACATAGTCATGAAAATTAATTCATTTGAATTAAGCAAAAATCTCTCAGATGCCTTTTGGAAACTTCCACTGGGTGTCTACAGTGTGAGAGAGACAAGATCTGCGACCTTTATCGCAATTATTTTATTTGTTGAACATCTACCAGATAGTAGACACTGGAGATTCAAATTGATCCCCCACCCACACCTTGTTCCAAAGTTGCTGAACATCTATTAAGGAAATCAGACACTTGGGTAAAAAATGAAGGCAGGTCATTGTAAGCCTCATGCCAGATTAGTGACCCCAAAGATCTTCAGAGTTTCAGAAGAGATGGATTCTCGAGGATATAGGAGAGTTAGAATCAAATACATACACTTCATACGCGTGGATATAGTTTTTTTAATGGAAAATAACATGTGTTGGCAAGGATATGGAGAAATTTGAACCCTCGTGCATTGTTGTCATTCCTCGAAAAAATTAAACAAATGACTCAGCAATTCTGCTGCTAGGTAGATACCCAAAATAATTAAAAATAGGCACTCAAACGGATACTTGTACACAAATATTCGTATCACCATTTTCACAATGCCCAAAAGATGGAAACAACCCAAGTGTCCATCAACACATGAATGGATAAACAAGACATGGTATATACATACAATGGAATATTATTCGGCCATAAAAAGGAATGAAGTTTTGGCTGGGCACTGTGGCTCATGCCTGTAATTGCAGCACTTTGGGAGGCTGAGGCAGGCAGATCACTTGAGGCCAGGAGTTTGAGACAAGCCTGGCCAATATGGCAAAACCCTATCTCTACTAAAAATACAAAAATTAGCTGGGTGCATGCAGTAATCCCAGCTACTAGGGAGGCTGAGGCACAAGAATGGCTTAAATCTGGGAGGTGGAGGTGGCAGTGAGCTGAGATCATGCCACGCACTCCTGCCTGGGTGACAGAGCAACACTCTGTCTCAGAAATAAATAAATAAAGTTTTGATACATGCTACAACTTGGATGAACCTTGAAAACATTACGCAGCCAGGTGTGGTGGCTCACACCTGTAATCCCAGCACTTCGGGAGGCTGAGGCGGGATGACCACTTGAACCCAGGAGGCGGAGGTTGCAGTGAGCCGAGATTGTGCCACTGCACTCAAGCCTGGTGGACAGAGAGAAAAAGAAAAAAAATGCTAAGAGAAATAAGCCAGACACAAAAGGACAAATATTACATGATTCTACTTATATGAAATAGCTAGAATAGGCAAATTCATAGAGACAGAAAGCAGATTAGCAGTCACCAGGGGTTGGGGGAAGAAAGGAGTGGAGAATTATTGCTTAATGGTGACAGAGTTTCTGTTTGGGGTGATGAAAACATTCTGGACATAGACAGTGGTGAGGGTTGCACCACATTGAGAATGTAATTAACGCCACTGAATAGTACTCTTAAAAATGGTTAAAATGGCCTATTTTATGTTATATATATTTTACCACAGTAAAAAAAAAAAAAAATTTAACTTTCCAAAAAAGGAATCAAATACATAAATAGCACTGTTTACTCCATGTTCACCTGACTTCTTCCAAACTTCCATTTTCCAGTTCTTAGAACATCCCAGGTCTCGTTGTCCCTACGTTAAACTGTTTCTCTACCTGAAAGCCTCTTTTCACCTTTCTAACTCATACTCATCTTGAAGGCCTTAACTCAAATGTTTCTCAGAGGCATTCGCTAATCTCCAAGCCAATCTACCTGACATTCCCTCCTGTTATTTTCTTTCATGCTGCCCTGTACCTTCCTTTCCCTTCTCTAACTTACCACAGTTGCAATGAAAGAAATATTTGTGTGATATGTTTTTAATATCTGCCTTCACAATATCGCCTGTAAACTCCAAGAGGGCAGGGACAGTCTGTCTTGTTCACTGAGAGGGAGACAGCACTTAGCCCAGGGTCTGACACACTGGGGGAGTCCCTATATATCTTTTAAATAAATTAATTAGTAACTAAATGACGGTGTGATGGGATTGTGAGTAGAATTTATTTTAATGCCTTTTACGATGCTGTAAATTGGATTAAAGTATTTAAACAAAAGAAGAAGCCAGGCACAGTGGCTTACACCTGTAATCCCAGCACTTTGGGAGGCCAAGGCGGGCGGATCACGAGGTTAGGAGTTCAAGCCCAGCCTGGCCAACATAATGAAACCCCGTCTCTACTAAAAATACAAAAAATTAGCCAGGCGTGGTGGCAGACCCCTGTAATCCCAGCCACTCAGGAGCCTGAGGCAGGAGAATTGCTTGAACCCGGGAGGTGGAGGTTGCAGTGAGTTGAGATGGCCACATTTGCACTCCAGCCCGGGCAACAGTGCGAGACCCCATCTCAAAAAAAAAAAAAAAAAAAAAAGGAAGCAAACTAGGGCTCTCATTTTTGTTGTTGTTGTTGTTGAGATGGAGTCTCGCTCTGTTGCCCAGGCTGGAGTGCAGTGGCCCAATCTCAGCTCACTGCAACCTCCACTTCCTGGGTTCAAGCAATTCTCCTGCCTCAGCCTCCTAAGTAGCTGGGACTACAGGCACACACTACCACGCTTGGCTAATTTTTGTATTTTTAGTAGAGACAGTGTTTCACTATGTTGGCCAGGCTGGTCTCGAACTCCTAACCTCAAGTAATCCACCCACCTTGGCCTCCCAAAGTGCTGGGATTACAGGCGTGAGCCACCAGGCCCAGCCAGCTCTCATTCTTACGTTCCTGCCTCTACCCTGTGAAGCTGCAGCCCTCTCATAGAAGGAACCTGAGCAAATCACTAGTACAGTTTGTTTCCAGGTAGATCTAAAATATCACCAACCATTCCAACCTTAGCCTCTAAATATCCATCTAAATAAGTGGTAAGTTGCCGCACTTAAAATGAAACACCTCTTCCCTGTGCAACCAGAACCCATATCCCTCCACCAGAGCAGTTCAGACCACCTGAGCATTTCACATATTTGGGTTTAGCAGCGCTTATATTAGAACTAAAGCCTCAGGCTGGGCATGGTGGCTCACACCTGTAATCCCAGCACTTTGGGAGGCCAAGGTGGGTGGATCACTTAAGGTCAGGAATTCAAGACCAGCCTGGCTAACATGGTGAAACTCCATCTCTACTAAAAATACAAAAATTAGCTGGGCATGGTGGCATGCTCCTGTAGTCCCAGCTATTCAGGAGGCTGAGGCAGGAGAATCACTTGAACCTGGGAGACGGAGGTTGCAGTAAGCTGAAATCATGAGATCGTGCCACTGCACTCTCACCTGGGCAACAGAGCAAGTGAGACTCTGTCTCAAAACAAACAAACAAACAAAACAAAATAAAACAAAGCAAAAAAAACACCAAAGCCTCAGGTGAACTCATGTCAGAGTGAAAAAGTGCATTTACTTGTCTATTTAAAGAGCCAATTCTTCTGGTATATACAGGTAAGTTTCTACTATTTGTCAGTGAGAGCATTTCCTAATCGATTTAATTTTCTCATCTTGGCATTCCATATCTACCTCAGTAAACAATTTTCTATGCTAACAAGAAGTCAAACAAACATATAATTATTTTTGAGATAAGAAATGCAAATAAAAGCTGATTTAATGAATTTGTTTTGTGGATGTGGACACTTGTGGAAACTGAAAAAACGTGACAACTCAGGAAGAAGACACAGTTCGCTCACAACAGCTTTTACCTAAACACATTTTAGCCCACATACCATTGATTCTCTCAGACCACAAGCCATTGTCTTCTCTCTGCTTTTACTTTTTTACATTTTACATATAAATTGCATGAACCACTGGGCATGGTGGCTCAAGCCTGTAATCCCAGCACTTTGGGAGGCCGACGTGGGCGGATCACCTGAGGTCAGGAGTTCGAGACCAGCCTGGCCAACATGGCGAAACCCTGTCTCTACAAAAATATAAAAATTAGCTGGGCTTGGTGGTGGGTGCCTGTAATTTCAGCTACTCAGGAGGCTGAGACAGGAGAATCGCTTGAACCTGGGAGGCGGAGGTTGCAGTGAGCCAAGACTGTGCCATTGCACTCCAGCCTGGGCAACAAGAGCAAAACGAAACTCCATCTAAAAAAAAAAAAAAAATTGCATGAACCAGAGAGTGCAAGGCAAACCGGTGACCACAGACATTAGGAAACTGTTGATCACAAGTAACAAGAAACCCAGTTAAAATGGCTTACATAATAAGGAAGTTCAGAGGTATGGTACGCTCTGTGGTAAATATTCAGTAATCAATATTGCCATTAAGGACCAAGTTTCAGCCAGGAGCGCTGGCTCATGCCTGTAATCCAAACACTTTGAAAGGCTGTGGTGGGCAGATGGCTTGAGCCCAGGAGTTCGAGACCAGCCTAGGCAACATGACAAAACTCTGACTCTACAAAAAATGTTTAAGATTAGGTGGGTGTAGTCATGTGTGCCTGTAGTCCCAGCTACTCAGGAGGCTAAAATGGAAGGATCACTTGAGCCTGGGAGGTAGAGGCTGCAGTGAGAGGAGAATATGCCCACTACACTACAGCCTGGGTGGCAGAATGACACCCTTATCTCAAAAAAAAAAAAAAAAACAGGACCAAGTTTTGTCTCTCTGCCCTGTAGTCCTGAAAGTTTGCTTCATCTTACGATGTATAGGATGGCTTCAAGTTTCCTCCTTCATGTCAACAAAGCACAGACACCTCTCCTCCACAACAGTCCTTCCTTTCAACCTAATTGGAATGAATTAGGAAACATGCAGACCCCTCAGACTAAAAGTCATTGCCAAGAAAGGATCATACACCAACAAATTAGATATTGTCCCTGGGGCTGGGGATGGAGAGGATACCTGAGCAAAACTGGAATTTTTCATGGGCAGAAGGAGTGGAGAGTGGATGCTAAGTAGGCAGCCAAGAGTATCCACTACAACTAGCAAAACTGAATATGCCTAAGCCTTGGGTTAAGAGTAGTACTAGAGAAATAGAAAAACAACACACTGGATGTCACATATCCACTAATCTTCTGGTTCTTAAATTTTTTTTTTTTTTTTTTTTGAGACAAGGTCTGGCTCTGTTGCCCAGGCTGGAGTGCAGTGGCACAATCTCGGCTCACTGCAACTTCCGCCTCCTGAGCTCAAGCCATCCTCCCTCCTCAGCCTCCCAAGTAGCTGGGACTACAGGCACACACCACCACACCCGGCTAATTTTGGTATTTTTTGTAGAGATGGGGTTTTGCTATGATGGCCAGCATGGTCTCTAACTCCTGAGCTCAAGTGATCTGCCTGCCTTGGCCTCCCAAAGTGCTGGGATTACAGGTGTAAGCTACCGCGCTAGGCCTGCTCAACTGGTTCTTAACCCTCATGAGGGTTAATTCACCATTAGAGACTGGCTCATGACAGCAGTGATTCTCAGAAACATCAGGAAGCCTATATTCTTGGTGGTGTTCTTTATGTCCTGAGTCTGTCCTTGCAAGAGAGAGAATGGTATGTCTCAGTGGTATAAAGAACCTAGTCCTGCACCTTAGCCATCCTCTGTAGTCCTGGTTCATGCTGTCCCCTTCTTGGATCCCACCCTAGTCCTTCACAGTGATATTGAGCTGAATTTCCCAATTTGGGAAATTTACTTTGGGAGTCTCAGAGCACATTTTGGTATGACAGCTCTATGAGATATTAATAGATGTTACTTAGAAAAAAAGTTCTAGGCCAGGCACTGTGGCTCACACCTGAAAACCCAGCCCTTTGGAAGGCTGAGGCAGGAGTATTGCTTGAGCCCAGAAGTTCAAGACCAGCCTGGGCAACATAGGTAGACCACATATCCACAAAAAATTTTTTTAAAAAGTTAGCTGGCAGCCGGGCATGGTGGCTCATGCCTGTAATCCTAGCACTTTGGGAGGCTAAGGCGGGCTGATCACGAGGTCAGGAGATCAAGACCATCCTGGCCAACATTGTGAAACCCCATCTCTACTAAAAACACAAAAACTAGCTGGGTATGGTGGCACACGCCTGTAGTCCCAGCTACTCGGGAGGCTGAAGCAAGAGAATCACTTGAACCCGGGAGGTGGAGGTTGAAGTGAGCTGAGATCGCACCACTGCACTCCAGCCTGGCGACAGAGTGAAACTCCATCTCAAAAAAAACCCAAAAAAACAAAAAACCAAAAAAAACAGTTAGCTGGCTGTGATGGCTTGTAGCTGTAGTCCCAGCCACTCATGAGGCTAAAGTGGGAGGATCGCTTGAGCCCAGGAGGTCAAGGCTGCAGTGAGCCATGATTAAGCCACTGCACTCCAGTCTGGGTGACAGAGTGAGACCTGTCTCAATTTAAAAAAAAAAGAAAGGAAAGAAAAAAAGAAAGAAAGAAAAAAGTTCCATGCTTGCTGAAAACTTGAAAGACCTACTTAAACATTTAGCACTCAAAAAACTTGGGCATTTATCAGTATAAATTCCTAGATCAGCACATTTACTGCATCTTTTAAAGATTGTAAGGCCTTGTAAGCAAGAAAATGGCTCTGGTGAGATGGGTTTATATAGGGATTTGTAACAGGGATGCACTGTATTTTTTTAATCAGTGGTTCTCAAATTTCATCAGGTATGGTTGCCTGGGGAGTTTTCTAAAAGGCAGATTCCATACCATATCTCAGTCTTACCAATCGTGACTCTCTGGCCTTGGGTCCTAGGAATTCGAAATTTAAACAAATTCCTAAGTAATTCTGATGCAAGTAGTCCCTGTGTTCTCTGAAAATGTTAACTATCTGCCTCACCGGTGCTTGTGACAGCAATCAATGTTGCCATGGTAATAGCCAATCCGAGCCACCCCCTGCTGTCTGCTGCCCAGGCAACATTGACTTCATGTGTCTCTTTCTTGTTTGCTAGCCCAAAGGGCCACTTTGAAAAATAATCTTCTGAGTACTACAGAAACTATACAATTGACCTAAAGAAACTCACTATTGCAGGATCAGGGATTATAAATCCCTATGTCACCTCACCTTCAGAGTATTAGTCTCTTCAGCACCTTTTGTGGCTCCAATTCAGATGTCAGATGCTAGGCATCAATGTTGGTATTTCATTGGCATAAATAGGGTGCAGTCCCTGAAACTCAGACAGTTTTCCAAGCCCACCATGATCTAGGTGTCAGGCCTCTGAGCCCAAGCTAAGCCATCATATCCCCTGTGACTTGCACGTATACATCCAGATGGCCTGAAGCAAGTGAAGAGTCACAAAAGAAGTGAAAATGGCTGGTTCCTACCTTAACTGATGACATTCAACCATTGTGATTTGTTCCTGCCCCACCTTAACTGAGCAATTAACCTTGTGAAATTCCTTCTCCTGGCTCAGAAGCTCCCCCACCGAGCACTTTGTGACCCCCGCCCCTGCCCACAAGAGAAAAACCCCCTTTGACTGTAATTTTCCACTACCCACCCAAATCCTATAAAACTGTCCCACCCCTATCTTCCTTGCTGACTCCTTTTTCGGACTCAGCCCTTCTGCACCCAGGTGAAATAAACAGCCTTGTTGCTCACACAAAGCCTGTTTGGTGGTCTCTTCACACGGACATGCATGACATTTGGTGCCATGACTCAGATTGGGGGACCTCCCTTGGGCGATCAATACCCTGTCCTGCTCTTTGCTCCATGAGAAAGATTCACCTACGACCTCGGGTCCTCAGACCAACCAGCCCAAGGAACATCTCACCAATTTTAAATCAGGTAAGTGGCCTATTTTTACTCTCTTCTCCAACCTCTCTCACTATCCTTCAACCTCTTTCTCCTTTCGATTTTGGCACCACCCTTCAATCTCTCCCTTCTCTTAATTTCAGTTCCTTTCCTTTTCTGGTAGAGACAGAGGAGATGCGTTTTATCTGTGAACCCAAAACTCCAGCTCTGGTCACGGACTCAGGAAGACAGTCTTCTCTTGGTGTTTAATCACTGTGGGGACGCTTACCCACGTTTCAGAGGTGTCTGATCACCAGGGGGATGTCTGGCCTTGATCCTTCACCTTGGTGGCCAGTACCACTTTCACTGGGTGGCAAGCACCACCTCCCCTGGGGGGCAAGTACCCTCCCACCCCTTCTCTCCATGTGTCTACTCTCTCTTTTCTCTGGGCTTGCCTCCTTCACTATGGGCAACCTTCCACCCTCCATTCCTCCCTCTTCTCCCTTAGCCTGTGTTCTCAAGAACTTAAAACCTCTTCAGCTCACACCTGACCTAAAACCTAAATGCCTTATTTTCTTCTGCAACACTGCTTGGCCCCAATACAAACTTGATAAATGCTCTAAATGGCCAGAAAACAGCACTTTCAATTTCTCCATCCTACAGGACCTAGATAATTTTTGTCGAAAAATTGGTAAATGGCCTGAGATGCCTTACATACAGGCATTTTTTCACACTTCGTTCCCTCCCTAGTCTCTGTTCCCAATGCAATTCGTCCCAAATCCTCCTTCTTTCCCTACCGCCTGTCCCCTCAGTCCCAACCCCAAGCATTGCTGAGTCTTTCCAATCTTCCTTTTCTACCAAGCCATCTGACCTCTCCCCTCCTCCCCAGACTGCTCCCTATGTTGCTTTCTGCCAGGCTGAATCAGGCTCCAAATCTTCCTCAGCCTCTGCTCCTCCACCCTATAATCCTTTTATCACCTCCCCTCCTCACACCCAGTCCAGCTTACAGTTTTGTTCCATGACTGGCTCTCCCCTACCTGCCCAACGATTTCCTCTTAGAGAGGTGGCTGGAGCTGAAGGCATAGTCAGGGTACTTGTGCCTTTTTCTCTATCAGACCTCTCTCAGATCAGTCAGTGTTTAGGCTCTTTCTCATCAGACCCCACTAATTATATATAGGAATTCCAGTATCTAACTCTGTCCTGCAATTTAACCTGGAGTGATTTAAATGTCATCCTAACATCTACCCTTTCCCCAGATGAACAGGAAAGAGTTTTTTCTCTAGCCCAATCTCACACTGATAACCACCGGCTTCACAAGCCAGACCTCCAAGAAGGCATTAGAGCAGTTCCCCAAGATGATCCCCAATGGAACTATCAGGCAGATTCCCCAGGTATAATTAGGCGAGATTACATGATTTCCTGCCTAGTTGATGGGCTTACAAAGGCAGTTTACAAAGCTGTTAATTTTGACAAGCTTAAAGAAACTACCCAAGGTAAAGACAAAAACCTAGCCCAGTTCCTGGCTTGTTTGGCAGCAACCCTGAGATGCTTTACAGCCCTAGACCCTGAAGGGTCAGAAGGCCGTCTTATTCTAAATAGGCATTTTATCACCCAGTCAGCTCCTGACATTAGAAAAAAGCTTCAAAAATTAGAATCCAGCCCTCAAACCCCACAACAGGAATTAATCAACCTCACCTTCAAGGTGTACAATAATAGAGAGGAGGCAGCCAGACAGCAACGCATTTCTGAGTTACAATTACTTGCCTTTGCTGTGAGACAAAACCCAGCCACACCTCCAGCACACAAGAACTTCAAACTGCCTAAGCCGCAGCAGTCAAGCATTCCTACAGGACCTCCTCCAACAGGCTGTTGCTTCAAGTGCCAGAAATCTGGCCACTGGGCCAAGGAATGCCTGCAGCCCAGGATTCCTCCCAAGCCATGTCCCATCTGTGCAGGGACCCACTGGAAATCAGACTGCCCAGCTCACCCGGCAGCCACTCCTAGAGCCCCTAAAGGTCTGGCCCAAGGCTCTCTGACTGACTGCTTCCCAGATTTGCTTGGCTTGGCAGCTGAAGACTGACGCTGCCTGATCACCTTGGAAGCCCCCTGGACCATCATGGATGCTGAGCTTTGGGTAACTCTCACAGTGGAGGGTAAGTCCGTCCCCTGTTTAATCAACACAGGGGCTACCCACTCCACATTACCTTCTTTTCAAGGGCCTGTTTCCCTTGCCCTCATAACTGTTGTGGGTATTGACGGCCAAGCTTCAAAACCCCTTGAAACTCCCCCACTCTGGTGCCAACTTGGACAACATTATTTTATGCACTCTTTTTTAGTTATCCCCACCTGCCTAGTTCCCTTAATTTTTTTATTTTTTATTTTTTGAGATGGAGTCTTGCTCTGTCGCCCAGGCTGGAGTGCAGTGGCGCGATCTCAGCTCACTGCAAGCTCCGCCTCCTGAGTTCATGCCATTCTCCTGCCTCAGCCTCCAGAGTAGCTGGAACTACAGGTGCCCACCACCACGCCCAGCTAATTTTTTTTTTTTTTGTATTTTTAGTAGAGATGGGGTTTCACCGTGTTAGTGAGGATGGTCTCGATCTGCTGACCTCGTGATCCGCCCACCTCGGCCTCCCAAAGTGCTAGGATTACAGGCGTGAGCCACCGTGCCTGGCCCCAGTTCCCTTATTAGGCCAAGACATTTTAACCAAATTATCTGCTTCCCTGACTCTTCCTGGACTACAGCCAAATCTCATTGTCACCCTTCTTCCCAACCCAAAGCCTCCTTCATGTCTTCCCCTCGTATCCCCCTACCTTAACCCACAAGTATGGGACACCTCTACCCCCTCCCTGGCAACCGATCACACACCCACTACTATCCCACTAAAATCTAATCACCCTTACCCCACTGAACGCCAGTATCCTATCCCACAACAGGCTTTAAGGGGATTGAAGCCTGTTATCACTCACCTGCTACAGCATGGGCTTCTAAAACCTATAAACTCTTCTTACAATTCCCACATTTTACCTGTCCAAAAACGGGACAAGTCTTACAAGTTACTTCAGGATCTGCACCTTATCAACCAAATTGTTTTGCCTATCCACCCCGTGGTGCCAAACCCATATACTGTCTTATCCTCAATACCTCCCTCCACAACCCATTATTCTGTTCTGCATCTCAAACATGCTTTCTTTACTATTTCTTTGCACCCTTCATCCCAGCCTCTCTTCGCTTTCACATAGACTGACCCTGACACCCATCAGTCTCAGCAACTTACCCGGGCTGTACTGCTGCAAGGCTTCACCGACAGCCCCCATTACTTCAGTAAAGTCCTTTCTCATGATTTACTTTCTTTCCATCCATCTGCTTCTCACCTTATTAAATATTTTGACAACTTTCTACTTTATAGCCCCTCCTACAAAACTTCCCAACAGGACACCCTTCTGCTCCTCCAACATCTATTCTCAAAAGGATATTGTGTATCCCCCTCCAAAGCCCAAATTTCTTCCTCATCCATTACCTATCTCGGCATAATTCTTCATAAAAACACATGTGCTCTCCCTGCTGATCATGTCCAGCTTATCTCCAAAACCCCAACCCCTTCTACAAAACAACAACTCCTTTCCTTCCTAGGCATGGTTAGGTACTTCTGCCTTTGGATACCTAGTTTTACCATCCTGACTAAACCATTATATAAACTCATAAAAGGAAACCTAGCTGACCCCATAAATCCTAAATCCTTTCCCCACTCCCCTTTCCATTCCTTAAAAAACAGCCCTAAAAACTGTCCCACACTAGCTCTCCCTAACTCATCCCAACCCTTTTCATTACACACAGCCAAACTACAGGGCTGTGCGGTAAGAATTCTTACACAAAAGCTGGGACCACACCGTTAGCCTTTCTGTCCAAACAATGTAACCTTACTGTTTTAGCCTAGCACTCATATCTGTGTGTGGCAGCTGCTGCTGCATTAATACTTTTAGAGGCCCTCAAAATCACAAACTATGCTCAACTCACTCTCTACAGTTCTCATAACTTCCAAAATCTATTTTTTTCCTCAAATCTGACGCATATACTTTATGCTCCCCAGTTCCTTCAGCTATACTCACTCTTTGTTGAGTCTCCCACAATTACCATTGTTACTGGCCTGGACTTCAATCCGGCCTCCCACCTCATTCTGGATGCCACACCTGACCCCCATGACTGTATCTCTCTGATCCACTTGACATTCACTTGATTTCCCCATATTTCCTTCTTTCCTGTTCCTCACCCTGAGCACACTTGGTTTATTGATAGCAGTTCCACCAGGCCTAATCGCCACTCACCAGCAAAGGCAGGCTATGCTATAGTATCTTCCACATCTATCCTTGAGGCTACCACTGTGCCCCACTCCACTACCTCTCAGCAAGCCGAACTCATTGCCTTAACTCGAGCCCTCACTCTTGCAAAGGGACTATGCATCAATATTTATACTGATGCTAAATATGCCTTCCATATCCTGCACCACCATGCTGTTATATGGGCAGAAAGAGGTTTCCTCACTATGCAAGGGTCCTCCATCATTAATGTCTCTTTAATAAAAACTCTTCTCAAGGCCACTTTACTTCCAAAGGAAGCTGGAGTCCTTCATTGCAAGGGCCCTCAAAAGGCATCAGATCCCATCGCTCAGGGCAATGCTTATGCTGATAAAGTAGCTAAAAAAGCAGCTAGCATTCCAACTTCTATCCCTCACAGCCAGTTTTTCTCCTTCTCATCGATCACTCCCACCTACTCTCCCACTGAAACTTCCACCTATCAATCTCTTCCCACACAAGGCAAATGGTTCTTGGACCAAGGAAAATATCTCCTTCCAGCCTCACAGGCCCATTCTAATCTGCCGTCATTTCATAACCTCTTCCATGTAGGTTACAAGCTGCTAGCCTGTCTCTTAGAACCTCTCATTTCCTTTCCATCATGGAAATCTATCCTTAAGGAAATCACTTCTCAGTGTTCCATCTGCTGTTCTGCTACTCCTCAGGGATTGTTCAGGCCCCCTCCCTTCCCTACACATCAAGCTCAGGGATTTGCCCCTGCCCAGGACTGGCAAATTGACTTTATTCACATGCCCTGAGTCAGGAAACTAAAATACCTCTTGGTCTGAGTAGACACTTGTAATGGATGGGTAGAGGCCTTTCCCACAGGGTCTGAGAAGGCCACTGCCATCATTTCTTCCCTTCTATCAGACAGAATTCCTCAATTTGGCCTTCCTACCTCTATACAGTCTGATAACGGACCAGCCTTTATTAGTCAAGTCACTCATGCAGTCTCCCAGTCCCTAGGCATTCAATGGAAACTTCATGCTCCTTATTGCCCTCAATCCTCAGGAAAGGTAGAAAGAACTAATGGTCTTTTAAAGACACACCTCACCATACTCAGCCTCCAACTTAAAAAGGACTGAGGCCGGGCGCGGTGGCTCACCCCTTTAATCCCAGCACTTTGGGAGGCCGAGGTGGGCGGATCACGAGGTCAGGACATCCTGGCTAACATGGTGAAACCCTGTCTCTACTAAAAAATACAAAAAAAATTAGCCAGGCATGGTGGCAGGCCCCTGTAGTCCCAGCTACTCGGGAGGCTGAGGCAGGAGAATGGCGGGAACCTGGGAGGCAGAGCTTGCAGTGAGCTGAGATCACGCCACTGCCTGGGACACAAGTGAGACTCTGTCTCAAAAAAAAAAAAAAGGACTGAACAGTACTTTTACCACTTGCCCTTCTCAGAATTCAGGCCTGTCCTCAAGATGCCACAGAGTACAGCCCATTTGAGCTTCTGTATGGATGCTACTTTTTATTAGGCCCCAGTCTCATTCCAGACACCAGCCCTCTAGGTGATTATCTTCCAGTCCTCCAGCAGGCTAGACAGGAAATTTGCCAGGCTGCTAATCTTCTCTTGCCTACTCCAGATTCCCAGCCATATGAAGACACCCTAGCTGGACGATCAGTTCTTGTTAAGAATCTGACCCCTCAAACTCTACAACCTTGAGGGGCCAGACCCTACTTAGTCATCTATAGTACCCCAACTGCCGTCTGCCTGCAGGGCCCTCCCCATTAGGTTCACTGATCCAGAATAAAGCTGTGTCCATCGGACAGCCAGCCTGATCTCTCATCTTCCTCCTGGGAGTTACATGTACTCTCTCCTACTTCCCTTAAACTCACCTGCATTCCTAAAGGATAATAGTAACCCTTATAAGGCTAATACATCCTTTCATTTTTATTAGGTCTCACCTTCCTTACCATACTCTTTATAACAGGGCTTTACACAGTCACCCCCACTACTTGGACTGCACCCCAAAAATTTGTCATCCTTACTATCTTCCGTCTAGTCATACTCCTATTCACCATTCTCAACTACTTGTAAATGCCCTGCCCTTGTTTATACTGCCGGTTTACACTTTTCCTCCAAATCATCGTAGCGGATATCTCCTGATACTATCCCCAGTCTGCCACTCTTGACTCCCTCTTGGAGTGGATGGGTGATCTTTGCTGACAGGGCACACTGATACTTCCACCCTGAAGAAGTCCTATTCTTTACTTTTATACTCACTCTTTTTCTCGTTCCTGTTCTTACGCCACCCTCTACCTCTCCCTAGCTATCTCCACCATGCTATCAATCTCACTCCACTCTCTCCTAGCCATTTCTAATCCTTCTTTAACAAACAATTGCTGGCTTTGCATTTCTCTTTCCTGTGAAATCACCGAGGCCTCGACTTACTCACTGCTAAAAAAACAGGACTCTATATTTTTAAATGAAGAGTGTTGTTTTTACCTAAATCAATCTGTCCTGGTGTATGACAACATAAAAAATCTCAAGGATAGAGCCCAAAAACTCACCAAGCAAGCAAGTAATTACACTGAACCCCTTGGGCACTCTCTAATTGGATGTCCTGGGTCCTCCCAATTCTTAGTCCTTTAATACCTGTTTTTTTCCTTCTCTTATTCGGACCTTGTGTCTTCCGTTTAGTTTCTCAATTCATCCAAAACTGTATCCAGGCCATCACCAATCATTCTATATGACAAATGCTCCTTCTAACAACCCCACAATATCACCTCTTACCATAAAATCTTCCTTCAGCTTAATCTCTCCCACTCTAGATTCCCACGCCACTCCTAATCCCGCTCGAAGCAGCCCTGAGAAACATTGCCAATTATCTCTCCATACCACCCCCCCAAATTTTCTCTGCCCCAACACTTCAACATTATTTTATGGTTTTTTCTTATTAATATAAGAAAACAGGAATGTCAGGCCTCCGAGCCCAAGCTAAGCCATCTTATCCCCTGTGACCTGCACATATACATCCAGATGGCCTGAAACAAGTGAAGAATCACAAAAGAAGTGAAAATGGCCAGTTCCTGCCTTAACTGATGACATTCTACCATTGTAATTTGTTCCTGCCCCACCTTAACTGAGTGATTAACCTTGTAAAATTCCTTCTCCTGGCTCGGAAACTCCCCCACCGAGCACTTTGTGACCACCGCCCCTGCCCACAAGAGAAAAACCCCCTTTGACTGTAATTTTCCACTACCCACCCAAATCCTTTAAAACGGCCCCACCCCTATCTTCCTTGCCGACTCCTTTTTCGGACTCAGCCCACCTGCACCCAGGTGAAATAAACAGCTTTATTGCTCACACAAAGCCTGTTTGGTGGTCTCTTGACACGGAAGCGTGAGATACTAGGGTCCTCCCTTACCTGACACCTAGAGCACTCCTGTTGTAACAAGAGTCATCTTGGGTTCAGCATAAATTAATCTTCTTTCATTTGAGTGGCAAGTAGTTGAATTTATAACTTTTACTTTCACCAAACACAAAAAAGTTCATTTCAACTAATTCTTTGGTCAGATACTAGCCATCCATGCTTATAAGAAAAAGGATGGGTAAAGTACTAGGATCTGCATCTAACCTTAGCAGCATGGTAAGCAGAATAATGGCCTAATCCCCAGGACCTGTGATTATGTTACAATTACGTGGCAAAAGAGAGTTAAGTCTGCAGATGAAATTAACTATGCTAACTAGATGATATTAAATAGGAAGAAGAGCCTGCATTTTCCAGGTAGATCCAAGGATCCTAAAATGGGAAAGTGGAAAAGAGAGAGTCAGGGTCCAAGTGATGCATGTGAGAAAGATCTGACCTGCCACTGCAAGCTAGGAAGATGAGAGAAGACTGCAAACCAAGGAATGCAGGAGGCTTCTAGAGGCTGGAAGACACAAGAAAACTGATTGCTCCCCAGAGTCTCCAGAAGGAATGCAGCCCTGCTGACTTCCTGATTTCAGCTCATTGAAGCCCACTTCAGACTTCTGACTTCCAGAACTGTAAGATAGTACATTTGTGTTATTTTAAGCCACTAAATCTATGATAATTTGTTACAGCAGCAGTAGGAAACTAATACACAGAGGATTAGGACAAAAGGGTAGAAAGAGATACAGACTAGAGAGTCAAACAAATGTAGGCCTCCATGTTCAGTGCCATACTACCCTTTCTTTTTTTTTTTTTTTTTTGAGGTGGAGTCTCACTCTGTTGCCCAGGCTGAAGTGCGGTGGCGCGATCTCGGCTCACTGCAAGCTCTGCCTCCCGGGTTCACACCATTCTCCTGCCTCAGCCTCCCGAGCAGCTGGACTACAGGCGCCAGCCACCACGCCTGGCTTTTTTTTTTTTTTTTTTTTTTTTTTTTTGAGACGGAGTCTCGCTCTGTTGCCCAGGCTGGAGTGCAGTGGCGGGATCTCGGCTCACTGCAAGCTCCACCTCCCGGGTTCACGCCATTCTCCTGCCTCAGCCTCCCAAGTAGCTGGGACTACAGGCGCCCGCCACTACGCCCGGCTAATTTTTTGTATTTTTAGAAGAGACAGGGTTTCACCGTGTCAGCCAGGATGGTCTCGATCTCCTGACCTCGTGATCTGCCTGCCTCAGCCTCCCAAAGTGCTGGGATTACAGGCGTGAGCCACCGCGCCCGCCCATACTACCCTTTCTTTAGTGGTGGTCCAGAAAAAGCCCTCTGTTTCATTCTATTAGTTTTCCAGGAGACTTGCCTTTGGACCATATAACCTGGTTGAGGAAACCTGCAGGATTTAAAAAAAAAATTGTATCTTGATAAGCGAAATTCATGTACTGTTTTGGGTTCTTCAATGTTGCCATTTTCTCTTTTTCTTAAAATGAAGAATAATATTGTTGATGAAAAAAGCCAAATTCAGGCCAGGCCTGGTGGCTCATGCCTGTAATCCCAGCACTTTTGGAGGCTGAGGTGGGTGGATCACATGAAGTCAGGAGTTCAAGACCATCCTGGCCAATATGGTGAAACCCTGTCTCTACTAAAAATACAAAAATTAGCTGGATATGGTGGTACGCACCTGTAATCCCAGCTACTCGAGAGTGCCATTGCACTTCAGCCTGGCTGACAGAGCGAGACTCTGTCTCAAAGGAAAAACAAAACAAAACAAAACAAAAAAACTAAACTCCATAAAATATTTGAAGAGATTTATTCTGAGCCAAATGTGAGGACCATGACCCATGACACAGCCTCAGGAGGTCCTGAGAACATGTGCCCCAGGTGGTTGGGTTGCAGCTTGATTTTATTTATTTTAGGAGATCAGAAATTACAGGTAGACATCAGTCAGTACATTTAGATATACATTGGTTTGGCCCTTCTGCGTGGTCACACCAAGCCAGCATCTGGGCCTGGAACTGGGCTGCAGCCCCTCAGCTTCGCATACTGCCTCCTGACCATGGACCCCTGCAAAGTGAACGAGTTTTGGGCCTTTGTGAAAATTTGTAAGCAGGATCTGAGCATTCCGCACACCGAGGAAATGAGATTCCTGAGGGAGTGGGTGGAGAGCACAGGGGTAAAGTACCACCTACTACTCAGAAAGCTAAATCAGAAGAAAATACCAAAGAAGAAAAACTTGATAGTAGGAAGGTAGAGGAAGACTTAAAGGCAGACAAAACATCAAGTAAGGAAAGTGAGCTAGAAATTGATAATTAAGGTGTGATTGAACCAGACACTGATGTCCCTCAAGAAATGGGATAACAGAGGTGATGATGGATCAGGCAAATGATAAGAAAGTGGCTGCTATTGAAGCCCTAAATGATGGTGAACTGCGGAAATCCATTGATTTATTCACAGATGCCATCAAGCTGAATCCTTGCTTGGCTATTTTGTATGCTAAGAGGGCCAGTGTCTTCATCAAATTACAGAAGCCAAATGCTGCCATCCGAGACTGTGACAGAGCCATTGAAATAAATCCTGATTCAGCTCAGCCTTACAAGTGATGAGAGAAAGCACACAGACTTCTAGGCCACTGGGAAGAAGCAGCCCATGATCTTGCCCTTGCCTGTAAATTGGATTATGATGAAGATGCTAGTGTAATGCTGAAAGAAGTTCAACCTAGGGCACAGAAAATTGCAGAACATCAGAGAAAGTATGAGCGAAAACGTGAAGAGCAAGAGATCAAAGAAAGCATAGAAAAGTTAAGAAGGCTTGAGAAGAACATGAGAGAGCCCAGAGGGAGAAAGAAGCCAGACAACAGTCAGGAGCTCAGTATGGCTCTTTTCCAGGTGGCTTTCCTGGGGGAATGCCTGGTAATTTTCCCTGAGGAATGCCTGGAATGGGAGGGGGCATGCCTGGAACGGCCGGAATGCCTGGACTCAATGAAATTCTTAGTGATCCAGAGGTTCTTGCAGCCATGCAGGATCCAGAAGTTATGGTGGCCTTCCAGGATGTGGCTCAGAACCCAGCAAATATGTCAAAATACCAGAGCAACACAAAGGTTATGAATCTTATCAGTAAATTGTCAGCCAAATTTGGAGGTCAAGATTAATGCCTTTCTGATAAAGCCTTTTCTGAAGGAAAAGCAACCTACATCACCTTATGGATGTTGCAATGATACAAACCAGTGTACCTCTGACCTTCTCATCAAGAGAGCTGGGGTGCTTTGAAGATAATCCCTACCCCTGTCCCCCAAATGTAGCAGAAGCATTTTACAGTGGTTTGCCATTAGGGTATTCATTCAGATAATGTTTTCCTACTAGGGCAAACTTTAAGCACTTTTTAAACCTCAAAAATATTTAAAACAAATTTAAAGGGTCTGTTAATTCTCACAATTTTCTTTACTAATCATTTTGGATTTTTTTTCCTTTGAATTATTGGGCAGCAAAGATACTTATGTATGGAAGATTATTGCTGTAATTTGAGTGAAATAAAAGTTTATTACTGCGAGGCAAACATAACTCATTTGAGGAAAAAGCTTGTGTTGGATATGTGGTTCCTGAAGTACTTTGACTTGTCTTTTTAAATGCTTTATCTTTTTCTTTAAAGATTTATTTCAAGCCGGGCGCGGTGGCTCATGCCTATAATCCCAGCACTTTGGGAGGCCAAGGTGGGTGGATCACAAGGCCAGGAGATCGAGACCATCGTGGCTAACACGGTGAAACCCTGTCTCTACTAAAAATATAAAAAATTAGGCGGGCATGGTGATGGGCGCCTGTGGCCCCAGCTACTCGGGAGGCTGAGGCAGGAGAATGGTGTGAACCTGGGAGGCAGAGCTTGCAGTGAGCCAAGATCACGCCACTGCACTCCAGCCTGGGTGACAGAGTGAGACTCTGTCTCAAAAAACAAAAAAAGATTTATTTCAATAAAACTAATTGGGGCTGGGTGTGGTGGCTCACACCTGTAATCCCAGCACTTTGGGAGGCTGAGGCGGGCAGATCATGAGGTCAGGAGATCGAGACCATCCTGGCTAACATGGTGAAACCCCATCTCTACTAAAAATACAAAAAAATTAGCCTGGCATAGTGGCGGGTGCCTGTAGTCCCAGCTACTCGGGAGGCTGAGGCAGGAGAATGGCATGAACCCGGGAGGCGACGCTTGCAGTGAGCTGAGATTGCACCACTGCACTCCAGCCTGCGCAACAGAGCAAGACTTTGTCTCAAAAAAAAAAAAAAAAAGCTAATTGGGACCACCAGTATTTCAGTAGGACCTAGGTAGGGACTGGAATTACTTGGCAGGGCAGCAGCAATCTTGCTGTGTTTTATATAACATGTATCCTTGGGCAGGTTGCCCTTAAATCTTACACTGTGGTGAAAGGATGATTTTTTTTGGTAATGCTGCAGTAGAGTTGGAGTACTTAGTTCTGTTTTTGTCCAGTATATCTAAAAAATGTTTCATATTATTTCCACATGGGGGAAAAAAAGATATATATTGGTTTGGTCCAATAAGGCAGGACAATTCAAAGTGAGGCAGGGGTGGGGGGTTCCAGGTCATAGGTGGATTCAAAAAATTTTCTGACTGATAATTAGTTGAAAGAATTAAGTTGTTACTATTTAAAAGCCCAGAATCAATAGAAAGGAGTGTCTGGGTTAAAATAAGGGGTTGTGGAAACCAAGGTTCTTATTATGTAGATGAAGCCTCCAGGTAGCAGGTAGCAGAGAGACTAGAAGGTAAATGTCTCTTATCTGACCCAAAAAAGTACCAGACTCTTAATCCCTCCTGGATCAGAAAAAGACCTGGAAAAGGAAAGGGATTCTCTACAGAATGTATATATTTTCCCCCAAAAGAGACAACTTTGCAGGGCCATTTCAAAATATGTCAAAGAAACATGTTTTTGGGTAAAATAATTTCTTTCAGGGACTGCTATCTATCATGTGATGCTATACTAGAGTCAGGTTGGAATTTGATATCTTAGTGCTACAGAGTCTGTTTTGTCACTCAAGATCTCTGTTTTAATGTTAATGCTGGTCGGTTGTGCCTGAATTCCAAAGGGAAGAGTATAATGAGGCATGTCCAAACCACCACTTCACATCATGGCCTGAACTAGCTTGTTAGGTCTACTTTAAAACCCCCTTGGCCAGGAGGAGGGATCCATTCAGTTGGCTGGGGAGCTTAGAATTTTATTTTTGGTTTACACATTTTAGGGGGACAGAAGTAACAGCCAGACATCAATCAATGTATGTATGGTATACACTGGCTTGGTCTGGAAAGGCAGGACAACTTGAAGCAAGGGCTTCCAGGTCATAGGCAGATCCAAAGATTTCCTAATTGGCAATTGGTTGAAAGAATTAAAAGTTAATGGCCAGGCATGGTGGCTCATGCCTGTAATCCCAGCACTTTGGGAGGCTGAAGCAGGCAGATCACTTGAGGTCAGGAGTTCAAGACCAGCCTGGCCAACATGATGAAATCGTGTCTCTACTAAAAATACAAAAATTAGCTGGGTATGGTGGCACAGGCCTATAATCCCAGCTACTCGGGAGGCTGAGGCAGGAGAATTGCTTGAACCCAGGAGGCAGAGGTTGCAGTGAGCCAAGACAATGCCATTGCACTCCAGCCTGGGCAACAGAGCAAGACTCCATCTCAAAAAAAAAAAAAAAAGTTATTATCTAAAGACCTAGAATCAATGAAAGCAGTATCTGAGTTAAAATATGGGGTTGTGGCCAGGCGTAGTGGCTCATGCCTGCAATCCCAGCACTTTGGGAGGCCAAGGCAGGTGGATCACGAGGTGAGGAGATTGAGACCATCCTAGCTAACACTGAAACCCCGTCTCTACTAAAAATACAAAAAATTAGCCAGGTGTGGTGGCGGGTGCCTGTAATCCCAGCCACTCAGGAGGGTAAGGCAGGAGAATGGCATGAACCCAGGAGGCAGAGCTTGCAGTGAGCCAAGATAGCGCCACTGCACTCCAGCCTGGGCGACAGAGCAAGACTCCGTCTCAAAAAAAAAAAAAAAGTATATATATATATATATATATATAGTGTCGTGCAGACAAAGGTTCTTATTATGTAGATGAAGTTTCATAGGTGGTTGCCCTTAGAAGCAGTAGATGGCAAATGCTATCTAATCAGACTTTTAAAAGGTGCTATATTCTCAGCTAATCTCTCCTGGATCAGGAAAAAAAACTGGAAAGGAAAGGAGATTCTGTACAGAATGTAGATTTTCTCCATTGGAGACAACTCTTCAGGGCCATGTCAAAATATGTCAAAGAAGTATATTTTGGGGTAAGATACTTTAACTTCTTTCAGGGCCTGCTATCTCTCATGTGATGCTATACTAGAGTCTAGTTAGAATATGGTATCTTATTGCTACAAAGAGTCTGTTTTGTCACTCTTAAGATCTCTATTTTAATGTTAATGTTGGTTAGTTGTGCCTGAATTCCAGATAAAGGAGAGTATAATGAGGCATGTTGGATCCTTCCCTTCCCATCAAGGCTTGAACTAGTTTTCAGGTTTACTTTGGAATCACCATGACCAAGAGGAGGGGCCCACTCAGTCAGATGAGAGGCTTAGAAATTTATTTTTGGTTTAGAATATATATATACACATATATATATATTCTATATATATATAGAATATATATATACACATATATATTCTATATATATAGAATATATATATACACATATATATTCTATATATATAGAATATATATATACACATATATATTCTATATATATAGAATATATATATATTCTATATATATATTCTATATATATTCTATATATATTTAGAATATATATATTCTATATATATTTAGAATATATATATTCTATATATATTTAGAATATATATATATTATGTGTGTATGTATATTATAGATATATATATACACACACACACACACACACACACACACACACACACAGAAAAATGTTACAAAAAATTAGCCTGGTGTGGTGGTACAGGCCTATAGTCTCAACTACTTGGGAAGCTGAGCTGGGAGGATCCCTTGAGGCCTGGAGGTCAAGACTGCAGTGAGCCATGATCATGCCACTGCATTTCCAACCTGGGTGACAGAGCAGGACTCTGAAAGAAAAAAAAAAAAAAAAGGAAGAAAAAAAGAGGAAAGAAAAAGACAAAGAAAGAAAGAAGAAAAATGCATATATTATTTTCACAAAATAAACACGTCTATGTAACCACCACCCAAATCATGATATAAAATAAAACCTGGCTGGATGCCATGGCTTATTCCCATAATATCAGTACTTCAGGAGGCTGAGTGGGGAGGGTTGTTTGAGCCCAGGAGTTCTAGACCAGCCTGGGCCACATAGTGAGACCTTGTCTCTACAAAAAATAAAATTTTTAAAAATTAGCCAGTTATGATGCCTCATGCCTGTAGTCCCAGCTGCTCCAGAGGCTGAGGTGGGAGGATGGCTTGAGCCTAGGAGGTCAAGGCTGCAGCAAGCCAATATTTGGCCACTGTTCTCCAGCCTGGATTACAAAGCAAGACCCTGTATCAAAAAATAAATAAACAACAACAAAAAAATACAATCAGAAGCTTCAAAACTCACCACATGACTCTTCCCAGATAATGCTTCACCTCCTACTACTAATCATTCAGACTAGTCATGAATAATCACTAGTCTGATTTCCAGTTCCAAAGATGTGGGTTTTTTGCCTGTTTTTGAATTTTATATAAATAGACTCATAGAGTATGCATGCCTTTGTCTGGCTTCTTTCTTTTTTTCTTTTTTTTTAAGGAGTTCTGCTCTTGTTGCGCAGGCTGGAGTGCAATGGCACAATCTTGGCTCACTGTAACCTCTGCCTCCCAGGTTCTGTCTGGCTTCTTTCACTTAACATTATATTTGTAAGAAGTGTAGCAATCGTATATTTTCATTGCTCTGTAGTATTCCATTGTATGAATTTATTCATTTTTTTTTTAAACTATGGCCTGGCATGGTGGCTTATGCCTGTAATCCCAGCACTTTGGGAAGCCGAGGTGGGTGGATCACCTGAGGTCAGGAATTCAAGACCAGCCTGGCCAATATGGTGAAACTCCATCACTACAGAAAATACAAAAAATTAGCCAGACAGGCCAGGCGTGGTGGCTCACGCCTGTAATCCCAGCACTTTGGGAGGCCAAGGCGGATGGATCATGATGTCAGGAGATCAAGACCATCCTGGCCAACATGGTGAAACCCAGTTTCTACTAAAAATACAAAAATTAGCTGGGCATGGTGGTGTGCACTTGTAATCCCAGCTACTTGGGAGGCTGAAGCAGGAGAATCGCTTGAACCCAGGAGGCGGAGGTTACAGTGAGCCAAGATCACGCCACTGCACTCCAGCCTGGCAACAGGGCAAGACTCTGTCTCAAAAAAAAAATTAGCCAGATGTGGTGGTGGGTGCCTGTAATCCCAGCTATTCGGGAGGCTGAGGCAGGAGAATCATTTGAACCCAGAAGACAGAGGTTGCAGTGAGCTGAGACTGCGCCATCACACTCCAGGCTGGGCAACAAGAACGAAACTCCACCTCAAAAAAATAATAATAATAATTAACCAGGCATGGTGGTGCATGCCTGTAATCCTAGCTACTTGGATCATGGGGGAAGACATCCCCCTTGCTGTCCTCATGATAGTTCTCATGAGATCTGATTGTTTAAAAGTGTGTAGCACTTTCCCCTTCACTTTCTCTCTCCTGCTCTACCATGTGAAGATGTGCCTGCTTCCCCTTCACCTTCTGCCATGATTGTAAGTTTCCTAAGGCCTCCTCAGCCATGCTTCCTGTACAGCCTGCAGAACTGTGAGTCAATTAAACCTCTTTTCTTCAGAAATTACCCAGTCTCGGATAGTTCTTTATAGCAATGTGAGAGAGGACTAATACAGCTACACACTGTTAAACAACCAGGTCTCATGAGAACAGCACCAAAGGGGAAAATCCACTCCCCTAATCCAATCACCTCCCACCAAGCCCTACCTCCAACACTGCAGATTATAACTTGACATGAGATTTGGGTGGGGAGACAGATCCAAACCATACCATTCTGCACCTGGCCTTATCCAAATCTCGTGTCCTCACATTTCAAAATACAATCATGCATTCTCAATGGCCCCCAAAGTCTTAAGTCATTCCAGCATTAACTCAAAAGTCCACAGTCCCAAATCTCATCTGAGACAAGGCAAGTCCCTTCTGCCTGTGAGCCTATAAAATAAAAAACAGGTTAGTTACTCCCAAGATACAATGAGGGTACAGGCATTGGGTAAATATTCCCATTCCAAAAGGGAAAAATTGGCCAAAAGAAAGAGGCTACAGGCCCCATGCAAGTTTGAAACCCAGCAGGGCAGTCATTAAATCTTTTTTTTTTTTTTGAGATGGAGTCTTGCTCTGTCACCCAGGCTGGAGTGCATGGAGTGCAGTGGCACAATCTCATCTCACTTCAACCTCTGCCTCCTGGATTCAAGCAATTCTTCTGTCTCAGCCTCCCAAGTAGCTGGGACTACAGGCAAGTGCCGCCACTAGCAAGTGCCTGGCTAATTTTTGTATTTTTAGTAGAATATTTTTGTATTCACCATATTGGCCAGGCTGGTCTCGAACTCCTGACCTCATGATCCGCCCACCTTGGCCTCCCAAAGTGCTGGGATTACAGGCATGAGCCACTGTGCCCAGCTGAATCTTAAAACTCCAAAATAATTTCCTTTGACTCCATGTCTCACATCTAGTGCACACTGGTGCTATGGGTGGGCTCCCAAGGCCTTGGGCAACTCCACCCCTGAGGCTTTCCAGGGTACAGCCCCCATGGTGGCTTTCATAGGCTGGAATTGAGTGCCTACAGCTCTTCTAGGTGGAGGGTGCAAGCTGCCAGTGAATCTACCATTCTGGGGTCTGAAGGATGGTGGTCCTCTTCTCACAGCTCCATTAAGCAGTGCCCAATGGGGATTCTGTGTAGGGGCTCCACTGCCCTAGTAGAGGTTCTCCATAAGGCTCCACCTCTACAGCAGGCTTCTGCTTGGACATCAAGGCTTTTCCACAAATCCTCTGAAATCTAGGCAGAGGCTCCCAAACCTCAACTCTTGTACTCTGTGCACCAGTAGGCTTAGCATTACATGGAAGCTGCCAAGGCTTATGGCTTGCACCTTCTGGAGCAGTGGCTGGAGCTACAGCCACTTTTAGCCACAGCTGGAGCTGGAGTGGCTAGGATGCAGGGAGCAGTGTCCTGAGGCTGTACAGGGTGACAAAGCCCTGGGCCTGGCCCACAAAGCCATTCTTCCCTCCTAGGCCCCAAGGCCTGTGATGAGAGGGGCTGCCGCAAAGGTTTCTGAGATGCCTTTGAGGCCTTTTTCCCATTGTCTTGGCTATCAGCATTTGGCTCCTCTTTACTTAAGCAAATTTGTGTAGTGAGCTTGAATTTTGAGACAAAGTCCCACTCTGTCGCCTAGGTTGGAGTGCAGTGGCGCCATCTCGGCTCACTGAAACTTCTGCCTTCTGGGCTCAAGCGATCCTCCCACTTCAGCCTCCTGAGTAGCTTGGACGACAGGCATGGTTTTTCCTTTCTATGTGGGCCTGGCTGCAAATTTTCCAAACTTTTACCTTCTGCTTCCCTTTTAAATACAAGTTCCAGTTTTATGTCATTTCTTTGCTCATGCATATGAACATAGGTAGTCAGAAGCAGCCAGGTCACTTCTTGAATGCTTTGCTGCTGAGAAATTTCCCCACCAGATACCCTAAATCATCACTCTCAAGTTCAAAGTTCCACAGACCCCTAGGACAGGGGCACAATGCCTGCAACCTCTTTGCTAACACATAACAAAAGTGACCTTTGCTCCAGTTTCCAATAAGTTCCTCATTTCCATCTGAGACCTCCTCAGCCTGGACTTCATTGTCCAGCTCAATATCAGCATTTTGGTAACAACCATTTAACCAGTTTCTAGGAAGTTCCAACTTTTTTCTCATCTTCCTGTCTTCTTCTGAGCCTTCCAGGCTGTTCTAACTTCTGCCCCTTATCCAGTTCTCAAGCCGCTCCCACATTTTCAAGTATCTTTATAGCAATGCCACACTCCCAGTACCAATTTTCTGTATTAGTCTGTTCTCACCCTGCTATAAAGAAATACATGAGATTGGGTAATTTATAAAGAAAAGAAGTTTAATTGGCTCACGGTTCTGCAGCCTGTACAGGAGCATGAAGCCTTCTGGGAGGCCTCAGGAAACTTTAAATCATGGTGGAAGGCAAAAGGGAAGCAGGCATGTCTTACGTGGCTGGAGCAAGAGGAAGAGATCGGGGGAAGTGGTACACAATTTTTTTTTTCTTTTTTGAGACGGAGTCTCACCTTGTTGCCCAAGCTGGAGTGCAATGGCATGATCTCGGCTCACTGCAACCTCTGCTGCCTGGGTTCAAGCAATTCTCCTGCCTCACCCTCCCAAGTAGCTGGGATTACAGGCACCTGTCACCAAGCTCAGCTAATTTTTGTATTTTTAGTAGAGATGGGTTTTCACCATCTTGGCCAGGCTGGTCTTGAGCTCCTGACCTCGTGATCCACCTGCCTCGGCCTCCCAAAGTGCTGGGATTACAGGCGTGAGCCACTGCGCCCAGCCGGAAGTGGTACACACATTTTTTTGTTTTCGTTTTTGTTTTGAGACAGAGTCTTGCTCTGTCGCCCAGGCTGGAGTGCAGAGGTGTGATCTTGGCTCATGGCAAGCTCCACTTCCTGGCTTCACGCCATTCTCCTGCCTCAGCCTCCCAAGTAGCTGGGACCACAGGTGCCAGCCACCACGCCCAGCTAATTTTTTTGTATTTTTAGTAGAGATGGGGTTTCACCGTGTTAGCCAGGATGGTCTCAATCTCCTGACCTCGTGATCTGCCCGCCTCGGCCTCCCAAAGTGCTGGGATTACAGGCATGAACCACCGCACCTGGCCGTGGTACATACTTTTAAAAAACCAGATCTCGTGAGAACTCTATCATGAGCATACCACCAAAGGGGGAAATCCGACCCCATGGCCCAATTATTTCCCATCAGTTCCCACCTCCCATGTTGGGGATTACCATTCAACATGACATTTGGGCAGGAACACAGATCCAAACTATATCATTCCTGTATGCCCAGCACTTTGGGAGGCCAAGGCAGGCGGATCACTTGAGCCCAGGAGTTCAAGACAACCTGGGCAACACAGGGAAACCCTGTCTCTACAAAAAATATAAAAATTAGCTGGGTGTGGTGGCACATGCCAGTAGTCCCAGCTACTCAGGAAGCTGAAGTAAGAGAATTGCTTCAGCCCAGAAGGCAGAGACAGAGGTTGCAGGGAGCCAAGATCATACCACTACACTCCAGCCTGGGTGACAGAACAAGATGCTGTCTTAAAAAAAAAAAAAAATTCATTCTCCATGGGAGGAGGTCAAAATATCAACATTAACAGAAGCTGGGAAGAAGTTGATCCCAACCCTCAAGGATGACTTTGAGGGATTCAAGAGTTCAGTGAAGGAAGTTACTGCAGATGTGAGGAAATAGAAACAGAACTAGAATTAGAAGTGGAGTGATTCAGATGTGACTGAATTGCTGTAATCTCATAATAAAACTTGAATAGATGAGGAGTTGCTTCATATGGACAAGCAAAGAAAGTGATTACTTGAGATAGACTCTATTCCTGGTGAACATGCTGTGAACATTGTGGAAATGTTAACAAAGCATTTAGAATATTACATAAACTAGCCAAGGGGTGGTGGCTTACACCTGTAATCCCAGCACTTTGGGAGGCTGAGGCAGGCAAATTGCTTGAGCCCAGGAGTTCGAGACAAGCCTAGGCAACATGGCAAAACTCCATCTCTACAAAATATATCAAAATTAGCCAGGTGTGGTGGTGCATGCCTGTCGTCCAAGCTACTCAGGAGGCTGAAGTGGGAGGATCACTTGAGCCCAGAAGGCAGAAGTTTCAGTGAGCCGAGATGGCGCCACTGCACTCCAACCTAGGTGACGGAGTGGGACTTTGTCTCAAAAAAAAGAGAATATTACATTAAAAAGTTTATTATGCTGGGCACGGTGGCTTTGGCACATGCCTGTAATCCCAGCACTTTGGCGGGCCAAGGCAGGCAGATCACTTGAGGTCAGGAGTTTGAGACCAGCCTGGCCAACATGGTGAAACCCTGTCTCTACTAAAAATATAAAATTTAGCCGGTGTGGTGGCACATAGCTATAATCCCAGCTACTCGGGAGGCTGACGCAGGAAAATTGCTTGAACTCGGGATGCAGAGGTTACAGTGAGCCAAGATCGTGCCATGGCACTCCAGTCTGGGTGACAGAGTGAAACTCCATCTCAAAAAAAAAAAAAAGATTATTACATAAACTTAGTTGGTAAAGCAGTAGGGTTTGAGAGGATTGACTCCAATTTTGAAAGAAGCTTGGGCTGGGCGCGGTGACTCATGCCTGTAATCCAGCACTTTGGGAGGCCAAGGCAGGTAGATAACCTGAGGTCAGAAGTTCAAGAACAGACTGGTCAACATGGTGAAACCCTGTCTCTACTAAATATACAAAAATTAGCTGGATGTAGTGGTGGGTGCCTGTAATCCCAGCTACTCATGAGGCTGAGGCAGGAAAATTGCTTGAACCCGGGAGGCAGAGGTTGCAGTGAGCCGAGATCGAGCCATTGCACTCCAGCCTGGGCAACAAGAGCGAAACCACTGGTCTGATAAGTCAGCAGCCATCAACATCGAGCAAGACCCTCCACCAGCAAAAAGATTAAAGGCTCAGATGATTGTTAGCACTATTTAGCAACAAAGTATTTTTAAATTAAGGTATAGTTTTAAAAGACATAATGCTATTACACAATTAAACTATTGCACACTTAATAGACTACAATAACATAGCTTTTATATGGACTAAGAAACAAAAATCATGTGACTCACTTTATTGCTTTATTATGATTGTCTGGAATGGAATCCACGATATCTCTGAGGTATACCTATAGTTGCAAACCTCAAAACAAAGTTAGCACATCCAGGGTTTCCCAGATGCATTTGAACATGAAATTGTTTTTTTCCATAACACATTCTATGAGACTAATATCTTCCCTAGAAAAAGCTGGTCTGGAGCAATGGTCTTCAGACTGTTCCTCAAAGCTCTAGGGTCCCAGATAGTGGCTCAGTGTTACATGAGGGATGAGAATAAGGCCAACTGGATCCCTAGTTCTTCCACACAACACCTCCACTTTAATCTGTTTTATGAAGGGGTTCCACCTAAGGATATATGTGTATGTATATATGTACATATACATACATGTTACATATCTTACCTATTTTCTATGTATACTATTAGCTGAAAATAGGTCTATATTGGAAAAAAGGGTTTGGTTGCTTTTAAAACTGTTTTTGAAAGCTACCAGCCTAGGCTCTAAAGGACCTCTCAGGTTCCAAGCTACAAGGGCTTGCTAACCTTACCCAAAGTTCATTGCTTTTGCTGCTGATGTCTTTCCAGACTGTCAAAGGGCTGTCCACCTGTTCTGATTTTCCAAGTGGTGTTGTGGAGGGGGCTCAAAAAGGGATCACTGACAGTAGCTCAACACAGATCAGGCGGCTTAGTCCACAGGCACTTGCCATCTTTGGAATCACAGGCTGAAAATAGACCATTACATGCCACAAAGTCTTAAATTGCTTCCAACCAGGCAGTGTAGTGAAGGGATTAAGAGCATGGATTCCACAGCCAGACTCCCTGGCTTCAACTCTTGGCTCTGCTGCTAACTAGCTGTGGCCTTGGGCAAGTTTCTTAACACCCTCGTGTCTTAGTTTCCTCATCTTTAAAATGGAAGTGAAGATAATAATGTTTGTTAAATAAAACCAATGTGTCTGGGCGCGGTGGCTCACACATGTAATCCCAGCACTTTGGCAGGCCGAGGAGGGCGGATCACTTGAGGTCAGAGCTTCGAGACTAGCCTGGCCAACATGGTGAAACCTCGTCTCTACTAAAAATACAAAAATTAGCCAGGTGTGGTGGCAGATGCCTGTAATCCCAGCTATTTGGGGGGCTGAGGCAGGAGAATCGAACCCAAGAGACAAGAGGCTGCAGTGAGCTGAGATTGGGCCACTGCACTACAGCCTGGATGACAGAGTGGGACTCCATTTCAAAACAGCAACAAATACACAAAAAGGCCGGGCATGGTGGCTCGTGCCTGTAATCCCTGCACTTTGGGAGGCCGAGGCAGGTGGATCACCTGGGGTCAGGAGTTCACAACCAGCCTGACCAACATGATGAAACCCTGTCTCTACTCAAAATACAAAAAATTAGCTAGGCGTGGTGGCACGCACCTATAATCCCAGCCACTTAGGAGGCTGAGGCAGGAGAATCGCTTGAACCTAGGAAGCAGAGGTTGCAGTGAGCTGAGATCACACCACTGCACTCCAGCCTGGGCAACAAGAGCAAAACTCCGTCTCAAACACACACACACACACACACACACACACACACACACACAAACCATGTGACAATGGCTCTTTTCTTTCTACATGAACTTATGAGTGGCAAGGCCCAACTCTGGGCATTTTGATTCTTTTAGTGTTGAATATTCTATTGCTGCTCTCAAGGTGAGGCCTCCCACGACCCTGAAGATCCTGGAGTCATAGGGCCTTACTCCTGGTCCTCCAAAATGGGGAGTTGATTAGCAGAATTGGGATTCCTTGGATCAGTAACATTTCAAAAGCAATTTTGAGGATTTACATAGGATGGCCATCTGTTAACTCTGGCATTCAGCACATCAAAATAAACTGCCATCTACTGTCAGCACTAATTCATGAAAGGTAATTTTTTTGTTTGTTTGTTTTTTGAGATGCAGTCTAGCTCTGTTGCCCAGGCTGGAGTGCAGTGGCACCATCTCAGCTCACTGCCATCTCTGTCTCCCGGGTTCAAGCGATTCTCCTGTTTCAGCCTCCCAAGTAGCTGGGATTATAGGCGCCTGCCACCATGCCCAGGTAATTTTTGTATTTTTAGTAGAGACGGGGTTTCGCCATGTTGGCCAGGCTGGTCTTGAACTCCTGACCTCAGGTGATCCACCCGCCTCAGCCTCCCAAAGTGCTGGGATTACAGGAGTGAGCCACCGTGCCCATCCAAAAGGTAATTTTAATACCAAAAAAGTAGAAAGAACATAATCTCAGAATAAGACAGGAGTTTAATCACATTTAGCTTAGTAAAAGATAATTTCCTGATTTTTTTTTTTTTCTATTTCATCTTGAGCCAGTGGCCAAGGGCCAACCCCTATCTGTGACTCAGCATTTGGCCAACACTACTGGGCCCTTCTGAGTATTCCTGGACACACTGGGCATTATAACTAAATGCCTCCCTGAATGACCAAGCCTCAAAGCTGGTCTGAGCATCACACTTTGCAAAAGTGAGGGTTTTGCTCATGATCCCAGAGAGTGCAACTGTGCTCAGAGGTGGCTGACCACAGGGCATCAGGAAGAGGTATTTATTTATTTATTTATGACACGGAGTCTCGCTCTGTCACCCAGGCTGGAGTGCAGTGGCGCAATCTCGGCTCACTGCAAGCTCCGCCTCCCGGGTTCCCGCCATTCTCCTGCCTCAGCCTCCCGAGTAGCTGGGACTACAGGCGCCTGCCACCATGCCCGGCTAATTTTTTTTTTTTTTTTTTTTTTGTATTTTTAGTAGAGACAGGGCTTCACCATGTTAGCCAGGATGGTCTCTATCTCCTGACCTCGTGATCCGCCCGCCTCGGCCTCCCAAAGTGCTGGGATTACAGGCGTGAGCCACTGCGCCCGGCCAGGAAGAGGTATTTTAGTCATTCCCTGTAGCATTTAATGGGACCACTTAGAACCTTGACTCCAAGTCCAAGAAGCCAAGAAGGACTCTGAGCTACCTGGGTGTGAAGAGTTTTTCTGCCCCCAACAGAGAGTCAGGATATAGGGACTCTATGCTGACCCTTCGTGTTAATGCACTGTGACTTTTGGCAAGGCCCTTAACCATTCAGACTTGGTTTGCTTATCCACAAAGTAGAGGCAGTAATATCTGCTCTGCATTTCTCAAGATTATGCGGAGACTCAAGTAATGGCTGTGAATGTGGTTTTAAAGCACAGTACAGTGATAAGGGAATGAATATTTGTAAATCTCAGCCCCTACCCTGTTCTAGTCAGGGCCCCAGGTGCCCCCACTACGATTATAGCAAGGGGCCAGGCACAATGGCTCACGCCTGTAATCCCAGCACTTTGGGAGGCCAAGGTGGGAGGATCACTTGAGGCCAGGATTTCCAGCTAGCCTGGGCAACATAGTGAGACCCCCATTGGTACAAACATTAAAAAAAGAAAAAAGATTAGCCAGGCGTGGTAGCACGTATATGTAGGTCTAGCTGCTCAGGAGGCTGAAGGAGGAGTTCAAGGTTTCAGTGAGCTATGATTGCACCACTGTATTCCAGCCTGGGCGACAGAGCAGGACTCTGTCCCTTGGGGAAAAAAAAAAGGATTATACCGATTACCAAGGACTCTTTCCTCCTCCCTTTCCTTTAACCATAATACAGAACTCCAGGGTATCTAGACTCCCAGGCCTTGGGTTAGAGCTGTAGAGTAGGGAAGAACCATTGTTTTCTCTTTCTCAGAGCACTGGTCCCCAGGTTTCTCCTGGATGAAGTGAGCTGCTAAATTTAAACACTCAGGAATCCACAAATACTCTTGGAATTCCAGCTTAGTGAGCTTGTTCAATAATGCTTCCTGTTAAACTAACAAAGGGTGATAGCAGAAGAATGCCCAGAGACATTCCATTCCCCTGCGTCCACGGAATTCTGCAGCTCAACTTTCTAGTGTGTTACATTAGAAAGAAACTTTAGATTGGTGTTTCTCAATTCTGGCTGAACATTAGAATCACCAGGGGAGCCTCTGCAAAATGCCCATGCCCAAGTTGTACCTCACACCAATTAAGTCAGAATTTTTAGCAGAGGGACCCAGATATTAGCTTTTTTTTTTTTTTTTTTTTGAGACAGAGTCTTGCTCTGTCACCCAGGCTGGAGTACAGAGGCACGATTTCTGCTCACTGCAACCTCCACCTCTGGGTTCAACCAATTCCCCTGCCTCAGCCTCCCAAGTAGCTGGGACTACAGGCGCCCACCACCATACTCGGATAATTTTTTGTATTTTTCGTAGTTTTTGTATTTTTGTATTTTCGTTTCACTATATTGGTCAGGCTGGTCTCAAACTCCTGACTTTGTGATCCGCTTGCCTTGTCCTCCCAAAGTGCTGGGATTATAGTCATGAGCCACCACACCAAGCTAATTTTTGTATTTTTAGTAGAGACGGGGTTTCACCATTGTTGACCAGGATGGTCTCGATCTGTTGACCTCATAATCCACCTGCCTCAACCTCCCAAAGTGCTGGGATTACAGGTGAGAGCCACCGCGTCTGGCCAATATTAGCATTCTTAAAGCTCCCCAGGTGATTACAAAGTGTAGCCTACTTTGGGAATCACGACTCTAGGTGATCCAGGGAGAAGGAAAAACAGGCCTTAGGAACTTAAGATTTTTGTCTAAAGTCATACAGCTGATTAGAGTTTGAGATCTCAATTCAACAAGCTGATGGAAGCAATGGCTAATTTTTGTTGGGCATTTTACTCTGATCCAGAGTAAGCACTAAGCACTTTACAAACACAATCTTAATTAATTTTCACAATGATCCTATGAGAAAACTGAGGCCCAGAGAGTTTGACTAGTTTGCTGAATGTCAAAGCAACTAAATAGTGGCAGAGATCGAGTTCAATTGTTTGAGCAGCATGCAGATGACAAGATAGGAATAGTAACCCTGCCCTTAAGGAATGTAGAGTCTAGTGGGAGGGACAGGAAGCCGGTGAGCCAACAATTAAAACACAATCTGATAAGGGTTACCATAAAATTAAAGGTTGGCTGGGTGTAAACCCAACACTTTGGGAGGCCGAGGCAGGTGGATCACAAAGTCAGGAGTTCAAGACCAGCCTGGCCAAGATGGTGAAACCCCATCTCTACTAAAAATACAAAAATTAGCCAGGCATGGTGGCGGGTAGCTGTAATCCCAGCCACTCGGGAGGCTGAGGCAGAGAATTGTTTGAACCCGGGAGGCGGAGGTTGCAGTGAGCCAACATTGCACCACTGCACTCCAGCTTGGGCGACAGAGCAAGACTCTGTCTCAAAAATAAATAAATAAATTAAATTAAATTAAATTAAATTAAAGGTTACCAAGGAAGGCACTTAACTTGTGGAACAGCCAAAGAAGCCTCCCAGAGGAGGAAGTACTTGAAGGAAGCTTTAAAGGTTGAGTGGAACTTAGTTTAGTGAACAGCAAGGTAGGGAGGAAGTGGGCCTAGCAAGTGGAAAGGTGACTTCGGAGAGCAAGGTGAATGCTTGCAGCTGTGCAGGAAATTCAGAATGACAACGGATTACCTTGTTAGTGAGAGATGAGACTGAGGAAGTATGGAGACCAGGTCGTTCAGGTTAAGAAGTTTAAAAGAAAGAAGCATTCCAGGATTACAAAGAGGACAGTGAAAGGATCAACTATATACAAGTGTGTATTTAAAAGATTATTGGAGGTTGGGCATGGTGACTCATGCCTATTGCGGCCAGCACTTTGGGAGGTTGAGACAGGCAGATCGCTTGAGCTTGGGAGTTCAAAAAAAAGGGGCAACATGATGAAATCCCATCTCTACAAAAAGTACAAAAATTAGCTGGGTGTTGTGGCATGCCCCTGTAGTCCTAGCTACTAGGGAGGCTGAGGTGGGAGGATCACCTGAGCCTGGGGAGGTGGAGCTGCAGTGAGCCATGATCGTGCCACTGCACTCCAGCCTGGGCAACAGAGTGAGACCCTGTCTCAAAAAAATAAAATAAAATAAAAAGAAAGATTGATTACTGGAGGATATGACACCAAAAACATAGGTAACAACAGAAAAAAACAGGCAAAATAGGCTATATAAAAACTTAAGGACTTTTGGACATCAAAGTATACTATCAACAGAATAAAAGGGCAACTCACATAATGGGAGAAAATATTTGCAAATCATATATCTGATAAGGGCTAATATCCAGAATACATAGAGGACCCCTACAAAAATAAAAAAAAAACCGAACAGCCCAATTTAAAAATGGGCAATGTCGGCCAGGTGCGGTGCCTCACACCTATGATCCCAGCACTTTGGGAGGCTGGGGCAGGTGAATCACCTGAGCTCAGGAGTTCTAGACCAGCCTGGCCAACACGGCGAAAACCCATCTCTACTAAAAATACAAAAATTAGACAGGCGTGGTGGCGCATGCCTGTAGTCCCAGCTACTCAGGAAGCTGAGGCAGCAGAATAGCTTGAACATGGGAGGCAGAGGTTGCAGTGAGCTGAGATCGCACCAGTGCACTCCAGTCTGGGTGACAGAGCAAGACTCCATCTCAAAAAAAAAAAAAAATTGCCAAAGTCCTTAGTTTAGACATTTCTCCAAATAAGATATACAAATGGCCAATAAGCACATGAAAAGATGTTCAACATCAGTAATCATTAGGGAAATGCAAATGAAAACCACAAGATACAGTGTCGCCTCACATGCAGTATGATGGCTATTTTAAAGACAAACAACAACAAAAAAAAACAAAATAACAAGTGTTGATAAGGATGTAGAGGAACTGGATCCCTGCATAGTGCTGGTGGGAATGTAAAGCGGTACAAACCACTGTGTATGGTGGCTCCTCAAAAAATTAAAAATAAAATTGCCATATGATCCAGCAATTCCACTTCTGGACACATCCCAAAAAGAAAGCAGGGTCTTGGCCTGGCATGGTGGCTCACGCCTGTAATTCCAATACTTTGGGAGGCTGAGGCAGGTGGATCATCTGAGATCAGGAGTTCGAGACCAGCCTGACCAACATGGTGAAATCCTGTCTCTACTAAAAATACAAAAAAAAAAAAAAAATTAGCCAGCTGTGGTGGTGCATGCCTGTAGTCCCAGCTACTTGGGGGGCTGAGGCAGGAGAAACACTTGGATCCAGGAGGTGGAGGTTGCAGTGAGCCAAGATTGCACCACTGCACTCCAGCCTGGGCAACAGAGCAAGACTCTGTCTCAAAAACAAAAACAAAAACAAAAACAAAAAAAAACAAAGAAAGCAGGGTCTTGAAGAGACACTGTATACTTATGTTCCTAACAGCATTATTCATGATAGCCAAAAGGTAGAAGCAACTCAAGTGCCCATCAGCAGATGAATGGATAAACAAAATTTGACATATACATACACACCCAAACCGCTGGATTATTCAGCCTTAAAAAGGAAGGATATTCTAAACCTTGAAGACATTATGCTAAGTGAAATAACCCAGTAACAAAAGGATGCATCCTGTATAGCTCTGCTTACATGAGGTACCTAGAGCAGTCAAATGTATGGAGATAGAAAGCAGATGATGGAGCTGGGTGCAGTTGCTCACACCTGTAATCCCAGCACTTTGGGAGGCTGAGGCAGGCAGATCACCTAAGGTCAGGAATTCGAGAGTAGCCTGGCCAACATGGTGAAACCCCATCTCTACTAAAATACAAAAAAAACTAGCTGGGAGTGGTGGTGGGTGCCTGTAATGCCAGCTACTTGGGAAACTGAGGCAGGAGAATTGTTTGAACCCTGGAGGCGGAGGTTACAGTGAGCCAAGACTGCACCACTGCACTCCAGCCTGGGCAAGAAGAATGAAACTCCATCTCAAAAACAAACAACAACAAAAAGAAAGTAGATGACAGCAGTTGCCAGGGGCTGGGGGAGGAGGAATGGAGACTTTCTGAAGCTCTGATAGAGCTTCAGTTTGTGAAGATGAAAGGGATCTGTAGAGGCCGGGTGCAGTGGCTCACGCCTGTAATCCCAGCACTTTGGGAGGCCGAGGCGGGCAGATCATGAGGTCAGGAGATCAAGACCATCCTGGCTAACATGGTGAAACCCCATCTCTACTAAAAATTAACAAATTAGCCAGGCGTGGTGGCGGGCACCTGTTGTCCCAGCTACTTGAGAGGCGGAGGCAGGAGAATGGCGTGAACCTGGGAGGTGGAGCTTGCAGTGAGCCGAGATTGCGCTACGCACTCCAGCCTGGGTGACAGAGCAAGACTCCATCTCAAAAAAAAAAAAAAAAAGGATCTGTAGATAGATGGTGATAATGGTTGCACAACAATGTGAACTGAAGTGTACACTTTAAAATGATTAAATAATAAATTTTGTTATGTCTATTTTACCGCAATAAAAAAATGGTCAGCTGGGCATGGTGGCTCACACCTGTAATCCCAACACTTTGAGAGGCCAAGGTGGGAGGATCACTTGAGTCCAGGAATTAGAGACCAGCCTGGGCAACATAGCAAGACCCCATCTCTACAAAAAAGTGAAAAAACAAAACAAAACATAATCCTTGGAGAAAAATAATTGGCAAGAGTGTTAACAGATTTAGAGAAGTAAAAGACTCAATAGAGGCACATCAGTTAGAGAGCCAATGCCCAGAGGCAGAGACCTGACAAGGGCCTGTACTATTAGACACCGGCAGGAGAGCTGCAGGGAAGAGATACTAGAGTTTTTCAGGGACTGGCTGGATGCAGTGTGAGGAAGAACGAGGAGCCAAGGGCTACTCCCAGGGTTCTGACTTGAGGGACTGGGCAACAGGGGTGTCCATCACTAAGACAGGGACCACAAGGGAGCAGGGAAGAACAGAATTCTGAGAAGGTGATGAGTTCAGCTTTGGACACGTTGAGTTTGAAGTGCCTGGGAAACATCCAGGTGGCAATATCTCAAAGGAATCAGATATACCACCTGGATTGCAAATGATTGGATTTTTGTTTGTTTGTTTGAGATGGAGTCTCGCTCTGTTGCCCAGGCTGGAGTGCAGTGGCACCATCTCGGCTCACTGCAAGCTCTGCCTCCCGGGTTCACGCCATTCTCCTGCCTCAGCCTCCTGAGTAGCTGGGACTACAGGCGCCCGCCACCACGCCTGGCTAATTTTTTTGTATTTTTTTTAGTAGAGACGGGGTTTCATCATGTTAGCCAGGATGGTCTCGATCTCCTGACCTCGTGATCCGCCCGCTTCTGCCTCCCAAAGTGCTGGGATTACAGGCGTGAGCCACCGCGCCAGGCCAAATGATTGGATTTTTAAAGTATGATAATAGTATTGTGGGTTTTTTTTTTTTAAAGTTTGTACCTTTTTATAGAGGATGGGGTGAATGGGGCAGGATTGGTTATGGGTTGATGGTTATTGGGGCTGGATCATAAGTACATGGAAATTCATGATGCAATTCTGTTCAAAATTCACCATAATAAAAAGTGTTTAAAATAATAATAAAGATATAAACCTATAGGCTGGAGACTGAGACATTATTTTATTATTAATGATAATAATACAAATTACTGCCATTTAGTGAGCCTCTACGTTATGCCAGGGGCTTTGCTGGGCCCTTTATGTGCATAAATTGTATTTTTCATGACAATCCCCATTTTATTAAGATTCACAGATGTTAGATGTCTTCCACAGTAAGTGGTAAGCATTAGATTCTACAAGCTATAGCAGACAAAGCAAATAAAAGACGATAAAAGAACTAAACAAGGAAAAGTATGGACTGCTGACATTTGGGAATAGGAAGAGGACGCCACAAAGAAGGTAGTAGATGGGTCAGGCACGGTGGCTCATGCTTGCAGTTTCAGAGCTTTAGGAGGGTGAGTCGGGAGGATCACTTGAGGCCAGGAGTTCAAGATTAGCCTGGGCAATATAACAAAACCCCGTCTCCACCAAAGAATCTTTTTGTTTTTAATTAGCCAAGCATGGTGGTGCATGTCTGTAGTTTCAGCTACTCAGGAGGCTCAAGCAGAAGGATTGCTTGAGCTCAGGAGTTCAAGGCTACAGTGAGCTAAGATCACACCACTGCACTCCAGCCTAGATGACAGAATCAGGCCCTGTCTCTTTTTTTTTTTTTTTTTTTTTTGAGATGGAGTCTCTCTCTGTCGCCCAGGCTGGAGTGCAGTGGCGCAATCTCAGCTCACTGCAAGCTCCGCTTCCCGGGTTCACGCCATTCTCCTGCTTCAGCCTCCCAAGTAGCTGGGACTACAGGTCCCCACCACCACGCCCAGCTAATTTTTTGTATTTTTAGTAGAGACGAGGTTTCACCGTATTAGCCAGGTTGGTCTCGACCTCCTGACCTCGTGATCCGCCCACCTCGGCCTCCCAAAGTGTCGGGATTACGGGCGTGAGCCACCAGGCCCGGCCAGGCCCTGTCTCTAAAAAAAAAAGACTGGGTGCAGTCTTTTTTTTACGCCTGTAATCCCAACACTTTGAGAGGCCAAAGCAGACAGATAGATCACCTAAGGTCAGGAGTTCAAGACCAGCCTGGCCAACATGGCGAAAACCCATCTCTACTAAAAATACAAAAAGTAGCCAGGATTGGTGGTGGGCACTTGTAGTCCCAGCTACTCGGGAGGCTGAGGCATGAGAATCATTTGAACCTGGGAGGCAGAAGTTGCTATGAGCTAAGATTGCACCACTACCTTTCAGCCTGGGTGACAGAGTGAGACTCCGTCTCAAAAAAAAAAAAAAGGAACAAAGAGAGTGCTTTGCAAACGAAGGAAGAACAAAAGAACAACAGAGGTTCCAGAAGACAGGAGTAGTTCATAGTGTCAAATGCCACACAAAGTGCAAGCAAAATAGCAATTGAAAACTACCTGCAGCCGGGTGCGGTGGCTCACGCCTGTAATCCCAGCACTTTGGGAGGCCCAGGCAGGCGGATCACCTGAGGCTAGAAGTTCAAGACCAGCCTGGCCAACATGGTGAAACCCTGTCTCTACTAAAAAATATACACAAAATTATCTGGGCATGGTGGCGGGCGCCTGTAGTCCCAGCTACTTGAGAGGCTGAGGCAGGAGAATTGCTTGAACCCGGGAGGCTGAGGCTGCAGTGAACCGAGATCGTGCCATTGCACTCCAGCCTGGGCAACAAGAGTGAAATTCCATCTCAAAAACAAACAAACAAAGAAACAAACAAAAAGCTACTTGCTAGATTGTGCAATTAGGAGGTTGCTGTGGCCTTGGGAAGAACAACTGGAGAGGTGGGGCCAGAAATGGAGTTAAGGGTGAGTGGGTAGCAAACAGGGCCTGCTCTTTTGATAAGCTCTGCTGTGAAGTGAACTTCCAAGACTGGCTTATAGCTAGAGAGAGGTACCTTTCTGAGGTGAGAGAAGCTTGACTGTTTATGTATGGAAGGAAAAGCCAGAAAGGAGAGAGTGAGGATGGAGGGAAGTGTGCTGCTGAGGATGGAGCCGAGCGCCGAGGAATTGGGAAGGATGGAATCCAGCACACACTGAGGGACTGGCCTCAGACAGCAAGAGGAGCACCACCCTGTGGACAAGAATGAAGAAAGGAGGCACTCATGGGCTGGGGTTTGGGAAAGAGATACAGGGAGCTGGGAGTAGGGGAAGGGAGTAAACCGATGGCAAGGAAGTTCCGGCCAGAGACCAGTTTGTTGGCATTTCTGAGCTGGACAATCATGACAAGGTCCAGGGCGTGCCTGACTGAGGCAGTTACGTCACTAGAGTTAGAAGGTCAAGAATTCTGAAATGGATAATCCTCGGGAACAGGTCTAGGGTGGAGAAAAAGTCTGGTAGGATCTATCCTCAGAGACAGATCAAGAGAAAGCTGTTTCTTGGCCTCCCACACAAACACATTGGGATTTTAAAAAATATTTCTTAGTCCTAGCTCATAACTTACCTAACTACTTTTGCCACAGTGTAAACCCATAGCTTCCTCAAGAAAAGATCAAACATTTAGAAAAAGTTAGACTGAAACTGTGAAGCAGGAGTCTGCCTGATAAATGTGGCTCTGTCCACTACATAATGGGTTTAATCTACATTTCCTTTTTTTTTTTTTTTTTTTTTTGTTGAGACAGGGTCTTGCTCTGTTGCCCAGGGTGGAGTGCAGTGGCACAATCACAGCTCACTGCAACCTTGACTTCCTGGGTTTCAGCGATCCTCCCACCTCAGCCTCCTGAGTAGCTGGGACTACAGGCAGGTGCCACCATGCCCATCTAATTTTTTTTTTTTTGGGGGGGGGACAAAGTCTCGCTCTGTTGCCAGGCTGGAGCACAGTGGCACGATCCCGGCTTACTGCAACCTCCACCACCTGGGTTCAAGCGATTCTCCTGCCTCGGCCTCCTGAGTAGCTGGGATTACAGGCACGCCCCACCATGCCCAGCTAATTTTTGTATTTTTAGTAGAGATGGGATTTCACCATGTTGGCCAGGATGGTCTCGATCTCTTCACCTCTTGATCCGCCTGCCTCAGTCTCCCAAAGTGCTGGGATTACAGGTGTGAGCCACTGTGCCCGGCCTTTTTTTATTTTCTGTAGGGATGAGGTCTCACTATGTTGCCCAGGTTGGTCTCAAACTCCTAGGCTCAAACCATTCTCCCGCCTTGGTCTCCCAAAGTGCTGGGATTACAGGCGTGAGCCACCATGCCTGGCCTTAATCTACTTTTCTGATTTAGACTATGACCTGGTCTCCATTCATTCTTCATTCATTCATTCATTCATTCATTCATTCAGCAACATGCATTAAATGCCCTCTCCCTGCCAGGTATTTTGCTAGGCTCTGGGGATTCAAAATGAAACATCCATGGTCCTTAGGGAGTTCACAAACAAGTGAAGGAGCCAATAATTAGCTCTGACGACATAAGAAGATACTATAGCAGAGGTGGGTAGAAAGTGCAATGGATCACGTGGACACAGAGAAAGCAACCTGGATTCGGGGAAAGCAGCACAGAAGAGCTGATGTGTGAGACGAAGCTTAAAGGAGAAGCAGAGTGCACCAGGCTGCAAAATGCAGGAAGTGAGAAAGGTGTGACTACCCAGATACAGTCAGGAAACTCAACAATCTGGTTTGGCAGAGCAGTAGTTCTTAAACTGTATTCTACACAAAAATCAGCCCCGGTATCATTAAAATGCAGGTTCCGAGGTATCAGCAACAGCTGGCTCAGTAGTTCTGGAGCACAGGAATTTGCATTTTCCATTCAGTAGGTCTCGTGCCCAGGAATCATGTCCTGAATGATTCTGAAGAAGATGGTCCACAGACTACACTGAGAAACACTGGGCTAGAGTACGGGGCACATGGCAGGAGGAAGGAGAGGGGATTGGGATGAAGAAGAAAATTATTTTTATTTTTATTTTTTGAGACAGAGTCTTGCTCTGTCGCCCAGGCTAGAGTGCAGTAGCGTAATCTCAGCTCACTGCAACCTCCACCTCCCGGATTCCAGCGATTCTCCTGCCTCAGCCTCCCAAGTAGTTGGGACTACGGGCGTGCACCACCACGCCTGGCTAATTTTTGTATTTTTAGTAGAGATGGGGTTTCACCATGTTCGCCAGGCTGGTCTTGAACTCCTGGCCTCAGGTGATACACCCTCCTTGGCCTCCCAAAGTGCTGGGATTACAGGCGTGAGCCACTGCGCCTGGCCCGAAGCAGAAATTTTGGTCAGGACCACATTGTGCTAAGGAAATGGGAGCTGAGTTTATAGGCAGTGAGGCATCCTTTGGGAAAGCCCTGATGAAATGCATTGGAAAGCCCAGTCTAGAGGCAGTATCAATGACGGCCTGGAGAAAAAGAGGGTCACTGTATGTAGGGAAGGCATGAAGGATCTCTGTAACGGAAAGGATTCAGAGATCAAACCACAACAAGGACCCTGATGCTAATACCCACTCATGAGCTAGGGGCTGCAGGACATGCCCCAGCTCCTAGGAGACAAGTACCCTGCTGAGCAGACAAATAGCCTGGACTTTGTAACAGCCAAAGTGGCCCACATGGCACTCGCGGGGCTGTGCAGCATCCAGGCAGGGGACACTGCCTGGCATTCTAAAGGCCTGTGCTGAGTCATCTTTCACAGGAACCAGCTTCTCAAGTCTCTGGGATCCTGTTTTACAGGCTGTTACTAACCTTCCCTTGGCTTCCAGGCCAAGGAAGAAGAAAGAATAAATATTAACCAAAGGTACGGCTGTGGCAGGGTGCCCAGGGCCCCTCCCTTTCCTTCTCTCCCCGTACCCCCTGCCCTAGAAGCTACAATAAACTGCTGATCTCCCGGTTTCATGATCATCTTGGCTGATCCTGCAGAAAAGGGACAGAGGTGAGCACCTCTCAGAGCAGCCCTGAGGCTGGAGAGGACTTGGTGGTAACCTGCTGTTTTTCTGGGAGGGGCCCTAGAGCTGGCTAAGGAGAACTCACATGACTGCCTGGGCCTGACTTCCAGGGAGGGGCTCTCACCACACCAGACTGTTTCTCAGGGTAATTTCCCAGTTGACTGGCACAAAGGGGTGACTGCATAACACTATTCCCTTTCTTGGGTTTCGATTTCCTCCTCTGTAAGATGATGAAGTTGGACTCCAAGAACCGCACCTCGTCCTATCATTCCATGAGCTCAGCTGATTGGGGCTAAACATTCTCTGCTGGGTGCTGCTTTCCTCCAACATCCCACCCTCACGAGGGCCAGGAGGTATTTCGGATCCCCTCGGGACATACCCATCTATTTATTTATTGTTTTCTTTTCAATTTTTTTTTTTTTTTTTTTTGAGATGAGTCTTACTCTGTCACCCAGGTTGGAGTGCAGTGTTGCAATCTCAGCTCACTGCAACTTCTGCCTCCCGGGTTCAAGTGATTCTCCTGCTTCAGCCTCCCAAGTAGCTGGGATTACAGGCTCCTGCCACTGTGCCTGGCTAATTTTTGTATTTTTAGTAGAGATGGGGTTTCACCATGTTGGTCAGGCTGGTCTCAAACTCCTGACCTCAGGTGATCCGCCTGCCTTGGCCTCCCAAAGTGCTGGAATTACAGGCGTGAGATTACAGGCGTGAGCCTCTGCTCCTGGCCTATTTATTTATTGCTGTCTGAGCAATTACTACTAGGAGCAATTAATAACAGCCAACATTTTTTAGTCCATTCTATGTGTCAGGCACTGTTAAGCATCTCATATTTATACATTATCTTATTTGCTCATCACAACAACTCTGTGAAGTAAATACTATTATTATTTCATAAATGAAAAAATTGAGGCTCAGATAAATTAAGTAACTTGTCCAAGAACATTCAGCCAGTAAAACAGCTGAGACCCTATCAGCTCCAGGTCAGTAAACTCCAAAGCCCATGGTCTTTCCATTCTATCACACTTACAACACTGGTTAACCAAGGACCAGTGAAGTGCAGATCACAGCCTCTACCAGGGTTGCTGGGGAAGGGGGTTGGGGTGGGGCCTGGGGAGAGGGAGGGGAGTAAAGATAGACCCAGTGATGAAATTATTTTTATTTATTTATTTATTTATTTATTTATTTTGAGACAGAGTCTCGCTCTGTCACCCAGGGTAGAGTGCAGTGGCACGATCTCAGCTCACTGCAACCTCCACCTCCCGGGTTCAAGTGATTCTCCTGCCTCAGCCTCCCAAGCAGCTGGGACTACAGGCACACGCCACCACACCCAACTAATTTTTGTATTTTTAGTAGAGACGGGGTTTCACTATATTGGCCAGGCTGGTCTTGAACTCCTGACCTCGTGATCCACCCGCCTCCACCTCCCAAAGTGCTAGGATTACAGGCATGAGCCACCACGCCCGGCCTGAAATTATTTATTGAATGAGAATAATAATGGTGACTGCTTCAATTGATGATTGTGAGAATTAAAGAAATAATAAGTTCATAAGTGCTTTTAAAGGCAGCTAGTGATATATAACAGTAACTATTGTTATTAATAAATGCTATATAACCATTTATGTAGTTGTCATTTTTTAAACTGTGTTAACATACACATAACATAAAATTTGCCATCTTGCCAGGCGCGGTGGCTCTCGCCTGTAATCCCAGCACTTTGGGAGGATGAGGCAGGCAGATCACCGGAGGTTGGGAGTTCGAGACCAGCCTGAGCAACACGGAGAAATCCCGTCTCTACTAAAAATACAAAATTAGCCAGGCATGGTGGCGCATGCCTGTAATCCCAGCTACTCAGGAGGATGAGGCAGGAGAATTACTTGAACCCAGGAGGTGGAGGTTGCAGTGAGCCGAGATCATGCCATTGCACTCTAGCCCGGACAATAAGAGTGAAACTCTGTATCCAAAAAAAAAAAAATTGCCATCTTAGGCTGGGTGCAGTGGCTCATGCCTGTAATCCCAGCACTTTGGGAGGCTAAGGCAGGCAGATTGCTTGAGCTCAGGAGTTTGAGACCAGCCTGGGCAACATAGCAAAATCCCATCTCTCCAGAAAAATAGCTGGGTGTGGTGGCATGCCTGTGATCCCAGCTACTTTGGGGGGCTGAGGTGGGAGGATCGCTTGAGCCCAGGATTTTGAGGCTGCAGTAAGCCAAGATTCCACCACTGCACTCCAGCCTGGGGGACAGAGTGAGACCCTGCCTAAAAACCGACCGGGCGCAGTGGCTCACGCCTGTAATCCCAGCACTTTGGGAGGCCGAGGCGGGTGGATCATCTGAGCTCAGAAGTTGGAGACCAGCCTGGCCAACATGGTGAAACCCCCTCTCTACTAAAAAATACAAAACTTAGCCAGGCATGCTGGCAGGTGCCTTAATCCCAGCTACTTGGGAGGCAGAGGCAGGAGAATCGTTTGAATCCGGGAGGCAGAGGTTGCAGTAAACCAACATAAAGCCATTGCACTCAAAACTGGGGGACAAGAGTGAGACTTCTCTCAAAAAAAAAAAATTGCCATTTTGACCACTTTTAAATATACAGTTCAGCGATATTAAATGTATTCATATTGTTGTGCAACCATCACCACCATCCATCTCCAGAATTTTTTCATCTTATCAAACTGAAACTGCCATTGGTTCTTAATAGTTATTAATATAAGCTTTTATTATTATGCTAAATATTTGTATGCTCCTGTCTCCTTAACAAAAGGCAGTAAGTTGTAGTAGAGGGCACGAGGTAGAGATTTTGGCCCTTGGTTCAAATTCAGATTCCCGCACAGTCTAAATGAACTTGAATAATTCACTTAAATCCTCAACATCGGTTCCTCTAGGTAGATAATACCAACACATAGAGACCACACAGGGTTGTAGTTAGTATTCTATCAGATCACCGGGGTTAAAGTACTTTGAAAACTCCATGCAAAGTGCTCCACAAATATTAGATTGGTGGACACTTTCATGCTCCTAGATCAGCTCTTGGAACAAACTAGGAACTGAATGAACCCTGATGCTCCAAGTTGTTGGGCCATACTGCCTCCTGGTGGTAGTCATGAAACGTGCAGAGTCTTTGCTGCTTGGGGTGCTCCTGGGGTTGGTTGGGTAAGATCAGGAGCTGGCCGAGAATGTGAGGAAAACCCAAAGTACCCGGCCAGGGAGGGTATTTTTCCTTCCCCGCTGAAGACACTCCCCAGGCCAGTCCCTTGACGATGGAAGAGTCAGTCTCCTCTCTGTGCTCTCAACTTTCTCTTACTGCTTTTGCTTATGCTGTTCCACCTTCCAACTGGTGCCTCTTCCAAACCCTAAATCTTCAGACCTTCTCATATCCAACTCTTCCAGAAGGGATCCCTGAACCATGCCTCCCAGGGTATCCCGCACCATTTTTGTTTGTTTGTTTGAGACGGAGTCTTGCTCTGTCACCCAGGCTGAGTGCAATGGCATTATCTCCGCTCACTGCAGCCTCCACCTCGCGGCTTCAAGTGATTCTCTTGTCTCACCCTCCCGAGTAGCAAAGGTTACAGGCACGTGCCACCACGCCCAGCTAATTTTTGTATTCTTAGTAGAGACAGGGTTTCACCATGTTGGCCAGGCTGATCTCGAACTCCTGACCTCAGCTGATCCACCTGCCTTGGCCTCCCAAAGTGCTGGGATTACAGGCGTGAGCCACCACACCTGGCCATCCCTCACCATTTTTTTAAACCTACAGAATTCACAGCCTGTACTTGACTGCTATTATATAGTTCTCTCCAAACTATGTTTCGGGGTTTCTTTTTTGTTTGTTTTCTGTCTCTTGTTTGAGACAGGGCCTCACTCTGTCGCCCAGGCTGGAGTGCAGTGGCGCAATCATGGCTCACTGAAGTCTCAGCCTCCCCGGCTCAAGCAATTCTCCTGCCTCAGCCTCCCGAGTACCTGGGACCACAGGCATGTGCCATCACACAGGCAAATTTTTTACTTTGTAAAAACGGGTTCCTATTATGTTGCCTAGGCTGGTCTCAAACACCTGGGCTCAAGTGATCCTTCTGCATTGGTTTCCTGAAGTGCTGGGATTACAGGCATGAGCCACTGTGCCTGGCCAAACTGTGGTTCTTTGGTAGAATTTCCTGGTTTTAAAAAAAAAAAAAGTGGGCTCTAGTCTTGCCGGGGACTCGTGGGGTAACTTGTTCTTGGGAGCCAGCGGTATGGCGTCGGGCTGCAAGATTGGCCCGTCCATCCTCAACAGCGACCTGGCCAATTTAGGGGCCAAGTGCCTCCAGATGCTAGACTCTGGGGCCGATTATCTGCATCTGGATGTAATGGATGGGCATTTTGTTCCCAACATCACCTTTGGTCACCCTGTGGTAGAAAGCCTTCGAAAGCAGCTAGGCCAGGACCCTTTCTTTGACATGCACATGATGGTGTCCAAGCCAGAACAGTGGGTAAAGCCAATGGCTGTAGCAGAAGCCAATCAGTACACCTTTCATCTCGAGGCTACTGAGAACCCAGGGACTTTGATTAAAGACATTCGGGAGAATGGGATGAAGGTTGGCCTTGCCATCAAACCAGGAACCTCAGTTGAGTATTTGGCACCATGGGCTAATCAAATAGATATGGCCTTGGTTATGACAGTGGAACCGGGGTTTGGAGAGCAGAAATTCATGGAAGATATGATGCCAAAGGTTCACTGGTTGAGGACCCAGTTCCCATCTTTGGATATAGAGGGCGATGGTGGAGTAGGTTCTGACACTGTCCATAAGTGTGCAGAGGCAGGAGCTAACATGACTGTATCTGGCAGTGCTATTATGAGGAGTGAAGACCCCAGATCTGTGATCAACCTATTAAGAAATATTTGCTCAGAAGCTGCTCAGAAACGTTCTCTTGATCGATGAAACCATAAGGAGCCCAATGTTTCTGTTCATGAAATCTCCCTTTTACTGGAAAACAGGAATATTGACTACCAAATCATCATGAAATTGAAGCTGTACTGCTTTTTTGAGCAGTTATTCATTCCAGTGATTAAAACTGATTGTGCAGAATATTCTAAGAGGTCAGAAATTGGTGTGTATAACTACATTTTTAGTGATGCAATTTAATGATTAGTGAGTAAGATACTGTTTTTATTGAGAGACTTGATTTTTATAAAGAGTAAAAATACGGCTGCATTAAGGTTACAAACAGAAAAGTGTCTTAATGCCTAAGGAGGGCATATTAGCTACACTACAAAAACAAATTTTGTCTGTACTTCTGAAAAGAATTTTGTTGTTTCTCAGCTGTTTTCCAAAAGCAAAGGAAGTCTTTATGGCTTTTTTCTATTTCATGTTATTTGTGATTTGTTTATAAGTTTGGGTGGGATGGCATACCATATTCTTGGTTCTTAAAATCTATCACTTTTCACCTTACACTTAATGTGTAAAAACTATAAAAACAATGCGTGAAACCCAGGGGTTCTAAAATACAAGCATAGATTTTATCAGGGTGTTTTTGTCAAAGCAGGTTATTCAGTGATTCCTCCCCACCATTCTTAAGGACGTTAAATAATGCTGTTGTGTTAGCTCTGAGTAGAAAGGAAAAAGTAAAAACCTCTGTATGGAAGTAATATTGGGTTGAATTCTGACTGCCCTTTTCTAGCTGGACCTTTAACAAATCACCCAGTCTTTTTTGTGTTTCTCTGAAGTCATTTATACATTAAATGTAATTATAACAACTGTGGGGTTGTGTTGAGAATTAAGAGGTAACACTATATATGTAAAGTTTCTAGTACTAGTCCCAGAATTTAGAATATGCTCAATACAAAGTAGATAGCATTATATAAGTTTATATTTTTGTGAGTTATAAAGTACTTTGATATATTCTCATTAAATCTGTAAATCACCTCTATAAGTAAGTGGTAATAATAAAGCAGATATTTTTGTCCCCATTTAAAAAAAAAAAAAAGTGTTCCCTAACAGTTTCCAGAGCACGAGCTGAAGGGATTGACGGGCTCCTCAAAGGCTATACACTTTTCATGGCCTTGTCTCTTCCAGGTACAGTGCTGGCTACTTTTACATATATGTTGTCAACAAATCCTCAGGATAATTCTAAGGCAATTCTACTGCAAATGAGATACTATCTTAATTTACAGTTGACAAAAACTGAGTCTCAGGAAGGTTGCCTGACCTGCTCAAGGTCATATAGCTAGTAAGGGTGCAGTATAGGTTCGAACCCACCTGCCTGATTACGTCTCCCATGCCAACTCCTATCCATTGGTAGCACCTGCCTGAAACAGTGACTTGAGAAAGAATTCCTAGGTTTTGAATTCTTAATTATTGAATTAAGAGGGTAAAGTGCCAGGTTTGATTAGTTGTGGCTGCCATGAGTGAGGAATGGTGAGTGGTGATGTACAAGCCTGGTATTTGCCATTTTCCCATTACCCCATGCCAGATAGTTCTACAGGAGGCTACTCAACTTGATTCTGAACATGGTTTTAAGAAAGAATGATCCAGCCTGGGCAACAATGTAAAACCCCATCTCTACAAAAAATACAAAAATTCTCCAGATGTGGTAGCATGTGCCTGTGGTCCCAGCCACTCGGGAGGCTGAGGTGGGAGGACCACTTGAGTATGGGAGGTCGAGGCTGCAGTGAGCTGAGATCACACCACTGCACTCCAGCCTGGGTGACAGAGTGAGACTTTGTCTCAAAAAATAAACTAAAACAAACAAAAAAAGGAATGATATGTTGAGTAGGCATGAGCTCTAATGTTAAGACTGACCTGTATTAAAACCCAGCTCATTTGTTTTTAGAACTTTGAGCAGTTACTTGGCCTGTTGAATGTTGAAGCCTTACATTCCATTTGTGTTAAATATGCATAATAATCTCTGGGTTGTTATGAGGTTTTAATGGGATTAATTCTGTAAATGCTCCTGGCATGGTTCCTGGCATAGAGTAAGTACTCAACTGGTGTTACTTCCCTCCCCCTCCCATCGCTCTGTCACCCAGGCGGGAGTGCAGTGGCACACTCTTGGCTCACTGCAACCCCGCCTCTGAAGTTCAAGCGATTCTCCTGCCTCAGCCTCCCAAGTAGCTGGGACTACAGTCGCCTGCCATCACACCCGGCTAATTTTAATAGAGTTGGGGTTTCACCATGTTGGCCAGGCTGGTCTCGAACTCCTGGCCTCAAGTAATCTTGATTACTTGAGTAATCAAAGTGCTCCCAAAGTGCTAGGATTACAGGCGTGAGCCACCACACCTGGCCCACTGCAATGTTTTTTACAATGATAAAAATTAGGGGGGAAAACCCCTAAATGTCTAGCTATTGAAGAATGACTAAATTATGTCAACTTGATGGAATATAATGCAGCTATTAAAAGTGAAAATTATAAACAATATTTTTAATACCTTAAGACTGTATAACAACATGAAAAATAATAAAATCAAAGTTAAAATTTATTTAAAAAGAATAGAAAATTACAGCAAAACAACCAGGAGAAAAAAATTTACCTTTGTTCTTTTGACAAGGCTGAATGAAAACTTAGTCTTAGACTTAGTTCTTTAATTATAACAAGAGCTCTAATTCTGAGTGAATCTCTGAAAGGGTAGCTATAATCTCCCAACATTTTGAACCCATTTGGCATGGGTTGGGGTGGCGGGAGGGCATTGTTCTTATTGAAGAAATAAGGAAAGAAAAGCCTTTGAATTAGGCCCTGACACTGCCTCCATGTCCAGGAAACGCTTTAAGAGCACCAAGTCATTAATCACAAGCTTTTAGAGCAGGAATAAGCCATTCTAATTAATTTCTTAAAAACAAATTTATTTTTGGAGACAGGGTCTCACTCTTGCCCAGGCTGGAGTGCAGTGGCGCAATCACAGCTCACTATAGCCTCTACCTCCCGGGCTCAAGTGATTCTCCCACCTCAGCCTCCAAAGTAGCTGGGACTACAGGTGCACGCTACCATACCCAGGTAATTTTTGTATTTGTTTTATTTTGTAGAGATGGGGTTTCACCATGTTGCCCAGGCTAAAAATAAATTTATTTGAGTAATAGAAACTATGGATTACTAAACATTCATTACAGAACATTAAGCATTTGTGAGTCCACTTCTGGGCTCTGAGAAGAAGTAATGAGGAAAGCAAATAGAATCAAGTGATAAGAAAATCGTGTATCCACAGTGGGTGGGAAGGGGGCATGGTGCTGTTCAACAGAAAGCTAGCATACATGGCAGTGGGGGCGTGTGGGGGGCTGGTTACAGAGCTGGTGCTCTCTGAAGGATCAGGCCCCTTCTATTCACGTTAGGATTCCTGTTTTCCTCCACGCTGGTTCTGATGTAAAAAAACAAAAACAAAACAAAACAAAAAAACGCAAAAGAAATCATGACAGAACATAGGATGCTGTGACTTCTCAGAAGCTCAGTCTTTAATTCATGGAACCAGCGCGACCTGAAACAACCTGCATCACCAACCCTGGGGCACAAATCAGGTCACATCTCTTCCATTGTTCTTTTCTTTTGTCTCTCTCTCTTTCTCTTTTTTGAGATGGGATCTCGCTCTGTCACCCAGGCTAGAGTGCAGAGGCATGATCAGAGCTCACTGCAGCCTTGACTTCCTGTGCTCAAGTGATCCTCTCACCTCAGCTTCCCAAGTAGCTGAGACTATGGCTTGCACTACCACACACGGCCCTTCTACTTTTCAAAACAAAACCACCTTGACCACCCATGTGCCAGGTTAGCAGAAAGTCCAATATCCCTTCTCCTCCTCTTGAGCTGTCCAACATCCCTGGTGTTTACTCCATCCAAGGGGCCAGCTTTGTTTCCAAGTGCTTGAAGGACAGAGAACTGAAGACACATTTCCACTCATCAGAGAATCTGTTTTGGGGAACCACTGCTGCCGTCATTGCCACATGTGTGGCTGATGAACACCCTGTCTGCACAGCCTGACATGCCCCTTCCCCTGCTGCAGGGACCCTGCTGCTCTGGATGTCTGTGATGTTCAATGCTAGGCTCCTAAGGTCACCCTCACATGCTTGGCCATTTTTCCTGGGGTTAGGTGGCAATGACTGGGTCAGAAGGTTTCCAGCCTCAGCATATGTTGTGCCAGAACTCCCTGCCACTCCACTACCACCACCACTACCACCACCATCACCACCACCATCACCACCTCCACCACCATCACCACCACCACCATCACCACCACCACCACCATCACCACCACCACCATCACCACCTCCACCACCATCACCACCACCACCATCACCACCACCACCACCACCATCACCACCACCACCACCATCACCACCTCCACCACGATCACCACCACCACCATCACCACCTCCACCACCATCACCACCTCCACTACCACCACCACCACCTCCACCACCACCATCACCACCACCATCACCACCACCACCATCACCACCACCACCTCCACCACCTCCACTGCCATCACCACCTCCACCGCCATCACCACCTCCACCACCATCACCATCTCCACCATCACCACCTCAACTTCTTCCATCATGACCACCACCACCACCACCATCACCACCACCTCTACCGCCATTCACCACCACCACCTCCACCGCCATCACCACCTTCACCTCTACCCCCACCACAACCACTATGTGCTCACACTTGTCACCAGGGCTAACTCTTCCCAGTGGATTCTCTTAGCCCACTGTCCTGCCAGTGAATCTTATTCAACACCATCTCAATCCATCTGATAAGTTCTAAGAGCAGGAACTCTCAAAAGAGAAGTGATATAGTCTCAATCCTCATCTCCACAGGAGACGCCATGGCTTTTATTTTGCCCAAATTTCCTTACCCCTTGCCCTTTTATTTACCATCATCAGGCTGCAAAAAGCATTCCATTTCATAATCTGCCCTATGGCAGTGGGTGCCTCCTTGCCTTCTGCTGATATAACTAAGGATGGATGGCAGGGACTCAGGTGTCTTAACACTGGACACAAAATCTGTGGCAAGTGGTCTTGCCTCCACTTACAGAAGTGACAGACACCTTTAAAGATCCACCCAATCAGGCCCCTGAGACATTTAATCTTGGCTTTCAGATTGGTTTGTTTTGTGTTTGTAATGAGCTGTGATTGTGCCATTGTACTCCACCCTCTGTCACCCAGGCTGGAGTGCAATGGCACAATCACAGCTCACTGCAGCCTCAAACTCTTGGGCTCAAGTGATCTTCCCACTTCAGCCTTCCAAGTAACTAGGACTACAGCCATGTGCCATCAAGCCTGGCTAATTTTCTGTAGGAACAAGGTCTCACTGTGTGGCCCAGGCTGGTCTTGAACTCCTGGGCTCAAGTGATCTGCCCACCTTGGCCTCCCAATATGTTGGGATTACAGGCGTGAGCCATTGTGCCTGGACTTTAATTTCTTTCAGTGAAATTTTACAGTTTTCAATTTATAGGTTTTTTCTACAACTATTTTTCTTTTTTTGGAGATGGAATCTCGCTGTTGTCGTCCAGGCTGGAATGCAATGGTGCGATCTTGGCTAACTTCAACCTTCGCCTCCCAGGTTTAAGCAATTCTCCTGTCTCAGCTTCCCAAATGGCTGGGATTACAGGCGCCCACCTAATTTTTGTATTTTTAGTAGAGATGGGGTTTCACCATGTTGGCCAGGCTGGTCTCAAACTCTTGACCTCAGGTGATCTGCCCACCTTGGCCTCCCAAAGTGCTGGGATTACAGACGTGAGCCACCGCACCCAGCCCATTGCCTGATTTTTTTTTAATTATTTATTTATTTATTTATTTTAAGAGTATTGGTTAAGTTGGCCGGGCGCAGTGGCTCACGCCTGTAATCCCAACGCTTTGGGAGGCAGAGGTGAGCGAATCACCTGAGGTCAGGAGTTCAAGAACAGCCTGGCCAACATGGTGAAACCCCATCTCTACTAAAAATACAAAAATTAGCCAGGCATAGTGGTGGGCACCTGTAATCCCAGCTACTCGGGAGGCTGAGGCAGGAGAATGCCTTGAACCTGGGAGGTGGAGGTTGCAGTGAGCTGAGATCATGCCTCTACACTCCAGCCTGGGCAACAAGAGAGAAACTCCATCTCAGAAAAAAGAAAAAAAAAAAAGAGTATTGGTTAAGTATTTTGTTGGATAGTCTTCAATTTGAGTTTGTCTGACATTTTCTCATGATTAAATTGAAGTTAAGCATATTAGGAAGAATACTAATTTTTTTTTTTTTTTTTTTTTTTTTTTGAGACAGATTCTTGTTCTGTCACCCAGGCTGGAGTATAGTGGCACAATCTCAGCTCACTGCAACCTCTGCTCCTGGGTTCAAGCAATTCTCCTGCCCCAGCCTCCCAAGTAGCTGGGACTACAGGCATGCACCATGACATCCAGCTAATTTTTATATTTTTGGTAAAGATGGGGTTTCGCCATGTTGGCCAAGCTGGTCTTGAACTCCTGACCTCAAGTGATCTGCCCACCTTGGCCTCCCGAAGTGCTGGGATTATAGACATGAGCCACTGTGCCCAGCCTTTTTACTATATTTTGAGTTAATTTCTTAGTCATTGTCCTGGGAATTACAATTAACATCTTATTTAATAACAACTTAGTTTAGATAAATGCCAACTTAATTTCATTATTACACAAAAAATGTGCTCCTATATAGCTTTGGTTCCCTTTCTCCTTCTTTGTGCTATTATTGTCACACAAAATACATCTTAATACATTGTGTGCATTATCAATGCAGGTTTATAATTACTGCATTATGTACTTATCTTTTAAATAGGATAGGAAAAAATTAAACAAAATTAAACAAGAATACATTTATGCTACCTTTTATATTTACCTATGGAGTTACCTTTAATGGTTTATTTTATTTCTTCATGTAGATTCAAATTACTGTCTACTGTCATTTCAGTCTGAAAGACCTCCTCTAGGATTTCCTTTTTTGTTTTTTTGTTTTTGAGACAGAGTCTTGCTCTGTTGCCCAGTCTGGAGTGTAGTGGCGCAATCTCGGCTCACTATAACCTCTGCCTCCTAGGTTCAAGCAATTCTTATGCCTCGGCCTCCCAAGTAGCTGGGATTACAGGTGCGTGCCACTACGCCTGGCTAAGTTTTTTTTATTTTTAGTAGAGACGAGGTTTCACCATGTTGGCCAGGCTGATCTCAAATTCCTGACCTCAGATGATCCACCTGCCTCGGCCTCCCAAAGTGCTGAGATTACAGGGGTGAGCCACCGTGCCTGGCCTAGGATTTCTTATACGTCAGGTTTACTAGTGATGAAATCTTCCAGTCTTTATCTTAGAATGTTTTAATGTCTTCTTTCCCTCCTTCATTTTTGAAGAATAGTTTCGTTAGATAGAGAATTCTGGGGTGACAGGGGGTGTTTTTTTCTTTCAGCACTCTTAATATATGTCATCTTACTGCCTTTTGGCCTTTATGGTTTCTGATGAGAAATAGGATGTTAATCTTATCGAGCATCCATTGTACACGATGAGTCCTTCCTTCCTCCCTCCCTCCTTTTTTTCTTTTCTTTTCTTCCTTCCTTCCTTTTTCTTTCTTTCTTCTTTCCTTCCTTCCTTTTTCCTTCTTTCTTCCTTTCCTTCCTTTCTCTTTCTTTCTTTCTCTTTCTTTCTTCTCTTTCTCTCTTTCTCTTTCTTTCTTTTTTGTGAGACAGGGTCTCACTCTGTCACCCAGGCTGGAGTGCAGTGATCATGGCTCACTATAGCCTGGCCTCTCAGGCTCAATCAATCCTCCCACCTCAGCCTCTCGGGTAGCTGGGAATACAGACATGCACCACCATGCCCAGCTAATTTTTGTATTTTTTGTAGAGACAGGGCCTCACCATGTCTTGAACTGGTCTTGAACTCCTGGGCTGGTCTTGAACTCCTGGGCTCAAGCAATCTACCTGCCTCAGCCTCCCAAAGTGCTGGAATTACAGGCATGAATCACCACGCCCAGCCTACTTTTTTTTTTTTTTTTTTTTTTTTAAAGAAGCAAGGTCCCACTCTGCTACCCAGGCTTCAGTACAGTGGCATGATCATGCCTTGCTGCAGCCTCAAACTCCTGGGCTCAATCAATTCTTCTGCCTCAGCCTCCCAAGTAGCTAGGACTACAGGCACATGCCACTGAGTCTGGCTTTTTTTTTTTTTTTTTTTGGAGAGACAGGATCTCACTATGTATCTCAGGTTGATCTTGACCTCCTGGCCCCTCAGGTGATCCTCTTGCCTCAGTCTCCCAAACTGCTGCTGGATTACAGGCCACCATGCCCAGCTGCTTTCTTTTTTTAAATTTGAGATGGAGTCTCACTATATTACCCAAGCTAAAGTCGAACTCCTGGGCCCAAACTATCCTCCCACCTCAGCCTTCTGAGTAGCTGGGACTACAGGCATGCACACCACACCCAGCTTGTGATGAGTCACCATTGTCTTACTGATTTCAAGATTCGCTCTCCTGCCTTTGGCTTATAACAATTTGACTACGATGTGTCTTGGTGTGAATCTCTTTGAGTTTATTTTACTTGGATTTTATTGAGCTTTCCAGATGTATAGATCAATGTTTTAAATTAAATTTAGAAAGTTTTCAAGTTTTCAGCCATTATTTCTTTAAATATTCTTTCTGCTCCTTTTTTTCCTCTCCTCTCCTTCTGGAACTCCAGAAGTTCACTTAGGCTCTCTTCATATATCTTCATTCTTTTCTTTTTCTGTTCCTCAGACTTGATAATCTCAATTGATTTATTTTTAAATTCATTGATATTTTCTTCTGTCTGCTCTATCTTTTTTTTTTTTTTTAGATGGAATCTAGCTCTTTGCCTTAGCCTTTGCTTCATGCTTGTGAAGAGCCTGAAGATCAGCCAGAACACTTAGGGCATTCTCAGATCTTTCCTGAACATGTGCATAGGCCTCGGCATGCAAGTGGCTTTCCGGTTTCCCAGGGATATGTCAGTTTTTCAAAGTCCTTCTTCTCCAAAGCATCTCATTCTTCAGTCTTCTCTCCCAAGCTTTATATTAGTCTATTGTTTGCCCCAACTGTTATCCAATGCCCCAGGCAGCAATAACCAAAACATTTGCCTGTAAATATCTTCAACAAATGCTCCTTGGGTAGCCACACTCACCACTAGAGAGTTCCAAGTTAGACAAGATAAAGGTAAGCACTTGAGAAAGTCCTCCAGGGAGCCACCATACAGGTCAAAACAAAGATAAAGGTAAGCACTTGAGAAAGTCCTCCAGGGAGCCACCATACAGGTCAAAACAAAACAAAAACAATTTCTTGCGAATTAGGTCCATTCTCTTCCCTCTAGTACTGGTACCTATACTGGGACTGTAGCTATTTTCTCCAAATTCACTGCTAACCTGGGGATGGGACCAGGGTAAGTTAAAATACTACAAAGCTTGCTATTCTTACTAAGAATCAGCTGTCTTTTTTATGAAAACATTTCACTGGCTGCTGCAGGCCTTTTGGTTAGTGTCTAGAGTTCTGAAAAGTTGATTCTAACAGTTTTTTTGTTTTTTGTTTGTTTGTTTGTTTGTTTAGATGGAGTCTCGCTCTGTCGCCAGGCTGGAGTGCAGTGGCACGATCTGGGCTCACTGCAACCTCTGCCTCTCAGGTTCAAGTGATTCTTCTGCCTCAGTCTCCCGAGCAGCTGGGACTAGAGGCATGTGCCACCATGCGTGGCTAATTTTTGTATTTTTAGTAGAGACAGGGTTTCACCATGTTGGCCAGGATGGTCTCGATCTCTTGACCTCGTGATCAGCCCGCCTCGGCCTCCCAAAGTGCTGGGATTACAGGCGTGAGCCACCGTGCCCAGCCAATTCTAACAGTTTTAACCAACCTTTTGGTTGCATTTATGGAGGGATAAACTTTTGGATTTCCTTACTCTGCCATTTTTCACTGATAACACTTCAGTATTCCTTATTACTGGTAATGTTAACTTTGATCACTCAGTTAAGGTAGTGTCTGCCAAGTTTCTTCACTGCAGAGTTACTATTTTTTCTTTTTCATATGCTATTCTAGAGGTCAGCAAACCATGGCTGGAGGCCCAAATCCAGCCCACTGCCTGTTTTTATAAATAAAGTTTTATTGGCATACAGCCACATTCATTCATTCACATATTTTTTATGGCTGCTTTCATGCTACATCAGTAGGGGTGAGTTGTTGCAAAAGAGATCATATGGCTTAAACAGCCTAATATATTTCCTATTTGGGTCTACGCTGACCCCTGCATGATTTGTTAGAAGTGCACCACTAAATCAGCCCACACTTAAGGGAAGGAGAATTAAGCTTTCCATTGTGGAGGGAGGGGTATCAAAACATTTGGGGACATATGTTAAAAACAAGATAATTAATGCATATTTGGAGGTTTATACTTAGATGCTATGTAAATATCCTGGTCCTCCTTAGAGTTTTGCCCACTAATATTAGCTTCATCAGTGGACTTTATCTGCAGCAATTATTACTGTGGTGTTCTAATTTTCTGTTTCCTTCATTCCCATTTTTTTTTTTTTTTTTTTTTTTTTTTTTGGAGACAAAGTCTCACTCTGTCACCCAGGCTAGAGTGCAGTGGCATGACCTCTGCTCACCTCAGCCTCCACTTCCTGGGTTGAAGCGATTCTCCTGCCTCAGCCTCCTGAGTAGCTGGGATTACAGGTGTCTGCCACAATGCCCAGCTATTTTTTTTGTTTGTTTTTTAAGGACAGAGTCTCACTCTGTCACCCAGGCTGGAGTGCAGTGACGCCATCTCAGCTCACTGCAACCTCTGCCTCCCGGGTTCAAGCAATTCTCCTGGCTCAGCCTCCTGAGTAGCTGGGATTACAGGTGGCCACCATCACGCCTGGCTAACTTTTGTATTTTTAGTAGAGACGGGGTTTCACCATATTGGCCAGATTGGTCTCAAACTCCTGACCTCAGGTCATCCTCTGGCTTCGGCCTCCCAAAGTGCTGGGATTACAGGAGTGAGCCACCGCGCCTGGCATATAGTTTTAAAGAAGATTTTAAATAGCCTTATAAACTGGGAAAAGAAACCCATAGTTCAGGAGTTGAGGCACTTTCTCTTGGTGTAGAGACAACTGGTGCAATGGAGAACACAGTACAAGGTCTTGAGTTAGAAACCTAAATTTATGACCTTGGGCAAGTCCCTTGACCTCTCTCCCTTTTTTACTTTTATCCACAGAATAAAAATATCAATGGTCACCTCACAGGATTCTTGTGAAAATGTTGTTTATATTAGGAAGTAGGATGTAAATGCTAGATTCTTTGGTAATGCACATCCTTTACTCTCACTTTCTTCTTCACTTTCTTTCCTTCCCACTTTCCTTCTTTTTTTCTGGTCCTACCTTTTTTCTCCTCTGTCTGTGTTTTGGGCCCACCAGGGGCCCCCTATAGCACTACAAGTGAAACCAGTGGGGTCTAAGTCATAACACTTCTTATAAAGAAGGATTGCACCAGGACCAGCCCACATAGCCAAATTCCTTTTTCTGTTGTCCCCAGAAAGCCACGTTAAGGACTCCCTTGCTGTTCTAAGCAGACTGCTTCTTTCACACATTTCCTCCCACCACCCAATGAAGGGCAGGGGCTGTGCTTTACATATTACATCTTTGTAACCCCCTCCCCTCCCTTACTGCACAAGGCTTTCCAAATAGTCTTTAGATGTCAACCTTGGATGCAGATTTTAACACACACATATTCTGCATTTTTTTTTTTTTTTTGAGACGGAGTTTCGGTCTTGTTGCCCAGGCTGGAGTGCAATGGCGTGATCTCGGCTCACTGCAACCTCTGCCTCCTGGGTTCAAGTGATTCTCCTGCCTCAGCCTCCCAAGTAGCCGGGATTACAGGCATGTGCCACCACGCCTGGCTAATTCTGTTTTTTTTTTTTAGTAGAGACAGGGTTTCACCATGTTGGCCAGGCTGGTCTCAAACTCCCGACCTCAGGTGATCTGCCTGCCTCGGCCTCCCAAAGTGCTGGGATTACAGGCATGAGCCACCATGCCTGGCCCATATTCTGCATTTTAATACACATTCTACATGTTGCCAGTAGATATTTGATATGGCTTGGCTCTGCCCCCACCCAAATCTCATCTTGAATTCCCACATGTTATGGGAGGAACATGGTGGGAGGTGATTGAATCATGGGGGTGGGTCTTTCTTGTGCTGTTCTGATGATAATGAGTAAGTCTCACAAGATCTGATGGTTTTAAAAAATGGGAGTTTCCCTGAACAAGCTCTCCACTCTTGTCTGCTGCCATGTGAGACATGCCTTTTACCTTCCGCCATGATTGTGAGGCCTCCCCACCCATGTGAAACTGTAAGTCCAATAAACCTCTTTCTTTAGTAAATTGTCCAGTCTCGGGTATGTCTTTATCAGCAGTGTGAAAATGGACTAATACAGTAAATTGGTACCGAGAGTGGGGTGCTACTGAAAAGATACCCGAAAATGTGGAAGCAACTTTGGAACTGGGTAACAGGCAGAGGTTGGAATAATTTGGAGGGCTCAGAAGAAGACAGGAAAATGTGGGAAAGTTTGGAACTCCCTAGAGACTTGTTGAATGGCTTTGACCAATATGCTGATAATGATATGGACAATGAAATCCAGGCTGAGATGGTCTCAGATGGAGATGAGGAAGTTATTGGGAACTAGAGCAAAGGTGACTCTTGTTATGTTTTAGCAAAGAGACTGGTGGCATTTTGCCCCTGCCCTGGAGATTTGTGGAACTTTGAACTTGAGAAAGGTGATTTAGGGTTTCTGGCAGAAGAAATTTCTAAGCAGCAAAGCATTCAAGAGGTGACTTGGGTGTTGTTAAAAGCATTCAGTTTTAAAAGGGAAACAGAGCATAAAAGTTTGCAAAATTTGTAGTCTGACAAGCAATAAAGAAGAAAAACCCATTTTCTGAGGAGCAATTCAAGCCAGCTGCAGAAATTTGCTTAAGTAATAAGGAGCCTAATATTAATCTCTGACAGTGGGAAAAATGTCTCCAGGGCAGGTCAGAGGTCCTCACAGCAGACCCCCCACCCCCAATCACAGGCCTGGAGGTTTAGGAGAAAAAAAATAGTTTAGTGGGCCAGGCCCAGGGTCCCTCTGATGTGTGCAGTCTAGGGACTTTGTGCCCTGCAACCCAGCTGCTGCAGCTGTGACTAAAAGGGGCCAAGTTGCAGCTCAGGTTGTTGCTTTAGAGGGTGGAAGCCCCAAGCCCTGGCAGCTTCTACGTGGTGTTGAGCCTGCAGGTGAACAGAAGTCAAGAATTGAGGTTTGGGAACCTCTGCCTAGATTTCAGAAAATGTATGGAAATGTCTGAATGCCCAGGCAGAAGTTTGCTGCAGGGGCGGGGCCCTCATGGAGAACCTCTTCTAGGACAGTGCAGAAGGGAAATGTGGGGTCCAAGCCCCCATGTAGAGTCCCTGCTGGAGCACCACCTAGTGGAGCTGTGAGAAGAGGGCCACCATCCTCCAGACTCCAGAATAGATCAACCGACAGCTTGCACTTTGCACCTGGAAAAATCGGACATTCAACATCAGCCTGTGAAAGCAGCCAAGAGGGCGGATATACCCTGCAAAACCACAGAGGCAGAGCTTCCCAAAGCCATGGGAGCCTACCTCTCGCATCAGCATGTCCTGGAAGTGAGTCACAGAGTCAAAGGAGATCATTTTGGAGCTTTAAGATATGACTGGGGGCCGGGCGTGGTAGATCACACCTGTAATCCCAGCACTTTGGGAGGCTGAGGCAGGTGGATCATGAGGTCAGGAGATCAAGACCACCCTGGCTAACACAGTGAAACCCCATCTCTACTAAAAATACAAAAAATTAGCCGGGCGTGGTGGTGGGTGCCTGTAGTCCCAGCTACTCTGGAGGCTGAGGCAGGAGAATAGTGTGAACCCAGGAGGCGGAGCTTGCAGCGAGCCGAGATCCTGCCACTGCACTCCAGCCTGGGCGACAGACCGAGACTCCATCACACACACACACACACACAAAAGATATGACTGCCCCACTGGATTTCAAACTTGCCTAGGGCCTGTAGCCCCTTTGTTTTGGCCAATTTCTCCAATTTGCAACAACTGTATTTACCCAGTGCCTGTACCCCCATTATATGTAGGAAGTAACTAACTTGTTTTTGATTTTACAGGTTCATAGGCAGACAGGACTTGCCTTGTCTCAGATGAGACTTTGGACTGTGGACTTTGGAGTAAATGCTGAAATGAGTTAAGACTTTGGGGGACTGTTGGGAAGGCATGATTGGTTTTGAAATGTGAGGACATGAGATTTGGGAGGGGCCAGGGGGGAATGATATGGTTTGGCTGTGTCCCCACCCAAATCTCATCTTGAATTCCCACGTGTTATGGGAGGAACCTGGAGTGAGGTAATTGAATCATGGGGGTGGGTCTTTCCCATGCTGTTCTTATGATAGTGAGTAAGTCTCACAAGATCTGATGGTTTTAAAAATGGGAGTTTCCCTGCACAAGCTCTCTTCTCTTGTTTGCTGTCATGTGAGACATGCCTTTTGCCTTCCACCATGACTGTGGTGGCATGTGGCACTGTAAGCCTAATAAACTTCTTTCTTTTGTAAATTGCCCAGTCTCAGGTATGTCTTTATCTGCAGTGTGAAAATGGACCAATACAGTGTTCTACTAGCAAACTTCATCATTGCAATTCATTTAGTAGTTTCTATCTTCCTACTAGGGCTTCCTTCCTAGTTTGGAGATATTTGACTTTTCACTTCAATAGGCAGTAACTGTGTGGGAGGCTATGAACTGAATCAAATGTGATACTGGGCCTTGAGAAGCCTACAGTACAGTGGATGAGAGAGAATTCTGCAGAAATAACCAAACACAGATTATCAAGGACCTCAAAGGCCTGATATCACACAGTTTTTGTTTATTTATTTATTTATTTTTGAGACAGAGTCTTGCTCTGTCACCCAGGCTATAGTACAGTGGCATGATCGTGGCTCACTGCAGCCTTGGCCTCCTAAGCTTAAGCAATCTTCCTGCCCCAGCCTCCCAAGTAGCTGGGACTACAGGTGTGCACCACCATGCCTGGCTAAGTTTCTTTTCTTTTCTTTTTTTTGTAGATACAGGGTTCCACCATATTGCCCATATTGGTCTCGCACTCCTAGGCTCAAGCAATCCACCCACCTCAGCCTCCTTAAGTGCTGGGATTACAGGTGTAAGCCACCATGCCCAGCCCAAATGGGCTTTTTTCAGCAGGCAGTGAGTAGCCAGTGAAGGCTGTTGAGTAAGAAGGGAACATGATCTATATAAGGAAGTGGAAAGACAGATGCATGTGGCCGATCAGGAGGCTCAAGTGAGAAAGTATATACCTCAGTGGCAGTAAGAATGGAAAGAAGTAAATGGAAACTCCACCCAGGAAAAGTCAACAGGACATGGTAAATTAGGAATCATGAAGGTAACCTTTGAGATTATTTGGGGCAATTCTCTTATGTTTCAGAAGAGGAAGATGAGGACTGAAGACACTGTTACTTACCCAAGGTCACACTGCTGGTTGGTGACTGTACTAATCAGGGTGACCCAGGCTATACTGCAGTAACAGTCAAACAACAAGGTCTCCAGGGCCTAACCTACAGAGGTTTATTTCCTACTCACAAAAGATCAGGAGGCTCTCCAGGGCAGCACTGTTTCAGACGATGACTCAGGGATCCAGTCTGCTTCTACCTTGAGGGTTCTGTCAACTAAACTCATGCCTTCCAAGAAGAGAAAGTGTGGAGAACATGTGTCACCTCCTCTCACAGCCTGTTGGCCAAAATTAGTCACATGCTCCAACCTAACTACAAGGGAAGCTGGGAAACGTAGTGGAGGCAGAGGACATGAGATGTTTGTGTGATGTGTGATGAGCACCACATTCTTTGTCACAGTCACGGAACTAGGAATGGCCTGATTCCCACAATCCAGTCCTTTTACCCACTGCTTACTGAAAGGTGGGATCCACCTCATGGATTTGCTAGCACCTCGGTGTGTCTTGTGTTCTGAAGATCTTCCTGTTACTGCAGACTTGGCATGGGAATTGAAAACAGATTTTCAGTGTTAAAGAAACAACCCCATTCACTGGCCGGGCACGGTGGATGATGCCTATAATCTCAGCACTTTGGGAGGCCGAGGTGGGTGAATCACCTGAGGTCAGGAGTTCGAGACCAGCCTGGCCAACGTGGTGAAACCCCGTCTCTATCAAAAATACAAAAATTAGCCAGGAATGGTGGCATTGGCCTGTAATCCCAGCTACTTGGGAGGCTGAGTTAGGCAGGAAAATCACTTGAACTGGGGAGGCAGAGGTTGCAGTGAACCAAGATCATGCATTCCAACCTGGGTGACAGAGCAAGACTGTCTCAAAAAAAAAAAAAAAAAAGAAAAGAAAAGAAAGGAAAAGAGCCCCATTCAGAAACCACAAGTAGGCACCTTGACATAAGCTAAGCATATTTCAAGCAATTCCAAACTCCGTATCACCATATAGCAATGATTTGTATAATCTAAAAATATGAGCAAAAATACCTGCATAGTACACATCAACTCAGCCAAATACACCTCTCTACAAATCTCTGCTCTGAGATTTGTAAAGTCACAGAAGTAAATTCATAGGGTTAAAGTACGATAAACAGCCTGATGGGAGAGCACCAGAGAGCTCATGCAGAGGGATGAAGGCAATGCCTCTCTGTGCATCCGCATGCCATGCACTCAACTTCCTCCTGAGAGAGGCAGGTCTTTACCATTAGGAGTCATGTTCAACAGCATGTGACTTGTCACCCTGGGTACAACAGATCAGAGCAGGAGAAGATGCTCATCTCAAGGGCAGATAATTTCTAGGTAGGCAGGTGGCTTAGAGCCAGAGATTTATGGAAAGTTTGTCAACTGGCAGTGGGAGCAGGAGATGAAAGCCACAAAGGGAAAAAATATAGCATATCATTAAAATGGTAGAAATGTGGGGTTAGCAAAAGCCTGAGGGTTGCTTTTCACAGGATATGAAGTAGTTCATTGGTGGTGCCAGACCACAAGGAGAATATTGCTAAGTAGAGCATCACTATGTTGACATAATGGGTAAGTATCAGAAAACAACAACTTCCTGCCACTAAGAAATCAATGAGCTATCTTGGTCCCCAGAGCTGTGCTGATCAGATTCCAAACTATATTTAAGTCCTAATAAACCCAGCCACATGGCTATTCCTAAACTTCAGCATGTGGCTGAGATTTCTGTCTTCCTGAATTCTGTTAAGGCTGCTTACAATAACCCTTCATTCCTTCTGGTGGCCTGAGTGAATCTCTGTCCTCTGCAACCACAAGATTGTACCAGGTCATAAAAAGAGATGAAGTTCTGGCCAGGCATGGTAGCTCACACCTGTAATCCCAGCACGTTGGGAGGCTGAGGTGGGTGGATCACCTGAAGTCAGGAGTTCAAGACCATCCTGGCCAACACGGCGAAACTCCATCTCTACTAAAAATATAAAAATTAGCCAGGCATGGTGGTGCACACCTGTAATCTCAGCTACTTGGGAGGCTGAGGCATGAGAATCGCTTGAACCTGGGAGGCGGAGGTTGCAGTGAGCCAAGATTGTGCCACTGCACTCCTGCCTGGGCAACAGAGCAAGACCCTATCTCAAAAAAAGAAAAAAAGAAAAAAAGAGATGAAGTTCTAACACATGATATAACATAGATAAACCTTGAAGTTACATTAAGTGAAATAAGCCAGGCACAAAAGGACAAATATTGTATGATTCCTTTCCTGTGAGGTACACAGAATGGTCAAATTCGTAGAGACAGAAAATAAAACAGGGGTTGCCAAAGACAGTGATGGGGGAAATGTGGAGTTATTGCTTAATGAGTACAGAGTTTCTTTTGGGATGGTGAAAAGGTTTTAGAAATAATAGAGATGGCTGTACAACATTGTCAATGTAACACTACTGAACTATACACTTAAAATGATTAAAATAGTAAACTTCCTGTTATATGCATTTTACCACACATAAAAAGACCCAATTAGCGATAAAGTGTGATGAAAGGAACACCAGCTTGGAGTCAGAGGAACTTGGTTCAAGACCCAGCTCTGCCAATTTCTGGATGTGTCACTTTGGACAAGTTCCCTAATCTCTCAGAGTCTCAGTTTATTCATTTGGAAAATGGGAATAATAAAACCCTAAATTTGTCATGAAGAATAAAAGAAGACAAAATACATCAAATCATTGCATAAATTATCTTTTGGAAATTAGTTGGCTGGGCATGGTGGCTCACACATGTAATCCCAGCATTTTGGGATGCCAAAGTGGGTGGATGGCTTGAGCTCAGGAGTTTGAGACCAGCCTAGGTGCTGTGATGAAACCACATCTCTACAAAAAAAAAAAAAAAAAAAAAAAAAAAAAAAAAAAATTATTTGGTCATGGTGGCATGTGCCTACAGTCTCAGGCTGCCTTGAGAGGCTGAGGCAGAAGGATCGCTTGAGCCCAGGAGGTTGAGGCTTCACTGAGCCATGTTTGCACCACTGCATTCCAGCCTGGTTGACATAGCGGGACCCTGTCTCAAGAAAAAAAAAAAAAAGAAAAGAAAAGAAAAGAAAAAGAAAGAAAAGAAAAAAAATTAGTTTGGAAGAGGAGACAGTGGGAGACCTCTGTATTCTCATTTTGGGAAAGTGTGAGGCATATCTTTGACTGTGTGCTCAGGGCACACTGGTGTGAACTGTGTGGAGCTCACCAAGACTGACTTCAGAGTCCCCAGAAGTCCCTGAATGCCCCTCTTCCATTCCATTTCGCCACTCCCTCTCCAGCCCTTTCGGCTCCCAATGCTCTGGGCTGTCTCTTCCTCTATTTCCCGTGGAGAACAGCCTTTAGGAGGGATTATTTTCTTATTAAACTAGAGTTCCTTTGTTCCCTCTCCGAGACAGTATCTGTATTTAGGCCTTATCTCTCCAGGGAGGGAAAGGCTTGGTCCACACAAGTCTGCTGAGTTGAACTGAAGGATTTTTCCAAGCATTAGCAGATTTGAGTGCAGGAAACGCTGGGTGAAGGCGCCCTCCAGGTCCTTTGTATCTCCCCCCAGCCAGGCAGTTAATAATCCTGGACTATTTGCCGACTAGGATCCTTTCTCTGGGAAACAGCAAAAGGTAGGAGGAGGTAGGCCAAATGGTTTCTCAGATTCGTTTCCATTCTCAGAATCGGTGAAGTCTATAAAGCAGGCGCCGACACCAGGACGGCTGGGGAGCTGTCCATGGTCTTGAAGTGTAACTGAACAGGCAAGTCCCTGTTTCTCCTAATCCTGGGGTTCTGGAAACTCTGGTTCAGCCTAGCCTCAGACTTAGAAGTAAGTGAATAAAGAGAACATTCTGGGAAGGGGAAAGAAAGAGAGGGAGAAAGAAAAATAGGGAGAGAAAGAGAACACAGAAATAGGCTTAAGCACTGAGATACTGCTAAAGCCAAAACATAGAAACCCCAAATTCCTTAAGCAAAAATATGGAAAAACAAACGCTGCACATCAAACAATGCAATGCAAAACTGTGCAAACACAATTTTGTGTGCACAACTACAACCACATAGGACGAACTGTTACTATCAACTAATCCACCCAAAGAACCTTTTTTTTGGAGACGGAGTCTCGCTCTGTCAACAGCCTGGAGTGCAGTGGCGTGATCTTGGCTCACCACAACCTCTGCCTCCCAGGTTCAAGCAATTCCCTGCCTCAGCCGCCTGAGTAGCTGGGACTACAGGCGTGCACCACCATGCCCAGTTTATTTTCGTATTTTTAGTAGAGACTGGGTTTCACCATGTTGGCCAGGATGGTCTCGATGTCTTGACCTCGTGATCTGCCCGCCTTGGCCTCCCAAAGTGCTGGGATTACAGGCGTGAGCCACTGCGCCCAGCCTATTGTTTGTTTTTATCTTCTATGTACATAGAAACAGTTGAGGTTTTATAAATGAAGGACAAACAGGAGTATGATTTAGCTTCATGTCATGTTCTTTCATGTTTCTTTGTTAAAAACATTCCCCTTTCTTCTAGAAAGTTTGGGGCATGATTCTCCCTCATCTTCCTTAATGATATGCTCATGCAATATATTTTCGTAGAGGCTAAAGAAATCTAGCTGAAAAAATAGTCTGAAATCAGACAAAAAAAGGGTAGGTTTCCCTCTGAGTACTTAGAATGTATGGTCTGTAATCAAGTGCATACTGCCTGGTCCTTAAGTTAAAATCTCAAGTTAGTCAAACCTCTTCAACTGATTGTAATTTTTTGGGAGTGTGACTATGTCTCGTGTCTTTTACCATACAGACATAAAAAGTACCAAGCATGCAGCTGGACACACAGCAGGTGTGTGTGTGTGATTATGGCAAAGTAGAGATGAAGGCTGGATTTCACTCAGGCAATGTATTTTTCTTTTCTTTTCTCTTTTTTCTTTTCTTTCTTTTCTTTTCTTTTTTTTTTTTTTCTTTTTTCTTTTTCTCAGACAGAGTCTCACTGTGCTGCCCAGGCTGGAGTGCAGTGGTGCAATCTCGGTTCACTGCAACCTCTGCTTCCTGGGCTCAAGCAATTCTCCAGCCTCAGCCTCCTGAGTAGCTGGGACTACAGGCGCGTGCCACCACACTCGGCTAATTTTTGTATTAATATTTTATGTAGAAATGGGGTTTTGCCATGTTGCCCATGCTGGTCTCGAACTCCTGAGCTCAAAGAAATCCACTCACCTCGGCCTCCCAAAGTGTTGGGATTACAGGTGTAAGCTACCATGTCTACCTTGTTTTTTTTCTTTCTTTTTGTAAAAATCTCATATGCACTTGTGGTAATCATAAGACAAAGAAAAAAAATCAAGAGTGGTGTTTTTATTAGAGAAAAACGAATATTATGGCACATCCTTACAAGTAAATGCTATACTGAACTGTAAAAAGAAGTAAATAGATGTATATAACTAATGTGGAAAAATGTTTATGATTTATGAAGTGAAGAAATAAAGTCGCAGCACATTACATACTATATATAATTCCATATTTTTAAAAATTAAATTAATCTGAGAGAAATGACACCATTTGTCACTTCTAGCTATATTCATCTCTAGGATCCCAGCGGCTGGCATATAGCCAGGGTTCAGTAAATGTGTGTGAGATGACTATGGCAATACCAAGGACTCAGAGTAGCACTTAAAATACTCCCAACATAGTGTGAATTCTGACCTTTTTCTGTTACTTCAAAACAAGCAGGATTTTCCTATTGGTGGGCAAGAAGGAAGGGGGAGAGGTCTTTACAGTTAGCCCAAGTTAAAAGAGTGTTAGACTGAAGGTCACTGGTTCAAGCCCAGATTTGAGTGATACTTTCCTTTTTGCTCTCTCTCTCTCTCTCTCATCTATGTATCTATTAACCAATTTTCCTAACTTCTTAGCTGGGCACAGTGGCTCATGCCTGTAATCCCAGCACTTTGGGAGGCTGAAGCAGGCAGATCACCTGAGGTCAGGAGTTCGAGATCAGCCTTGCCAACCTGGTGAAACCTTGTCTCTACTAAAACACCAAAAAAAGACTGGGAGCGGTGGCTCATGCCTGTAATCCCAGCACTTTAGGAGGCTCTGGAGTTCAAGACCAGCCTGGCCAACATGGTAAAACCCCACCTCTACTAAAACTACAAAAATTAGCTGGGCGTGGTGGTGGGCACCTGTAATCCCAGCTACTTGGGAGGCTGAGGCAGGAGAATCGCTTGAACCTGGGAGGCAGAGGTTACAGTGAGCCAAGATCATACCATTGCACTCCAGCCTGGGCAACAAGGGCAAAACTCCACCCAAAAAAAGAAAAATACAAAAGAAAAATTAGCCTGGCTTGGTGGTACACACCTGTACACCCAGCTACTCTTGTGAGGCTGAGGCAGGAGAAATGCTTGAACTTGGGAGGCAGAGGCTGCAGTGAGCCGAGATCGTGCCACTGCACTCCAGCCTGGGCAACAGAACAAGATTCTGTCTCAAAAAAAAAATTTTTTTTCCTGAATTTTTAATTTGGAAATTTTAAACCTAGAGAAGTTGCAAGGCTAATACAATAAACAACTGTACATTTTTCACCTAAACTCACCAATGGTCAACTTTTTGACGCATTTGTTTTACCTCCCCCTTCTGTGTGCATTTGTGTGTGTGGTATGTGTGGACAGCATTTTTGCCAAATCATCTAAGAGTAAGTTACATAAATTATGATACCGCAACCCTAAAACTTCAGTATGTATCTCCTAAGAACATTTGCCTATTTTTATATATGTCTTACTTTGAAATAGTTTAAGACATAAAAAAATTGCAAAAATAGTACAGAAAGTTCCCATGTACAATTTACCCAGCTCCCCCCTATGATACCATCTTATATAACTATAGTACATTATCAAAACCAGGAAAATGACATTGATACAACACCTTAATTCACTAGAGACCTTATTTGGATTTCATTAGGTTTCTCTCTTCTCTCTCCCACCCTCTGAATTTTTATCATGTGTACAGATTTGAGTAGCAGAAATGTTCCATTACCACAAAAATTTCCTCCTGTTAGCCCCTTTATAGTTACATCCTCCCACAACCCTACAACCTTAATTGCTGTCAACCATTGATCTTTTCCCCATCACTATGATTTCTTTGCTTCAAGAATGTTTTATAAATGGAATCATGTAATATGTAACATTTTGAGATTAGCTTTTACTCAGCAAAATGCCCTTATAATTCACCCAAGTTGTTTCATGTGTCAATAGTTCATTCTTTCTAATGGTGAACAGTATTCCATTGTATGAATGTATTTTAGTTTGTTTATCCATTCACCTGCTGAAAGACATGTGGGTTGTCTCCTGTTTTAGTACATCATATAGAAAGCTGCTATGAACTTTCATGTACTCATTTTTGTGTGAACATAGGTTTTCCCTTTTCTGGGCGAAATACTCAGGAGTGAAATTGCTGAGTCACATGGTAAATATATATTAATTTATTTAATTAATTCATTAATTTATTTATTTTGGAGGCAGAGTCTCGGTCTGCTGCCCAGGCTCGAGTGCAGTGGTGCGATCCCAGCTCACTGCAACCTCTGCCTCCTAGATTCATGTGATTCTCCCACCTCAGCCTCCCGAGTAGCTGAGATTACAGGCGCACACCACCATGATTGGCTAAATTTTTGTATTTTTAAGAGAGATGGAGTCTCACCATGTTGACCAGGCTGGACTTGAACTCCTGAGCTCAGGTCATCTGCCCACCTTGGCCTCCCAAAGTGCTAAGATTACAGTAATGGCTTGAGCCACTGTGCCTGGCCAAATGTATATTAACTTTATAAGAAACTACTAAAGTGTTTTTCCAGAGTATGTGTACCATTTTACATCCCCACCAGCTTTTCTGGCGGGAATAAATTAGAGATCCAGCTGTTCTCCATCCTTGTAAGCACTTAGTATTGTCAGTATTTTGTGTTTAAGCCACTCTAGTAGGTATGTAGTGTCACATAATTGTGCTTTGAATTTGATTTCCTGATGGCTAGTTATGTTGAACATATTTTCATCTACTTATTTGCCATTTGTATATTCCCTCTGGTAAAATGCCTATTCAAGTCATTTGCCCATTTTCTAATTGGAATGTTCATTTCCTTTCTGTTATGTTTAGACAGTTCTTTTTTTTTTTTTTTTTTTTTGAGATGGAATCTCGCTCTGTCACTCAGGCTGAAGTGCAGTGGCGTGATCTCGGCTCACTGCAACCTCCGCCTCCTGGGTTCAAGCGATTCTCATGCCTCAGCCTCCCTAGTAGCTGGGATTACAGGAGCATGCCACCAGGCCCTGCTAATTTTTTTGTATTTTTAGTAGAGACGGGGTTTCACCATGCTGGCCAGGCTGGTCTTGAACTCCTGACCTCAAGTGATCCACCCACCTTGGCCTCCCAAGGTGCTGGGATTACAGGCGTGAGCCACCACGCCTGGCTAGAAAGTTCTTTACAAATTCTGGATACACATTCTGGATACATTTGTTGTCATTTGTAAATATTTTTGGCTTGTCTTTTCATCTTCTTCTTTTTTTTTTTTGAGATGGAGTCTCACTCTGTCGCCTGTTGCCCAGGCTGGAGTGCAATGGCACAGTCTCGGCTCACTGCAACCTCTGCCTGCCGGGTTCAAGCAATTCTCCTGCCTCAGCCTCCCGAATAGCTGGGACTACAGGCACGTGCCACCATGCTCAGCTAATTTTTTAGTAGAGATGGCTAGGCTTGTCTCGAACTTCTGACCTCGTGATCTGCCTGCCTTGGCCTCCCAAAGTGCTGAGCCACCATGCCCAGCCTTCATCTTCCTTTTTTTTTTTTTTTTTTTGAGACACAGTCTCGCTCTGTTGCCCAGGCTGGAGTGCAGTGGCGCGATCTTGGCTCACTGCAAGCTCTGCCTCCTGGGTTCATGCCATTCTCCTGCCTCAGCCTCCCGAGTGGCTGGGATTACAGGCGCCCGCCACCACGTCTGGCTAATTTTTGTATTTTTAGTACAGACGGAGTTTCACCGTGTTAGCCAGGATGGTCTCGATCTCCTGACCTCGTGATCTGCCTGCCTCAGCCTCCCAAAGTGCTGGGATTACAGGCGTGAGCCATGGTGCCTGACTGCCTTCATCTTCTTAACAGGATCTTTTGCAGAGCAAAAGATTTTAATTTTGATGAAGTTAAAAGCATTTTTTTTTTTATGAATCTCACTCTTGGTGTCATGCCAAAGACTTTTCCCAAGTGGTTATATGAGAAAGCATTTTCAACCCCTTTTTTCACCTCACATGTGTTTAATACTGTGATAGGTGCTGAGAGATATATATAGATGTAGAAGATGAGTTGTGCTCAAGGAGCTTCCAGTTCTATTCATCTATTTATTTATTTATTTTAATATTTAGAAATGGAGTCTCACTATGTTGCCCAGGCTGGAGTGCAGCGGTTATTCACAGGTGCAATCATAGTACACTACAGCCTCGAACTCCTGGGCTCAAGAGATCTTCCTGCCTCAGCCCAAGTAGCTGGGCCTATAGGTGTGCACTACTGCACACAGCTCCCATTTCAACTCAGACAAGCATACAAATAATTACAGTAGAAGACTATGTTCATTATGAGCCATGTGAGTGCTGCAAAGGCTATGGGTTTGAGGAGGAGAGTTCAAGGGAAGGATGGATCACCTTCCACTGGAGATACCAAGGAAGGCTTCAAGGAGGGGCGGCATTTGAGCCTTAAGGATCTCAACAGTTGAAGTAGGGCTGGGGGTGAAATTCCAGGAAGAAGGAACTGTGTAAGCAGAGGAACGAGTGGGACAAAGTGAAGATCAAGAAGCAAGGGGAGGGGGGAGGAGAAGAGGGAGATAATAAGTTCACTTTCAGATCTATGGTATTTGAAGACCAGCAAGCATTCACGAGGAGATATCCAACAGGCAGTTAGATATGTGTTTGGAGGTGGAAATTGGAAATAGGGGTTTGGGACTCATTGGCATAGGTCAGGGCCTTAGTTGTATGCCCCACAGCAACTTGTACTTGCCTTCAGAGCACTTGTCATAAGTGTAATTAACAATTAATGGTGTAATTAGCTGCTTAATCTCTGTCTCTCCTACTAGAATGCCACTCCCATGGAGGCAGAGCCCACATCTGCCTTATTCCTATGGAGAAGGCACCTACTCCAGGGGCCTTGGACATAAACATTCAGTAACTATTTGGTGAATGAATTAATTAAAGAAGTTGATACTTCTAACAGCTACCATTTACTGAACATGCACACAGCAGGCACTGTGATGTCTGCTTTGTATACATAATCTCATTTAAACTGCACAGTCATTTCACGAGAGGTAGGTCTAGGGATCTCAATCCCTTAGATTAAGTGGGTTATGGGTAAAGCCCAGGAATCTAAATTTAAGTTCTCAGGTAATTCTAATGATCAGCCAGGTTTGCAGAGCACTCTGGTGGATTGTTTTATTGAAATTTCACAGACAATTTCAAGAAATTACGGCTCAGCAAATAATAGTAATGTGTTTGAGGTCACCTGGCTAGATGCAAAACTAGATTTCTCAGGGAGAAAACTTTATAAGCCTCCCTGCTTCTGGGAGATCTAATATCGTAAAAAGAGAGTTGTTTATTATTATTATATTATTATTATTATTATTATTATTATTATTATTATTATTATTTTGAGACAGAGTTTCGCTCTTATTGCCCAGGCTGGAGTGCAATGGCGCGATCTCTGCTCACTGCAACCTCTGCCTCCCGGGTTCAAGCAATTCTCCTGCCTCAGCCTCCTGAGAAGCTGGGACCACAGGCATGTACCACCACACTCAGCTAATTTTTGTATTTTTGGTAGAGATGGGGTTTTGCCATGTTGCCCAGGCTAGTCTCAAACTCCTGGGCTCAAGTGCTCCTCCCACCTCAGCCTCCCAAAGTGCTGGGATTACAGGCATGAGTCACGGTGCCTGGCCTAAAAAAAGAGTTTACAAAGGAAGAGCGGAAGGCTAAGAACTGAGTCATTAAAACCAAGGAGAGTGGTCAGCACTGCCAAATGCCACAGAGAGACTGGAGAATGTGGCCTTAGGGAGAACTGGGGATGACTGACAACGTGTCTGTGGTGTCTGAGTGTGCCATCAGAGGAAGATGAAGACACAGCCCTGGCACACACAGGGAACTCCCTCAGGAGGCCTGGCCAGCTGGAAGGAGTTATGGATTGAGGCTCAGCCAAGATCACTCCTTCGCAGGATAGCTTTGTGCTAAAATTATTAAAGCCAAACATCTGGGCCTGTGGGGTGGGATGCCAAGAAAGAGGAGGCATAAGTCCCACAGGGGAATACCAGTTTGGAATCTCAGATAAGCTGTTGAGAAAATGCAAAATGCATCTTTGCCAGGGCAACTGTCACTCTGCTGAAATATTTAGGCCTTTTGCCTCACTTTCTTCTGTTCTATGTGTGTTTTGCCTTTGGGGTACTGATTCCACTGGAGGATGGGAAGGGAAAGAAAGCGGAACTCCAACCAGGACATTTTGCTGACTTTCAGTAGTAGTAGCCTGGAGACCTGTGCAAGGGTGTGATGGACTATTTCCTGCAATCCCCTCCCTAAACCCAATTCATATCCTGTTGCTGATGGATGTGAAACCGTTCCTTTCATTTGAAAGAGGATGATGATGACCATAACTCTTTATACCTACAGCTTAAAAGCACCTTCACATGCATCAGCTCAAGCTTTCATGACTCTTGGGAGGTAGGTGTTGTTATCCCTACATGCTTAGTAAGTGGCAGAAGCCACAATTCAAACCCATTGCCTCTGACTCTGAGTCCAATGTTCTTTCAATTACAAACCAGCATGCTGATTTGTTATCAGCCAAAACTCTTCCAAAGCCCACTTAGTCCTATTCTGGCTGCACAGAAATATTTTGTTTTTTTGAGACAGTTTCACCCTTGTTGCCCAGGCTGGAGTGCAATGGTGCGATCTTGGCTCACCACAACCTCCGCCTCCCGGGTTCAAGTGATTCTTCTGCCTTGGCCTCCAGAGTAGCTGGGATTACAGGCATGTGCCACCACCCTCAGCTAATTTTGTATTTTTAGTAGAGACAGGTTTCTCCATGTTGGTCAGGCTGGTCTCGAACTCCTGACCTCAGGTGATCCACTCGCCTCGGCCTCCCAAAGTGCTGAGATTACAGGCAGGAGCCACGGCAGCCGGCCGTGCTGCATGGAAATTAACAAGACTTCAAGAGTCTCACTGCAGGCTGGGCGCAGTGGCTGACGTCTGTAATCCCTGCACTTTGGGAGGCCAAGGCAGGTGGATCACCTGAGGTCAAGTTCAAGACGAGCCTGGAAAACATGATGAAACCCCGTCTCTAGTAAAAATACAAAAAATTGGCCAGGCGTGGTGGCTCATGCCTGTAATCCCAGCACTTCGGGAGGCCAAAGCAGGTGGATCACGAGGTCAGGAGTTCAAGACCAGCCTGGCCAACATGGTGAAACCCCATCTCTACTAAAAATACAAAAATTAGCCAGGTGTGGTGGTGGGCACCTGTAATCCCAGCTACTCGGGAGCCTGAGGCAGAGAACTGCTTGAACCCAGGAGGCAAAGGTTGCAGTGAGCCGAGATTGTGCCACTGCATTCCGGCTTGGGCGACAGAGCGAGACTCCATCTCAAAAAAAAAAAAAAATACAAAAAATAGCCAGATGTTGTGGCAGACACCTACCCGCTGACCTGTGGTGAGCCAAGATCACGCTACTGCCCTCCAGCCTGGGCAAGAAGAGCGCAACTCCGTCTCTCTTTTTTTTTTTTTTTTTGATGGAGTCTCGCTCTGTCACCCAGGCTGGAGTGCAGTCGCATGATTTCGGCTCACTAAAACCTCCACCTCCCGAGTTCAAGCAATTCTCCTGCCTCAGCCTCCTGAGGAGCTGGGATTACAGGCCCGTGCCACCACACCCGGCTCATTTTTATATTTTTAATAGAGACAGGGTTTCACCATGTTGGTCAGGCTGGTCTCAAACTCCTCACCTCAAGTGATCCGCCCATCTCGGCCTCCCAAAGTGCTGGGATTACAGGTGTGAGCCACTGCACCCGGCCAACTCCGTCTCAGAAAAAAAAAAAAAAAAAAAAGAGTCTCACTGCACTAAGCAGAATTATGTAGTGAAGAGAGAATGTATGCTTGTCTTTGCTTGCTGGTGACCTTGTGCTGCACCCGCACCTCGGTGCCTTATCTATAAGATGGAGGTGAGGGCCACCTTGAAGCATGGTTCAGAGGTAAACCTATGCAAAAGTGCCAGCACAAGTACTGGCAGACAATCATTACTCAGCAGTGTTAGCAATCTTTTATTGTTCACCTTACCAGGTCTTTCTAAGCCCAAAGACCTCAGAATTGAGTCCCTCCAACTCAAGGCTTTGGTCTGTGATGAGGAACCAGAGGGGCAGGCTGTGGCAGGGCCTGACCATCTTCCATGACATCAAGCACAAAGCCAAGAGATATGCTCCAAAGTCCCATAAGATCCCTTTTCACCCTTCCTTTAGTGGCCTGTCCCAAGCATATTCCCCTTTCCCCATGAAGTAAAACTTATCCTAGAACTACGTCCTTGAAGATTCCAATATCAATAAAAGGCCCTCAGTCTGGAATTCTGGGATATAACTAAAAAGGTCTTCCTACTCCCTCTCCAAAGCCATATCCACATCCTGAATGATATTAGAAGCTTGCAAGTGGGTACATATTACAGACGCCACACTGACCCCTCCCAGCCTTCATCTTTTCAGATTCCATTCTTTGATTCTCACCCCCTGCCCCACCAACCCTACCATGTGGCAGAAGAGGCCGGCTCAGTCACCAGCACTCTCCCCCACTCCTGGAGTTTAATCTTTTTGCAGGGATCTCTTTTCTCCAAAAAGAGATCTGCACAGGGAGTGGCTCTCTGAAGCCAGTTGAGAACCTGCCCTGCTGGATTTACACAAACTGAAATCTCAAATGCCCACAGGGTCAGAGAGGTAAAGTAAATGAATTAAGAAGGGGGGCGTAATTCAGTGGAGAATGGCAGGGACTGTAGTGAACAGGAGAGCACACTTCTTATACAAATGGCAAGGGCAACTCACCTCTGCCACTGTGGGCATCCCAGCTCTTCCCATTTTCAGAAGAAGCCAGAAATCCAATTTCTTTACAGGTGAAATCTCCTGGTTTAAAAATGCTCCTTTCGAAATATTTTAAAATATAATGCTCTAAACACAAAAGTCTGCAGCCCCCTTTCCAGCAGCTTGTGGTCCTGGCCTGTGCCATGCTTTAGTGCCCTAACGATGAGCCCCAGCAATTCCCAGCGCCTCCTGCTTCTCCAAGTCTGGCCTCTTTTCCCCTCTGTACCGCCGCTTCTCCCCACTCTCCGCAGCTCGGGGTCACTTTCTTTACTGATCTCCCCTCTCTTCTGGGAGAGGCACTTGCTGAACATCTTTCCGCCCGGAGCCTCCCCAGGAGCTGCAGAGGGGCAGCTGGAGAGATGCTTTCTGACGTAGCATCTCCCACCTTTCTCCTTGGGGACCCTGAGGAAGGGGACAAGGGCTCGCTCTGCAGGTCCTCACTGTAACTGGAAAAACACGACCTCGCCCTCGGGAAGGCTTTCTGTGCGCCTCACCTCAGGATGAGGGTGGGTGTAGGGGACACCTCCCAGAAACCCCTAACCTCCCAGTCGGTTAAAGAAGAGGGGATAGGGTCAAGGGATGCGACAGAGCTGTGTGGTTTCCGGATGGGAAACCTCAGTCGTTTAGGCACCCCTCCGCTCGAGTCACTTCCGAAGCAGTCGATTCTTGGGGAGAAGCGCTGCGGAAAGGGGCGACTCCGATGCAGATGGCCCTGTCCCGGCGCCCCAGGTCGTCGCGCGCGCAGCTGCGGTAGTCACTGCGCCTCCCCGCCCCCACTCCTGGATGCCCCCCTTCCCTCTCCCGGCCAGACTCTGAGCAGGAGCTCCGCCCCCAGCGCGCCGCCCCAGCCCCGGCGCCTTAAAAGCCGGGCGCACCGCCCCGCCGCGCCCTGCCTGCCGCACCTCTCCTTTCTTCTGTAGCTCGCGTTGAAGCCGCACGTCCGGCCCCGATCCCGGCACCATGAGCTTCGGCTCGGAGCACTACCTGTGCTCCTCCTCCTCCTACCGCAAGGTGTTCGGGGATGGCTCTCGCCTGTCCGCCCGCCTCTCTGGGGCCGGCGGCGCGGGCGGCTTCCGCTCGCAGTCGCTGTCCCGCAGCAATGTGGCCTCCTCGGCCGCCTGCTCCTCGGCCTCGTCGCTCGGCCTCGGCCTGGCCTATCGCCGGCCGCCGGCGTCCGACGGGCTGGACCTGAGCCAGGCGGCGGCGCGCACCAACGAGTACAAGATCATCCGCACCAACGAGAAGGAGCAGCTGCAGGGCCTCAACGACCGCTTCGCCGTGTTCATCGAGAAGGTGCATCAGCTGGAGACGCAGAACCGCGCGTTGGAGGCCGAGCTGGCCGCGCTGCGACAGCGCCACGCTGAGCCGTCGCGCGTCGGCGAGCTCTTCCAGCGCGAGCTGCGCGACCTGCGCGCGCAGCTGGAGGAGGCCAGCTCGGCTCGCTCGCAGGCCCTGCTGGAGCGCGACGGGCTGGCGGAGGAGGTGCAGCGGCTGCGGGCGCGCTGCGAGGAGGAGAGCCGCGGACGCGAAGGCGCCGAGCGCGCCCTGAAGGCGCAGCAGCGCGACGTGGACGGCGCCACGCTGGCCCGCCTGGACCTGGAGAAGAAGGTGGAGTCGCTGCTGGACGAGCTGGCCTTCGTACGCCAGGTGCACGACGAGGAGGTAGCCGAGCTGCTGGCCACGCTGCAGGCGTCGTCGCAGGCCGCGGCCGAGGTGGACGTGACTGTGGCTAAACCAGACCTGACCTCGGCTCTGAGGGAGATCCGCGCCCAGTATGAGTCCCTGGCCGCTAAGAACCTGCAGTCCGCGGAAGAATGGTACAAGTCCAAGTTTGCCAACCTGAACGAGCAGGCGGCGCGCAGCACCGAGGCCATCCGGGCCAGCCGCGAGGAGATCCACGAGTATCGGCGCCAGCTGCAGGCGCGCACCATCGAGATCGAGGGCCTGCGCGGGGCCAACGAGTCCTTGGAGAGGCAGATCCTGGAGCTGGAGGAGCGGCACAGTGCCGAGGTAGCTGGCTACCAGGTAAGGGCCGGGGCTGGGCGTGGGGAGGGGTGCCCTGCCCTCTTCCGCGCGTACCCTCTTCCTCTGGTAAAACTGGGCCCCAGGACTTAAGGGGAGGGCAAAAGAGAGGAGAGAAGAGCCGCGGCTGGAGGCGCTGGTTAACAAAAAACCCTGGAGTCTTTAATGTTAATTTTAGGGAACGCCCCTCATTTATGTCCCTGCCCCAGCCCTTCAAACAAAGAAGCCCTTAAATTTATTTGAGGTTCGAAAACCCAACTCTGCCTGTCTGTCAGCAAGCGGGCCTACACACACCGGCGACCCGGAGAACAGTGCCCCACCCAAAGTAAGACTGAGCCCAACGGGGCAGGTTACGTGGGCGGTGCTGTCTCGGCTATCTGGCTTGTTTGGTTGACTTTGAAAAGCTTTCTGTGCGCCCTAGAAGTTATTTATGGAGTATGGTCTGCTTCAGGGCTGAAGGAAGAATGCGATCCTGAACTGGGAAGAGTCCTATCCCATTTTCTTGACTTTCGCGCTCCAAAAAGTAGAGATTGGGAGCCAACAAGCTGAGCGATGCTTGAGCTAGTAGTAACCACCCTGCTCTACCCACCTCCCCAACACACACACACACACGATTCCCTTGTCCACCAGCACACACACACACACACACACACACACACACGATTCCCTTGTCCACCAGCTGACATTTCCTCCTTAAGAAAGCGTTCGCCGGTTGGCAAAACGTGAAAGGTCGGGGCGCTGTCCACGGTGCTGATCTCGAGTTCTTCCCATCTCAGAAATTATGTCTCTCCTGTCTCGTGTCCCAGTTATGAATCTCTAGGCAATTAACTGCTTTGATTTTTTTTTTCCTGCAACACCAACACATCAGTCTTGGCTACCTGCAATCAAAGGTCACCTCATAGACAACATCAGTTTTGGCTTTCATGGATGGCTTAGCACTAAACAAAAAACACTTAATTTGCTCAGCAGCTGTGAGGTCCCACTTGAAAATTCCTGTTTTGTTAGTATTTTTTTCATTGTAAGTGCATGTGATAAGTCACAGAGATGGTTTTTCTTTGTTCTAGTGTATGTATTTTTTCCATATTTCCCTGTCCTCTAAGCTCCTGTGATGGTATTGATTGGCTATTTCTTCCCAACAAAGGCCACTGTGTCTTCAGTTTTACTATATAAGAAATTCTGGGATTATGACCGCAAATGGCACAGAGGCAGGGGACAGGGTAAATGGAAGGTGTAGAAAAGAATTGGAATAGTGTGGTTCGGTTTCAAGGTACAATAAAAGCTCCTTTGAATAGAATGACTATAATTCAGAAACTTGCAATAATTCTAGCTAGGATTAAAGTTTACATTTGGTGAGATTAATAGGGCTTGGAACATTGGTAAAATAGAACCAAGAAAGGAATGAAATCTCAAAAGTAACATTTTAATCAGAAGCTAAAGAATTCTTATTGATGTGCAGGTATTTGCTGTTTGTTACAATAACTTCCTTTGATAAAGGAAAAAAGCCTGCTTGGACTGTTTAGGTTAGTTTGGTATTGCATTATCATTCAAATAAGTACTTCCATTTCTGCCTCAAAATCCATAACTTGAACTTTTCATTATGTACCCTAACCCCTGGATGGCCTGAATTAATCACATTTGGCTAATTGAGACTTCATTTTTTTCTTCTAGAAGCCTCCAAGTACGAGCTAGGTGGTCTTCTGGAGGGCTAGCCCAGTATTTCTACAAAAAAAGGATAACTTACTCAGAGCTGCCAGCTGAATTGGGCTTCTCCATTTTCTCTGCTTGTTATAGCCCATACATTCTAAGAAGTAGTGACAGTTTTGCCTGGCTTGTTTGCTGTAAAAGGCTTTCATCATTAGACAATGGTAGCGTCATCCAGACATGGTCTACAGGAAACAAACAAAAAACAACAACAGAGAAACTGCAGCATCTGCAGCTCTGCGGTGCTGCCCCCATCAGCTTGAGCCTTTAGAGCCACAGAGGACCTGCTGATGGGAGTGGAAGAGGAGGTCAGACAACAGAGAGCTGGTTCCCTACTCCTTGGGACCTAAGGCTAAGGTGGAGCTCAAGTCTTACCTGCAGATCCTAACGGCCTGATGCCACAAGGGTGTCTCTGACTGTTCTAACAATCTTAGCAGTGCTGACCAAGGTGAAAAGCCTCCCTTTCTACAGTGAGATTTAGCCATTGTTTTCTTGCCCTCTCATCTCATCCCCACCTTTCACTGCAGTAATGGGAGGCTGTTCTCCTTCTTCTGCTACAGAGATTAGTGGTAGGGCCATTTTTCTTTTCAAACTTGGCACCCTCTATGAAACATAGGAAGGCCCCATTAAAGTCCCATCTTCTCTGCCCCAGATAGCTGATAGCCTATTTAAGGAGAGAAAGCTTCTTACACTTTTGAAAGGGTAAAAAATGATTCACGGTGACACAGTAAGTACACAATAGTGGATGAGAGAGTCTGAATCAGGCAAGAGAAGAGATTAGGAAGAGCTAAGGCTATTGTCTTCAAAAGCCAAATGCAACTCCCCTCTGCATAAAAAGCTGATGGGGTTTCCATTTCTGACATAGGGCAATGCTGGTGCCTACATAGCCACTTCGGCACCATTAGAGTCCTAGTTCTGTTAAAGATGTCCAAAGACATTCTTGGAGGGTACTCAGGGTCTCAGACCTCTACTGTGGTCAGTCTTGGAAAGTTGAAGCTTTCCTTGAAAGACCTTGCTGAATGATCAAGATCACCGCAGGTTAATGCTCTCCAGGGAGACAAGCCAAGTCTTCTCTTTTTTCTCCATTATGAGATTGGAGTACAGCCTAATTAAATAGCAGGAAGGGGCTGGCCCCTTGGAGACTGGAGGTGACAGTGGCTGCATATAAATCCATAGCTTGATAGATCCATTTCTAAAATTAGCTACATTTGATCTTTTTTAAGCTCTTCCACCTGGTTTTTGTTTCATTTTGTTTTGTTTGCCCCTCCCTATCTTACTGTATTACTGTCACCTGGGCTACCATGATAGCATCTTTATAGAAAAAAATTTAAACTAGTGGATCCTAAACCCAGTGACACTCTAAGGTCAATTGGGGGCTTAAAAAAATTATCAGGCCCACTCCCAAAGATATGGATTCAGCAGTTCACAGGTAGGGCCCGGGAATATGCATTTTTCAATAAAAGTGCTGCATCCTGTTGGTCCTCAGACTGACTTTGGAGTACATTGATCTAAACCACTTCTTCCAGTAAAGTAGTTTACGGAGATACGTATAATACAGGATTTTCGAGTGTGGTGGAGGAAAGAAAAAGATGGGGACAAAGGAAAGGTAGGAGTGAGAATAAAGCACGCATGGTGAACCACAAATAAAAATCCTCCGTCCCCACTCAAGTTGATTATGCAGAGCAGTAATTCTAAATAGCCTCTTTCAATCAGACTGTGGGGCACTCACTACTGCCTCCCTGACCCAGGGCCCCCAAACGTGCTGAAATCCACAGCTCTGTCGTTCTTCTTCACCACTGCAGATGTTAGTGTGGCCATTCATTTCTCTTACTCCACCCGGCATCCTTCCAGCCACGGGCTGCGATGCTCAGACGAGCTAAGACGATGCTCAGCGTTTGTCTTAGCTCCTCCAGGAGAGACCCCAGCTGGAGCTGGGCGTGCCGCTCTCCGGTTCCCTCAGGCTAAGCCGGCAGCAGCTGCGTGGTTGGGGGAGGGGACAGACTGCAGCGCTCTGCTCAGATCTCGAGCTGGAGGCCATCTTTGGCAGGGCTTCTGAAGGGCAATGCAAGACACAGCCTGATGTGGGGAGGAGAGCACAAACAAAGAGACCAGACATTGAAGAGCAATCAATGGTCAGAACACAGCACACTTCCTTCTGAAAGGAGCAAAGTTGTGCTTTTCTCTACAGTGATCTGTAAAATAGATATATGAAATCTGCAACATAGAAGTTCAAGGAAATCTCATCTGTCTAGAACTCAGCTCCCCAACCACCTCTTATTCAGAAAACACAGCTGTGAAACAAAAATAATGTTTTAAGCAAGGACCTAATTAACCTGCTGATGAGACATATCATCTATCTCTAAGCCAAACATTAGGAACTTGGCACCTCTACTGCCCCCAGCCTATTCATTCTTAACACGATTTCAAAATGCTTTTTTATTTGGTTTCAAGACTGCAGCAAGATGGAGAATGGGGACCACTGGAGTCAGGCATTGTTAAGAATGAGCAGCAGCAGATCCGTTCATCTTTCAGAACAAAGAAAATCAATGAGCATCAACACTAATCCAAACACCGCACTTTGGGGCCATTTAGGGTAGAATTAAACAGCCTGATATACCTCGAATGACCTAAAAGATGTCACCGAATTATTTTTAAAATTGATTATTATCATGACCCTTAATTGCTGTGGAAGGTGGCATTATGTTTAGTGTCCTGATTGTGAGTGGTATAAGCCACTTTAGAAAGGCTTTTTATTCAAAATTGTTATTAAAAAAAAAAATCTGGTGCTTTAAGGTATATGCCTCCAACTATCCAATATTAAAGTGTTGTTATATGTTACTTTTCGTAGTTATCTAAGGGGTTGGTAATAGTGAGGGCTTGTGATTAATTTGTCTATATCATCAAAAGGATAGAGGGCCATGTGGTATGATATTATCAAGAATAAAAATCACTAACATTTATTGAGTTCTTCCTGTGTGCCATGCTGTTCTGATGCCTACTAATTTAACAGATAATGGACTCATCATATATTAATGTATATGTGAGATATATTAAATTGAAATCCTAATTTGAGGATCTCAGAACACCTTAGAAAAAGAGTAAACATAACTTTCCGTATGCAGAAGTAGAAGATTGGAAGGAACTAAAATGTAGAAAACTGGCTGAGGTCCAATGGATGTTAGTGGCAGAGCAAAAACTGCAACCCAAGTTCCTGATGAAATCCTCCTCTTATCTTCATATAGCATTCCTCCTCCTTCTTTGCATAATCATATTTTCTTCTTTCTCCTTTTTCCCTCACTCTAGACTCTTTTCCCTCTTACCACAGTAATATTGATTCTCTTGTCAGTAGCTAGAGGGTCTATGTCAGTGATTCTATGTCAGTAGCAGAATTGATTATAACCTCAAATAGGAACTATCAGGTAAAATTTCTTGGTAAAAATCTCTTTAAGGCCTCATGATCTCTTAACACACTTTGAAATATATGCATCACGGTCCAGTATAATACGTATTTTTCCTACTGACTGTCATTCCTTGTTCTGTACCCATCAGTCAATTGAGACTCCTCTTTGCAGTATTCCTGTCAATATTTATAGAACAGGTAGGTGGTATGAATTTTAATTCTGCAAATTCTCTTGATTTGGAAGTTTGTACCCCCTGATGTCTCAGCCCTACCTTTCACCATTGCTTTATCATTCTCACACAAGGGGAGTTTCAAGGGCCTGTCAACACTTACTTTCTTGAGGTTTCTGATATGTTTATCTGCATCACTGTTTCTTTTTTTTTTTTTTTTTTTGAGATGGAGTTTTGCTCTTGTTGCCCAGGCTGGAGTGCAATGGCACGATCTCAGCTCACTGCAACCTCTGCCTCCCAGGTTCAAGTGATTCTCCTACCTCAGCCTCCAGAGTAGCTGGGATTACAGGCACACGCCACCACGCCCAGCTAATTTTTGTATTTTTAGTAGAGACCATAGTTTCACCATGTTGGCCAGCATAGTCTCAGTCTCTTGATTGACCTGAACTCCTGACCTCAGGTGATCCACCCGCCTCAGCCTCCCAAAGTGCTGGGATTACAGGCATGAGCCACCATGCCCGGCCCTGCATGACTGTTTCTTAAAAATAACCCCCAATCATTGTGTCTTTTTTTTTTTTTTTAAGACGGGGTCTTGCTGTGTCGCCCAGGCTGGAGCACAGTGGCGCCATCATAGCTCACTTCAACCTCCGCCTACCGGGCTCGAGCAATTCTCTCAGCTCAGCCTCAAGTGATTCGCCTGCCTCAGCTACCCAAAGTGCTGGGATGCCCTAGAGATGTTTTCTTGTTATCGCAACTGGGAGAGGGAAGTATGTGCTTCTGGCATCTAGCCAGGGATGTTACTAAATATCCCGCATTTCACAATAACAAATAATTAGCCAGCCTAAAACATCAACACTGCCAAAGTTGTAAAACTCTGTTATAGAGGAAAGCAACAGAAAATAAACTAGTATAAACCAGTAAATTGCCGGGGCCGGACACTGTGACTCATGCCTGTTATCCCAGCACTTTGGGAGGCTGAGGCGGGCGGATCACGAGGTTAGGAGTTCAAGACCAGCCTGGCCAACATGGTGAAACCCCATCTCTACTAAAAATACAAAAATTAGCCAGGTGTGGTGGTGCACACCTGTAATCCCAGCTACTCAGGAGGCTGAGGCAGGAGAATTACTTGAACCCAGGTGGTGGAGGTTGCAGTGAGCTGAGATTGCGCCACTGCACTCCAGCCTGGGTAACAGAGCAAGACTCCATCTCGGAAAAAAAAAAAAAGAAGAAGATAATTTCATATAATGGTAAGAGCTGAGAGCAGGGTGGCTGCATTCAACTGAGTGCTTTTTTTCTAATTTGCACAAGGTTCCTGCATGGGCCAGTAGCTGCTCTGGCTTAAGGTAAAATAAAGTGCTGGGTTGGTCGAGGATGGATACTTAAATTGGATGCAAATGAAGACCTGTCTGAGGAGAGGACATTATATTTTATTTTATTTTATTTTATTTTATTTTTTGAGATGGAGTTTCATTCTTGTTGTCCAGGCTGGAGTGCAATGGCACGATCTCGGCTCACTGCAACCTCCGCCTCCCAGATTCAAACAATTCTCCTGCTTCAGCCTCCCTAGTAGCTGGGATTATAGGCATGCACCACCACGCCCGGCTAATTTTTGTATTTTTAGTAGAGACAGAGTTTCTCCATATTGGTCTGGCTGGTCTCGAACTCCCAACCCCAGGTGATCCTCCCGCCTCAGCCTCCCAAAGTGCTGGGATTACAGGCATGAGCCATCGTGCCTGGCAGGAGAGGACATTTGAACTGAATCTTTTTTGAGACAGAGTTTTGCTCTTGTTGCCCAAGCTGGAGTGCGGTGGTACGATCTCAGCTCACTGCAACCTCTGCCTTCCAGATTCAAGCGATTCTCCTGCCTCAGCCTCCCAAGTAGGTGGGATTACAGGCGCTTGCCACTGCACACAGCTAATTTTTGTACTTTTAGTAGAGACGGGGTTTCTCCTTGTTGGTCTGGCTGGTCTCGAACTCCCGACTCCAGGTGATCCTCCTACCTCAGCCTCCCAAAGTGCTGGGATTACAGGCATGAGCCATCATGCCTGGCAGGAGAGGACATTTGAACTGAATCTTTTTTTTTTTTTTTTTGAGATGGAGTTTCGCTCTTGTTGCCCAGCTGGAATGCAGTGGCGCGATCTCGTCTCACTGCAACCTCCCCCTCCTGGGTTCAAGCGATTCTCCTGCCTCAGCCTCCCAAGTAGCTGGGATTACAGGTGCATGCCACTGCACCCAGCTAATTTTTGTATTTTTAGTAGAGACGGAGTTTTGCCATGTTAGCCAGGCTAGTCTTGAACTCCTGATCTCAGGTGATCTGCCTGCCTCAGCCTCCCAAAGTGCTAGGATTACAGGTGTGAGCCACCACACCCGGGTGAACTGAATCTTCTATGACAAGGAGTCGGCCATGTAAAGACCGGCATTTTAGATAGAGGAAATAACAAGCCTGAAGGGCCTGGGACAGCAATGAACTTGGTATAGTTAAGGAGTAAAAGAAAAGACCAGGCTGGGCATGGTGGCTCATACATGTAATCTAAGCACTTTAGGAGGTAAAGGCAGGAGTGTCTCTTGAGGCCAGGAGTTCAAGACCAGCCTGGACAACATAATGAGACCTCATCTTTACAAAACAAAAATCTTTTTTAACTAGCCAGGCATGGTAGTGTACACCTGTTAGTCCCAACTGCTTGGGAGGCTGAGACAGGAAGATCGCTTGAGCCCAGGAATTTTGAGGCTGCAGTGAGCTGTGATCACACCACTGTACTCCAGCCTAGGCAACAGAGCAAGACCTTGTCTCAAAAAAAAAAAAAAAAAAAAAAAAAGAATTCCTTCTGGCTGCTCAAGGACTATAAATATATAAATATAAAGCGATTTCTCTTCCATGCCTCGGTGTTTTAAAAATTCTGTGGAGTATTTCTGCTTTCTCCTTACCTATAATGTAAAATGCTCTCAGTAAAGTGACTGATTAGCAGGCTTCTAGGAAATCATCAAAATGAATGGAGGCAGAGAGGTCTTCCTGGAAAGCTCTCTGTGCTTTCCACATTCGGAATTTTCTGAATCTAAGCTGCTAACCTGAGGCTTTGGGTTTTGGAAAGCACATGCTACAACAGAGTTATTTAGCAGCAACACAACAAGCAAGGGAGGGATGGTAAGTGTAAAAAAAAAAAAAATCATCTCCATGTTCAGTTCAGAACTATATGCCGTGTGGCTATCCTGAAAAGGGCAGGTGTTCACTTGCCCTCTGGGTAAAAGTTCCCAGTCCTCACCATGAGTCCAAATCTCCTGGGGACCTTTATGAAAAAAATGCAAATGCTGGGACCCCACCCCAGAACCAGTGAATCTGGATCTGGACTCAGGGACAGACCTGGATATAAGCAAGTTATAAGTTCATTAGATGATTTTAATGTGTAGTCAGGGCTGGGAATCCTTGCCTTCTGGAAATCTTGAGGAATTTCAGCTGGTTTGGCCTAACTATTTTGGATATGTTACTTTTCAGGATAGCATTGGGCAGCTGGAGAATGATCTGAGGAACACCAAGAGTGAGATGGCACGCCACCTTCGGGAATACCAGGACTTGCTCAATGTCAAAATGGCTCTTGACATTGAGATAGCAGCTTACAGGTACTGCAAAGGACCTGCTTACCCGAGTAAATCCAGTCACCTAGGGGCAATGCTGCCCAAATAAGTGGATCTAGTCTCTCTGGCTTCTGACTGGTGAGGGAGGGAAGAAGGGCATCACTGGCCCCTTTCAGGTGAGCTGACTGCTCTGTCCCTCTACTTAGATATAATCCAGCTCCATCTGACTAGTCCCAGAGTATTCTGTGTACCTCTGAAAGGATTTAAGGGGATAATGTGAGTACACAGAGGTTAAAATAAAAACCCATGAGACTCGTAACTTTAAAAATAGGGTTTGGGGCCAAGTGCAGTAGCTCACTCCTATAATCCCAGCACTTTGGGAGGCCAAGGTGGGTGGATCACTTGAGATCAGGAGTTCAAGACCAGCCTGGCCAACATGGTGAAACCCAGTCTCTACTAAAAACACAAAAATTGGCCAGGCGTGGTGGCACACACCTGCAGTCCCAGCTACTCTGGAGGCTGAGGCAAGAGAATCGCTTGAACCTGGGAGGTGGAGGTTGCAGTGAGCTGTGATCATGTCACTGCACTCCAGCCTGGGAGACAGTGAGACTCTGTCTAAAAAAAAAAAAAAAAAAAAAGGATAATTAAAAACTATTAAGAGTTATGAGAAACATGGTTTGGGGCCACTCTTTTATAAGACTGTTTTCGTCACGCTGATAAAAATCTGTTATCTGAAACAGTGTCATTCACTGGTTTTTGTTATTGCTGGTTCTATTCCCTTTGTACCCGTATACACTGAAAAAGTACAAATCTCAAATCCAGGTTGAGTAAGACAGTTTCTACCACCTTTGTGGACATCTCACCTCCTTATCCCTATTGCAGCTAAGGTGTTACTTAGGAAAAGTACTTCTCCCTAGAGCTTTGTTGCTAATTGCCAAAAATGGGTGTGATGTGGCCAAGTGGAGTTGCAGGTTTTCCTCCTGGAATATATTTGTGAACAGGATAGGTTTTCCTTTGACAATGCTTTAAACATAGCTGGTGCTGAAGGGGGGTGTGTGTGTGCGCATGCGTATGCACGTGGTCCAACCCTTTGAGCTTTGAAATTAAATATTTATTGGTTTCAATCTCATGAAGAAACTCCAAAGTCCTTTGGAATCTCTCTCAAATGAATCAGGATTGGAGGGTTGAGTTCTGGGGGGGAAAAGTTATTGACTTCCTAAGAGTTTTTCTCTGTTGAATTTACAGGAAACTGCTGGAAGGCGAGGAGACACGTTTTAGCACCAGTGGGTTAAGCATTTCGGGGCTGAATCCACTTCCCAATCCAAGTTACCTGCTCCCACCTAGAATCCTCAGTGCTACAACCTCCAAAGTCTCATCCACTGGGCTATCACTTAAGAAAGAGGAGGAGGAGGAGGAGGCATCTAAGGTAGCCTCTAAGAAAACCTCCCAGATAGGGGAAAGTTTTGAAGAAATATTAGAGGAGACAGTAATATCTACTAAGAAAACCGAGAAATCAAATATAGAAGAAACCACCATTTCAAGCCAAAAAATATAATTCCATTGCTTTGAAAAAGTTAATGCTTAAGAGGGAATGATATGCATTTGACTTGTTAAACAGCCTATTCCTGAACTATAACACCTGCCACCACTATAAAATGTCTTCAAGGCTTCAGTCTCATATTTAGTATTGAATACTTACATTCTCTAATAAGAAAACCACCCCTTAGATTGAAGTAAACTGCAGTCCTGGAGCAATCACAGATGAGTTATCTAAGAATACAGCTTTCTGACCTTCAGCTCACGCTTCACAGTGATCGATGATTCAGGTGCAGAGGAAGTACAAACTAAGGTGCTAAATCTGCGATCATCGTCATTTGCTGTGAACTGAAATTAAAACTATTCATGCTACCCAGCCATTACCCAGCTAAATAATCTTACTCTAGATACCTAAAACATAAGATCACTGCCAGAGATAAACTAATGGTCCACACCCAATTCCACTCTGATAGAATTATTTCACAAATAATAGGTGTTTGTTTAATGGACACTTTTCACCTCCTTCAATTCCATATATCCTTTTCTTCTATGTAGGAAAAAAATAGTCTAGTGTAGTATTCTTCCCTTTTAAACACATTTTGGTTCTTCTCAAAAGAACTTACCCCCATTCGCGCTCTGCTCAGTGGGTAAAATTAGATGCATGTTGACCATGTCTATGATTCGTGTAATTACTTATCCCTGCCCATTTCATATTCTTTCAATTCTGTAGGTTAAAAAAATGGCAGTGATGAATTTTAAGGGTTTCCCCCAACATATAAAATAATGCAAAGAATCCCTAGACTTTAGGCTTTCAGCTTACACAAATCTATTTAATTAGGAAAAAAACTATTAAGGATGTAGCTTTTCACCTTTACTTTAGAAGCACAGTAAATATCCCAAACTGTGATGAAGCCGACCTTAGATTTAGTAGTGTAAGCTAGAAGAAGTGAGTGTTTCTATGAGTGGAAAAAGCCAAGGTGTCATTTATGTGTCAGTTCATTTGTGGTGATATAGAATTAGCTTTTTCATCCCCTTACCCTTAGAATCCACGTATTCCCCTTCCCACTAGCCTAGGTCATAAAGAGGCGTTGCTTTCACTCTCCTATGCCTTTTACGAGTGCTAAGTGTAGGATATTTTGTCACCAGAACACAATGCTACCGCCCCAAAGTAAAAGAAACCACTTCTGGTCAATCAACACTACCAGCGTATATATAAGAAAGACATCTTTCTCTTTTCTAAAAGACTTCCCTAACACTTACCCCATGGCTGCACAGTTGGTGGGGTCCTGCCGGAGAGGAAGAGACACTCAGACCAGAGAAGGGGTGTGCATGCGCCTACTCGCTTGCTAGAAGTAGATTCTGGACAGTCAGCTCTTCATCTGCCCAACTGTGTAGCATCTGCATTGCCCAGTCTTTCATGTGTGCCAAGGCTGATGCAGGATTTGTTCTCTGTCCAGCAGTCACTTCGGCCAGAGCTGAAGAGTTGCCCCGTCTCTGTTCCATGTCTCCTTTAAGAGCTCTGGTGATAAGGACATGATGCTTTTACTGAACTTTCTTATCCTAGCACATGCTTCAATAGTTCAAGGAACTTGAAAAATACTTTTCCTTACCTTTACCCCATCCCTGTCTTTACTCCTCACACTTACTGTAAGACATTAGTAACATAATAAATTAAAAGTCACACGAATCTCACCAACATAATTCGTGTTCTGTGGTTCCTGCCCTTTCACTGAGAGAAGCACTGTTTGGGTTCAGAGTCAGTCTGGCTCTGACTGATTTGTATCTTCTCTTTTTAGTGAGCCACCTTAATTGCCATGAACTTATTTATAGAAGAAAGATATTGGCCAAGCGTGGTGGCTCATGCCTGGAATCCCAACACTTTGGGAGGCCAAGGTGGGGGTGGTGGGGCAGATGGCCTGATCCCAGGAGTTCGAGACCAGCCTGGGCAACATAGGGAGACCTCATCTCTCAAAAAAATACAAAAATTAGCCAACTGTGGTGGCTCCTGTAGTCCCAGCTACTGGGGAGCTGAGGTGGGAGGATCACTTCAGCCCGGGAGGTGGATGCTGCAGTGAGTTGAGATCACGCCACTGCACTCCAGCTTGGGCAACAGAGTGAGACCCTATCTCAAAAAAAAGAAGAGTAACTTACAGAGTTGAAAAATGATTAATTCAGAATAATAGATAACATGGAAAATGTTCAGAATCAAAGCAGAGAGGTCAAGAGAAGGAAAGCAAGTGACATCAACTGTTACCTAAACAAGACAACAAAATGAATCCAAGAGATGAGGGGAAAGCCTTCCTGCAGCATGTGCTAATGATATCCCATATGACTTTCAGATTCATTAGACAATTATATCCCCTGCATCCAGAGACTTCATAATAGCTAAACTTTATTCAGTACCTATTTACTATGTGTCAGACACTATATGAGCTAGTAAACAGAATTGTATAAACCTCACAACTACTCGTTAGGTATAGTATTTGTATCCCCATTTTACAAATGAAGAAGTAGAACCTCAGAATAACAAGGTTAATACCCTGGTCTGATATCACACAGGAAGTGGCAGAGCTGAGCTTTGGACCCTTGTCTTCTGTCTGACTCTACAATACTTGCTTTTCTTCCCTTTTTTTTTTTTTTTTTTTTAATGAGATGGAGTCTTGCTCTGTTGTTCAGGCTGGAGTGCAGTGGCATGATTTCGGCTCACTGCAACCTCCACCTCCTGGGTTCAAGCGATTCTCCTTCCTCAGCCTCCCATGTAGCTGGAACTACAGGTGTGTGCCACCACGCCCAGCTAATTTTTGTATTTTCAGTGGAGACGGGGTTTCATCATGTTGGCCAGGCTGGTCTCGACCTCCTGACCTCAAATGATCCACCCGCCTCGGCCTCCCAAAGTACTGGGATTACAGGCGGGAGCCACCACACCTGGCCCTTATGTTTCCTTTCTACATAAATCCCCTTGCTGAAGGGAGTAGAAGTCTTTCTTTTTATCTTGTTCCACCTCTTTCTCACCATGTTTTACTTAAGGTTTCTCTGTCCCAGAAAACTTTTGCAACACCAAATCCTCCAGGCAAACTGCTGCACTCGCAGACTTCCTCAGCCGCTGCCTTCCTGCATTGCCAGGAGGTGGTGGTATCTCAAAACTGGACTTTGGGCCCAGGCAACCACAAATCACCTCTGCTTCTGCCAAAAATTACATAGACTTGGGTACTCGTTTTCTATTAAAAAAAAAAAAAAAGGGAGGTGGGGTGGGCTTTCTTATAATTTAGCAAAGGAATTCTGTAGCTTCCCATCAAGGGGCCAGAAAATGAGGGCGTATTACAGAAGGGACAATTCTACAAGAGGTGGTCAATCCAGGGCACTTAGAATTCATTCTACCGCCTTGGCTATCAAGGCAAAATCTGAACAACTGTCTGGAGGCTACAGCCCAAAGTTTAGCTCCAGAGTTAATGTAAGTCACAAATAATTGTGGGGATAAACTTCTAGAACTTACTTGTGAACTCGAACAGAGGACCAGTGCCACCATTAATGGCTCTAAGGACAAACATGAAATAGCTTTTAAAATGTATTTAAGGTCATACGCGGTGGTTCACGCCCGTAATCCTGGCACTTTGGGAGGCTGAGGCAGGTGAATCACTTGAGGTCAAGAGTTCAGGGCCAGCCTGGCCAACATGGTGAAACTCCATTTCTACTAAAAATACAAAAACTAGCCAGATGTGGTGGCACGTACCTGTAATCCCAGCTACTCGGGAGGCTGAGAGAGGAGAATTGCTTGAACCCAGGGGGTGGAGGTTGCAGCTAGCTGAGATCGCACCACTTCACTCCAGCCTGGGTGAAAGAGTGAAACTGTGTCTCAAAAAAAAAAAAAAGAGTATTTAAAAATCAACTGGGGCCAAGTGTGGTGGCTCACACCTGTAATCCCAGCACTTTGGGAGTCTGAGGCGGGTGGACCACGTGACTTCAGGAGTTCAAGACCAGCCTGGGCAACATGGTAAAACCCTCTCTCTACAAAAAATACAAGAATGACCTGGGCGTGGTGGTGCACACCTGTAGTTCCAGCTACTTGGGAGGCTGAGGTGGGAGGATTGCTTGAGCCCAGGAGGTCGAGGCTGCAGTGAGCCATGATAGTGCCACTGCACTCCAGCCTGGGTGATAGAGTGAGACCGTGTCTCAAAAAACAAAATACAAACCTGCAACAAAAAGCAGACTGAAAGTTGCCAAGGCTTGGCTGGGCGCAGTGCCTCACGCCTGTAATCCGAGAATTTTGGGAGGCCGAGGCGGGTGGATCACCTGAGGTCAGGAGTTCGAGAGCAGCCTGGCCAACATGGTGGAACCCCATCTCTACTAAAAATACAAAATTAGCCAGATGTGGTGGCAGGCAGCTGTAATCCCAGCTACTAAAGAGGCTGAGGTGGGAAAATCGCTTGAACCCGGGAGGCGGAGGTTGCAGTGAGCTGAGATGGTGCCGTTGCACTCCAGCCTGGGCAACTAGAGCAAAACACAGTCTCAAAAAAAAAAAAAAGTTGCCAGGGCTGGAGAGAGGGGGCAATGGGGCATGACTATTCATCGGATATGGGGTTTTATTTTGGTGTGATGAAGATGTTGTGGAACTAGATAGAGGTGGTGGCAGCACAACATTGTGAATGCACTAAGTGCCACTGAATCATTCACTTTAAAATGATTGATTTTATGTTATATAAATTTCACCTCAATTTTAAAAACCCGCTGGTAGGAAATTTGGCCAGGCATGGTGGCTCACGCCTGTAATCCCAGCACTTTGGGAGGCCAAGGTAGGCAGATCACGAGGTCAAGAGATAGAGACCATCCTGGCCAACATGGTGAAACCCTGTCTCTACTAAAAATACAAAAATTAGCTGGGTATGGTGGCGCACGCCTGCAGTCACAGCTACTTGTGAGGCTGAGACAGGAGAATCGCTTGAACCCAGGAGGCGGAGGTTGCAGTGAGCCAAGATCGGGCCACTGCACTCCAGCCTGGTGACAGAGCAAGACTCCATCTCAAAAAAACGAAACAAAAAACAAACCCACTGGTAGGAAATTTATGGAACTATCAGAAAAATATAATCATGAACGTCTCATACACTTTCTGCTCCAGCTGAGACCACTGTGTATAGCCACCCTGGGTCAATCCCCGTTAGAAGGAATCCCATTAGGAAAACATAAACCAGATCTAATAAGAGTATTGATTTCAGCTAGGCGTGGTGGCTTATGCCTGTAATCCCAGCGCTTTCGGAGGCCAAAGCGGGTGGATCACCTGAGGTCAGGGGTTCAAGATCAGCCTGGCCAACATGGTGAAACCCCATCTCTACTAGAAATATAAAAATATTAGCCAGGCATGGTGGGGGACACCTGTAATCCCACCTACTTGGGAGGCTGAGGCAGGAGAATCACTTGAACCCAGAAGGCGGAAGTTGCAGTGAGCCAAGATCATGCCATTGCACTCCAGCCTGGGCAACAAGAGCAAAACTCCGTCTCAAAAAAAAAAAAAAAAAACGAAAAAAAAGAGTATTGATTTCAAAACAGAGCCCAAAGAAAAAGCCAGAAATCTCTCTGGATGTAAATGGGTTTAAACACACACACACACACACACACACACACACACACACACACACGCACGCAGAGCTGGAAATGTTGCTTACTTATAAGTACCATCACTAAATTTCAACTAATATTATTTTTATTATTATATCATCAGATGTCTCTAAGTTCCTGAAAAACACCTAAATTGTAGGAATACTTTTATTTTTTTGGCCGGGCATGGTGGCTTACGCCTGTAATCCCAGCACTTTGGGTGGCCGAGGCGGGCAGATCACAAGGTCAGGAGGTCGAGACCATCCTGTCTAACACGGTGAAAACCCATCTCTACTAAAAATACAAAAAATAAGCCAGGCGTGGTGGCAGGCACCTGTAGTCCCAGCTACTTGGGAGGCTGAGGCAGGAGAATGGCATGAACCCAGGAGGCGGAACTTGTAGTGAGCAGAGATAGAGCCACTGCACTCCAGCCTGGGCAACAGAGTGAGACTCCATCTCAAAAAAAAAAAAAGAATACTTTCATTTTTCTTACAACAAAATAAGTTTATGTACCTGAAAGTTTTTTTGATGTGTGTTTTTGTGTTTGTTTTTGTTGTTGTTGTTGTTGTTGTTGAGACAGAGTCTTGCTCTGTTGCCCAGGCTGGAGTGCAATGGCACGATCTCGGCTCACTGCAACCTCTGCCTCCTGGTTTGAAGTGATTCTCATGCCTCAGCCTCCTGAGCAGCTGGGATTACAAGTATGTGCCACCACACCCGGCTAATTTTTGTATTTTTAGTAAAGACGGGGTTTTGCCATGTTGGCCAAGCCGATCTCAAACTCCTGGTCTCAAGTGATCTGCCTGGCTTGGCCTCCCAAAATGCTGGGATTACAGGTGTGAGCCACCGCACCTGGCCTGTACCTGAAAATTAGCACAGTAATTTAAAATGGAAATAACAGAGAGTGGGCTTCATGGGCGTTTAAAGCAGAACTCATATGTGACATTTGATTTTTCTTTATAGAACACACAATACTGGCTTTGCGAAATTTTCAAGCTTAAGGTACGGGTTACATTGAAGTCATCATGCATTTTGCGATTTTCAAATATCTCACCTGCCATTTTCAAAAGGGTGGGTGCTCCTGAATCTAGCAAATAAAGGACTGTTTTTATTACATTACCATGCCCTGCTGCATACTCTTAAAGAATGAAGAGAGTGATTACTATATAGATCAAAGGGCTTCTCTCCTCCTTTGTTGATCTCCCATAAGATGGTTTGATTTCCCCTATGTTTTATGCTGATATTTCACAGGCTTACTAGCTGGGGGCGGAGACCAGCTAAGATTTATAAACCCTTTTTTACATTCCCTTTAAAACACACACATACACACACACACATACACACAGCAGAATTATGATAAAATGGAGTGAGTCACACTGCAGATATTTCAAGACTTATTTTTTTGCAGTGTCTCAGGGATTCTGAATGAAACAAAACAGAGGAAGCTCAAGCTACAAAGAAAACTGAAGATTGAAGTTAGAGGGGTCTCTAGGCTTGCTTCCTCATTGATTAATCACTGTGGATCACCACATGGCTATTCTCTCCCATAATGAGGCAAATGGTCTCTGTTCTGGGTCTGAGACATTTCATTCTAGTTCTATCATACACTCCTAAGGGTTATAGAATGCTCAGTAGAGTGTAACCAAGATCATTTGTATAAGGACTAGAGTTTTGGAATACTAACGAGTGGCAGCTTTTAGTCAATTGCTGATTATTGCACATGGCAAAAATAGCATATTTTCTTAGAAGTGCTTATTAAAACAAATTTAACTCACAGGTTCATTTGCTATGCTACATGTATGAATAAGTGAGAGGTGTAATTTCAATCTTCCATGGTTTCCTGGGATAAGAATTCATACACGACATTTAAAATTCCTGATATTCTTTAGGGCTAAACAATACTTTATCTTAAACTAAGACTTTAGCTCAACAACAGGAACTCTTTCTGACAACTGAAACTGTCTGTCCATGGAATAATCTGGTCATAAAGCAGAAGCAGAAGAGCTAAGATTGGAATTAGGGTGAAAGCAGAATGCAGGTCCAACTTCTGCTCCTGAGATGTTGATCGCCAAGCTGTATCCCCATCTCTTTCCTGGTTATTGATAGAAGCAGGTAAGATGATAAATATGTAAGAAGAAAGGAAAAAATAGATGGCTCAACAGCAATCTTGTAATATTAATGGACCCTCTTATTCATCAGAAAGGAACTAACTCAGCAAAGTAATCTGAGAAGTGAGTATGTAAGGACCATATTTGAACTTGATAATAGATTGTGCCAGGTACTGTTCTCAGTGCTTTATATATTCACTTGATTCTCATGACAACCCCTTGAGTTAGGTACCATTGTTCCCTTTTACAGAGAAGAAAAACTAAAGTTTACAAAAGTTAAATAATATGTCCAAGATCACAGAGTTTGCAAGCAGCAAAGCTGGGATTTTATGTTTTTGTTTTTTGTTTTTGTTGTTTGTTTTTTTGTTTTTGTTTGTTTTTGAGACAGAGTCAGACTGGAGTGCAGTGGCATGATCTTGGCTCACCGCAACCTCTGCTTCCTGGGTTCAAGTGATTCTCCTGCTTCAGCCTCCCAGGTAGCTGAGACTACAGGTGCTTGCCACCATGCCCGGCTAATTTTTATATTTTTAGTAGAGATGGGGTTTCGCTATGTTGGTCAGGCTGGTCTCAAACTCCTGACCTCAGGTGATCTGCCTGCCTTGGCCTCCCAAAGTGCTGGGATTACAGGCGTGAGCCACCACACCTGGCCTACAGCGGGGATTTTAAGCTCTGTAGTCTGGCTCTATGATTTGTGTCCTTAACGACTATGCAATACTGCCTTTATGTCTTATTTTATTTTATTTTATTTTACTTATTTTTTAAGAGACAGAGTCTCATTCTGCCGCCCAGGCTGGAGTGCAGTGTTATAATTATAGCTCACTGCAGTCTTGAACTCCTGGGGTCAAGTGATCCTCCCGAGTAGCTGGGATTACAGGCACAAAGAACCGTGCCCAGCTCCCTGCCTTTATTTCTGTTCAGGGAAAAAAAATGTTCCTGGCAGCCTTTTCTTCATCTTCTAATTTAAAATATTATTCAACTAGCTTTTCTCTCAGGGAAAATGTTTCCTGAGAAACCTCAGAAGAAAAAATTGTTTCTCATTTCAATGAAAATGGTGTCATAATAAGAAGCCCTGTAAAACCACAGACACCATCAGCACCAAATCAAAATGCAGTATCGATCAAGCCATAATACCCATTCTGTGTAAGTAACTACTTGGCAGGCTTTCGGGAGATCAATATGTCATTTCATTTGTGAGAGGACTATTAATCTCTACAGGTAATAAAATTTAGATTTCACTAGTCCAGTTGTGAAGAGAAGCCAATAATCAAACTCATATACACAACAACATAATGAAAAAGGATAAAAAATAGGACTTCCTCTTAAGACATGGTCTACTAAAGAAAACAAAGATGAACATTCAGAATCAGCATGTGCTTGAATCTTCTCTATTATCAGAGGTTTCCAAGATAACAAAATACAGCATAGTGGTTGCAATGACTAGAGGTTCTTTTTTGAGACACAGTCTCACTCTGTCACCCAGGCTGGAGTGCAGTGGTGCAATCTCAGCTCACTGAAACCTCCGCCTCCCGGGTTCAAGCAATTCTCCTGCCTCAGCCTCCTGAGTAGCTGGGATTACAGGCACACGCCACCACGCCCGGCTAACTTTTGTATTTTTAGTAGAGATGGGGTTTTGTCATATTGGCCAGGCTGGTCTCAAACTCCTGACCTTGTGATCCGCCCACCTCGGCCACCCAAAGTGCTGGGATTACAGGCATGAGCCACTGCACCCAGCTGCGAGTTTTAAAGAAAAGAAAAAACAGAATAAAAATTTTAACAGTGAGTTACAAATACATCTGATGAGTAAATATCTCCTGGTGAAATTATAAGAACACTTATCTAAGAGTGGATAATAGGGTACACACTTTGGACAAGCTGAATTGGACAAATACATGGGTCCAAGGTGTTACTTTCAGGAATCCTAAACCAAGTCTCTGTAGGAGAGGGGATAGAGTATGTCCAGGTCGGTGTTAGCTTGGAGTCCAAAGGAAGAACTGTTGAAACTAGGTAAGAATGCATCTGACTGAAGCAGCAGAGAAAGGCAGTGCAGAGGAAGGAGAGTGACGCCCAAGGTCAGCGGGAATGGCTGAGATCTATATTACAGAGAAAACGGGATGGCATTAAAGGAGAAACGAGAAAACTGCTAAGCACTCATTCTGCCAAATTAAAACTACCACGAATGGCCAGGCACAGTGGCTCATGCCTGTAATCCCAGCATTTTGGGAGGCCAAGGAGGGCAGATCACCTGAGGTCAGGAGTTTGAGAGCAGCCTGGCCAACATAGTGAAACCCCGTTTCTACTAAAAATACAAAAATTAGCCGGGTGTGGTGGTGAGTGCCTGTAGTCCCAGCTACTCGGGAGGCTGAGGCAGGAGAATTCCTTGAACCTGGGAGGCAGAGGCTGCAGCCGGCTGAGATTGTGCCACTGCACTTTAGCCTGGGTGACAGAATGAGACTCTGTTTCAAAAAAAAAAAAAAAAATTAAAAAAAAAAATAAAACTACCATGAACTATTCCTCTGGGCATCTTTGCTTAATATTACCTCAGATAGGGATTAGGCAAAAACAAAAGGACCTGCAAATTGTCCCAATCAAACAAATCTTTCTTTAGCCATTGAAGTTAGGCTCTAGAATCTGTACTTCATATGCTCTATTGCAAACTTTTGTGCAGATTTGGGTATCTAGTTTTGTTTCTGTTTCTGTTCCTAGTAAAAACTCCTTTTGAAAAAACTTTCAACCAGGCGCAGTGGCTCATGCCTGTAATTTCAGCACTTTAGGAGGCTGAGGCAGGAGAATTGCTTGAACCTAGGCGGCAGAGGTTGCAGTGAGCTGAGATCGAGCCACTGCACTCCAGCTTGGGAGACAGAGTGAGACTCTGTGTCAAAAAAAAATTAATAAAATAAAAAACCTTCATCTCAGCTAAACTAAATGCATGGTGCTGGTGGTGACAATAAGACTAACACATGTATCCGGGCCTTGTGCACCTTCAGCAGAGATAAAGTGAGAACAGGTAAGTGGGGGAATCAGAGTGAATCAAGACTGGGCATTTGAGCCTGACATGGTGGCTCATGACTGTAACCCCAGCACTTTGGGATGCTGAGGTGGACAGAAACCCCAACTCCACTAAAAATACAAAAATTAGCCAGGCATGGTGGCAGGCACCTGTAGTCCCAGTTACTCAGGAGGCTGAGGTGGGGGAGGATTCCTTGAGCGGGGAAGATGGAGCCTGCAGTGAGCTGAGATCATGCCACGGCACTCCAGCCTGGGAAACAGAGGGAGACCTTATCTCAAAAAAAAAAAAAAAAAAAAAAAAAAAGCTGGGTGTGGTGGCTCATGCCTGTAATCCCAGCACTTTGGGAGGCTGAGGCAGGCGGATCATGAGGGTCAGGAGTTCGAGACCAACAACAACAACAACAACAACAAAAGACTGGGCGTTTTTTTTTTTTTTTTTTTTTTTAAGGAGACAGAGTCTCACTTTGTCACCCAGGCTGGAGTGTGCAGTGCAGTGGCATGATTGTAGCTCACTGCAGCCTTGACCTCCTGGGCTCAAGCAATCTCCTTGCTTCAGCCTCCCAAGTAGCTGGGATCAGAGGAGCACACAACCACGACTAGCTAATTTTTTTTTTTTTTAAACGGAGTCTTGCTCTGTCGCCCAGGCTGGAGTGCAGTGGCGTGATCTCCGCTCACTGCAAGCTCCGCCTCCCTGGTTCACGCCATTCTCCTGCCTCAGCCTCCTGAGTAGCTGGGACTACAGGCGCCTGCCACTATGCCCGGCTAATTTTTTGTATTTTTAGTAGAGATGGGGTTTCACCGTGTTAGCCAGGATGGTCTTGATCTCCTGACCTCGTGATCCGCCCACCTTGGCCTCCCAAAGTGCTGGGATTACAGGAGTGAGCCACCTCGCCCGGCACAACTAGCTAATTTTTATTTTTATTTTTTGAGACAGGATCTGCCTCTGTAACCCGGGCTATGTGCAGTGGTGCAATCTCAGCTGACTGCAACCTCCATCTCCTGGGCTCAAGTGATACTCCCACCTCAGCCTCTTGAGTAGATGGGACTACAGGCTCGCCCCACCATACCTGGCTAATTTTTGTATTTTTTGTAGAGTCGGTGTTTCGCCATGTTGCCCAGGCTGGTCTCAAACTCCTGGGCTCAGGCGATCCTCCCACATTTGCCTCCCGAAGTGCTGGAATTACAGGCGTGAGCCATGGTGCCCAGCATCTGGCTAATTTTTACTTGTGGTTTTTCCCTCATTTTTTGACCTTCTGGTTATTTAAAGACAGCTACAGGCCGGGCGCGGTGGCTCACGCCTGTAATCCTCGCACTTTGGGAGGCCGAGGTGCGTGGATCATGAGGTCAGGAGTTCAAGACCAGTCTGGCCAAGATGGTGAAACCCCATCTCTACTAAAAATACAAAAAATTAGCCGGGCACGGTGGCGGGCACGGTGGCAGGCACTTGTAATCTCAGCTACTTGGGAGGTTGAGGCAGAAAAATCGCTTGAACTCGGAGGATGGAGGTTGCAGTAAGCCGAGATCTTGCCAATGCACTCCAGCCTGGTGACAGAGCAAGACTCTGTTTAAAAAAAAAAAAGAAAAGGTAGAATTTTTTTGACTCACAGTACTTACCAATAACTGCTTTTTATTAGATTCTTAGAGGTGTTGTAACCCATAGGCTGTGAGTTCCTTGAAGACAGATCACTCCTCTTTGAATCTTCTTGTCCACACAATGTCTAACAAGTGACACTCTTAACTTGCTCATCACAGAAGTGTTTATCAAATAATTACATTTGATATTCTACTTTTAAGGAGATAAGTATTTTGCCATGTTACAGTAATGAATGGGATGGTTATTGAGGAAAATAGGGGGTAAGTGAATGCTTACCCCAAGTCTACAGTTGAGTCTCTGTGGGGATAATCTCTTCCCTGAAATGGCAAAATTTGTAATGTGGCCGGGCGCGTTGGCTCACACCTGTAATCCCAGCACTTTGGGAGGCTGAGGTGGGCGGATCACGAGGTCCACGAGGTCAGCAGTTTGAGACCAGCCTGACCAACATGGTGAAACCCCGTCTCTACTAAAAATACAAAAATTAGCTAGGCATGGTGGCGGGTGGCCTGTAATCCCAGCTATTCAGGAGGCTGAGGCAGGAGAATCGCTTAAACCCGGGAGGTAGAGGTTGCAGTGAGCCGAGATCATACCACTGCACTCCAGCCTGGGCAACAGTGCGAGACTTGTCTCAAAAAAAAAAAAAAAATTAGCCGTGTGTGGTGGCACAGGCCTGTAATCCCAGCTACTCGGGAGGCTGAGGCACAAGAATCGCTTGAATTTGGGAGGCAGAGGTAGCAGTGAGGTGAGATCACGCCACTGCACTCCACCTGGGTGACAGCCTTAAGACTCTGTCTCAAAAAAAAAAAAAAAAATCTGTAATGTTGAAAACAACAAAATCTGGGTTCTGAAGACAATAATCTTTAAACATTAACATCTCTTCAACTCTCGGTCAACTCACTTGTTACAAGTGGCACATTCTAAGTAGCTACTAAAGATCAGGCTTTTTTTGAGACAGTGTCTTGCTCTGTTGCCTAGGCTGGAGTGCAGCGGCAGGATCGTAGCTCACTGTAGCCTTGACCACCCAGGCTATTGATCCTCCTGAGTAGTTGGGACTACAGCCATTCACCACCATGCCCAGGTAATTTTTTTTTTTTTTCTGTAGAGATGGGATCTTGCTATGTTGCCTAGGCTGGTCTCGAATTCCTGAGCTCAAGTGATCTGCCCACCTTGGCCTCCCAAAGTGCTGGGATTACAGGCATGAGCCACCACGCCTGGCTTATTTTTTATTTTTTTTGAGATGGAGTCTCACTCACTCTGTCGCCCAGGCTGGAGAGCAGTGGCACAGTCTCGGCTCACTGCAACCTCCGTCTCCTGGGCTCAAGCGATTCTCCTGCCTCAGCCTCCCAAGTAGCTGGGAATACAGGCACACACCACCATGCCCAGCTACTTTTGTATTTTTAGTAGAGACGTTGGCCAGGCTGGTTTCAAACTCCTGACCTCAAATGATCTGCCCGTCTGGCCTCCCAAAGTGCTGGGATTACAGGCATGAGCCACAGTGCCTGACCTGGTTTTTTTTTTTTTTTTTGTGAGATGGAGTCTTGCTCTGTCTCCCAGGCTGGAATGCAATGGTGCAATCTCAGCTCACTGCCTCCCAGATTCAAGCAATTCTCCTTCCTCAGCCTCCTGAGTAGCTGGGATTACAGGTACCTGCTACCACACCCAGCTAATTTTTGTATTTTTAGTAGAGACGAGGCTTAACCATATTGGCCAGGCTGGTCTCAAACTCCTGACCTCAGGTGATCCACCTGCCTCGGTCTTCCAAAGTGCTGGGATTACAGGCGTGAGCCACTGCACCCAGCCCTGGCCTGGTTATTTTTTTTTTAACCCACAGTAAACACTAACATTCCCAAATAGGTTAAAATACATTTTTATTAAATGTTAGAATAAATTTATACACAATTCACAAATTCTTTACAAAGAATTGCCAATCTTTTTCCAATTTTGTAGTAGTCTCTACACATTCAGAAATTCTGCTGTTAAACAGGATTTATAAAATATTTCTTTCAGAAAGCATCACAATGCTAATTTTAGGCAAATAATGTTTTAAAACTGAAGTCTTTGCATGGAGGTGAGCTCAAACACCCTTATTCTTTATTGCAGTGATGAAATAATGAGAAAAATAAACATTAAACTGACTTACTAAGAAAACAATGAATAAGTAATTCTGTAAACTTCTCAAATTCTCCTAAAATTTTTTATTACTTTCAGAAGCAATACTATTGCAAGGTATCAACAACCACACTATGTACCCAAATAAAATGAATGTCAGAAATAAAAATACTGTCACAAAGAAGCACCCCTTATTGGAAGATGTATTGAAGAAGTCTTATTACACTGAAATTTTATGGCACAGATCATAAACTCAGAGTCTCTTCACACATAATAACAATTCATCCATTTTGAAATGAGTAACTTCTCCTTTGTAGTGTTGCTAGTATAAAAAAAGGTACAAGTTCAAAATATGCTGGCAACATACAAAAGTGGCCAATAGTTTTGGTCTTTGAGAGTACACCCTGCAGTTTAACAAAGACTGGCTTTGAATCTTCCACTCAAAAGCACACTTCTCTTCCAAAAAGATGACTGCCCAACTGATGCCATCCCAGAGAGCAGATATCCCAACCACCAACTTGAAATGGCTGAACAAAGAAAACTAACCAATTACTTCAAAGATGGGAAGCAAAATCAATGTCAAGGTATTTAAAATCATAAGAAATTTTAAAATTCAATTTTTGAAAAATTTCCCCTGAGCTTTGGCTGCTTTTTATATACAGTCTCTAGTAACAGATGCATTCCATCGTTCCAAGTTGTACTTATAAACGCTATAATTCTTGGTGCTAAAAATAGGTAAGTTATGTCTTGAACAGCAAAGTGGTAGCAATTACATTTCATGGAAATCTTTGGTGAGATGCAGTCCTGCAGAAGCCTCCTTTGTTTCCCTCCTCATAATGTGCCTAGAATCTTCAAGTTATCTTCAGAGGAGAAACCACAAGACCATAATGAAGGACAAGCAGACCATCCTGAAAAGGGGAGAAAAAAAGACGATTTTGCAGTTCTTTCAAACCAGTAATGCAAATGATCAAGTCAAAGCTGGCTTACTTTTTTTTAATAATCTAACACTAAGGTGAAATTCTTTAATTTAAAGAAAATAAGTGGACCATATAGTTTCTTATTCACCAAACACTCCTTGTGAATGTGCTTTTTTTTTTTTTTGAGACAGAGTCTCACTCTGTTGCCCAGGCTGGAGTGCAGTGGTGCAATCTCAGCTCACTGCAACCTCTGCCTCCCAGGTTCAAGCAATTCTCCTGCTTCAGCCTCCCAAGTAGCTGGGATTACAGGCACCCGCCACCATACTCAGCTAATTTTTGTACGTATGTATCATATGCATGTATGTATGTATACATTTATTTATTTTTTGAGTCGGAATCTTGCTCTGTTGCCCAGGCTGGAGTACAGTGGTGCGATCTCTGCTCACTGCAGCCTATGCCTCCCAGGTTCAAGCAATTCTCCTGCCTCAGCCTACCGAGTAGCTGCAATTACACGTGCGTGCTACCAGGCCCAGCTAAATTTTGTATTTTTAGTAGAGACAGGGTTTTGCCATGTTGGCCAGGCTGGTCTTGAACTCCTAATCTCAGATGATCCTCCTGCCTCAGCCTCCCACAGTGCTGGGATTAGAGGCGTGAGCCAGAACACCTGGCCCGACACCCAGCCCCACTTTTTTTTTTTTTTTTGAAGACAGGGTCTTGCTGTGTTGCCCAGGCTGGAGTTCAGTGGCCAAATCTGGACTCACTGCAGCCTTGACCACCTGGGCTCAAGCGATCCTCCCACCTCAGCCTTATGAATAGCTGGGAAAATAGACACGCACCACCACCAGACTCATTTTTGTATTTTTTGTAGGAGACAGAGTTTCACCGTATTGCATAGGCTGGGCTCAAACAATCTGCCTGTCTCAGACTCCCAAAGTGCTGGGATTACAAGCGTGAGCCATCTAGACCAGCTTGTCAATGTGTCTTTTTAATGACTCTCAGGAGCCAATTCTGAAACTATCATGTAGCCATAAACACAAACTGGAGTGCAATGGCGCGATCATAGCTCACTGTAGCCTCAATCTCCCAGGCTCAAGTGATCCTCCAACCTCAGCTTCGCAACTAGCTGGGACCACACACACGCATGTGCCACCATGCCTGGCTACTTCAAAATTTTTTTTTTCCCAGTATAAACGAGGTCTTGCTATGTAACCCAGGCTGGTCTCAAACTCTTGAGCTTCAAGCAATACCCCCATCTTGGCTTCCCAAAGTGTGGGATTACAGGTGTGAGGCACGCATCCAGCCCAGACTTTTTTTTTTTTGAAACACAGTCTGGCTCTGTCACCAGGCTGGAGTGCAATGGCGCAATCTTGGCTCACTGCAACCTCCGCCTCCCGGGTTCAAGCGATTCTCCTGCCTCAGCCTCTTGACCAGCTGGAACGACAGGGGCCCGCCATCACGCCTGGCTAATTTTCGTAATTTTAGTAGAGACGGGGTTTCACCATGTTGGCCAGGCTGGTCCCGAACTCCTGACCTCAGGTGATCTGCCCACCTCAGCCTTCCAAAGTGCTGGGATTACAAGTGTGACCCGCTGCACCCGGCCCTAGACTTCTTAATAGACTATTTAAGCATTAGATTCTCCTAAAAAAGACTCAACTACTACAACGCATCGCAGATCTGTTCACTTCCACATAAATGCAGCTCACCACTATAATAATTGCTAAAGCTCTGAAACACTTACTCATTTAATGAAAGCCTAAAATATATATGTTTTACTTCTGCCTTAAAGAATGCCCTCAGCTGGATGCAGTGGCTCATGCCTGTAATCCCAACACTTTGAGAGTCCGAGGTGGGCAGGTCACTTGAGACCGGGAGTTCAAGACCAGCCTGGGCAACATGGTGAAACTCCCCCTCTCTACTTATATAATTTAAAAAAAAAAAAAAGGAAAAAGAATTTTTTAAAAGAGTAAAGAATGCCCCAGGGCAGTTAGGCAACTTAACCCCCATACTATATGATTCCAGATGCTATGTGTCCAAGTCTTTTTATCTACTTTTTGTGGCGTTCTATCTCCTTTCTTGATACCAGATCTTAATTCTTTGGCTCTCACCAAGGCTGCATCCGCAAGCAATCCACCTTTTTTTTTTTTTGAGATGGAGTTTTGCTCTCTTGCCCAGGTTGGAGTGCAATGGTGCCATCTCGGCTCACTGCAATCTCCGCCTCCCGGGTTCAAGCGATTCTCCTGCCTCAGCCTCCTGAGTAGCTGGGATTACAGGCAGGCGTCAACACCCACCGCTAATTTTTGTATTTTGAGTAGAGATGGGGTTTCTCCATGTTGGTCAGGCTGGTCTTGAACTCGCGACCTCAGGTGATCCGCCCGCCTTGGCCTCCCAAAGTGCTGGAATTATAGGTGTGAGCCACAACGCCTGGCCGCAATCCACCTTTTTAAGGGACTATTTCTAATTTCCTGCAGACTGGATAACTAGCTAAAAGGAAAGGTCATTGGGAAATGTGCCACAGACCTGAACTGAGCAACACAGAGAAGGGGTTGCAGCTCATATATCCTGTATTTCCAGTGCTGCTCTGGCTATTACTCTCCTTCGCTTCTTTGCTAAGCTTTTCCATGGCTCCACTTCCTCACTCCTCAACTCACTGCAATCTGGTTTGTGTTCCTGGCAATTACAGTAAAAACTCACCAGAATTCTAGAAAAAGGTTCACAAATTCAAGTGCCCACAAGGCCCAGGCCAGTAACATAAATGAATACATAAGTTAGGTATGTGAAGTCAATAGGGAATGTTGAAGACCAGTGGTAAACCAGAGAGAGCAGATGTCTATCTAAAGAAATTTAAACTCAAGGCCAGGTGCAGGGGCTCATGCCTATAATCCTAGCACTTTGGGAGGCCAAGGCAGGTGGATCACCTGAGCCCAGGAGTTCAAGACCACACTGGGCAACATAGTGAGACCCCGTCTCTACAAAAAATACAAAAATTAGCCAGGTGTGGTGGCACATGTCTATATTTCCAGCTACTCAAGAGGCTGAGGTGGGAGGATCACTTGAGCCTGGGAGGCAAAGGTTGCAGTGAGCCAAGATCATGCCACTGCACTCCAGCCTGGGTGACAGAGCCAGACCCTGTCTCAAAAACAAACAAAAAATAAAAAATAAAAAAATAAAAAAATTTAAACACAAGGCCAGGTGTGGTGGCTCATGGCTCATGCCTGTAATCCCAGCACTTTGAAAGGCTGAGGTTGGAGTATCACTTGAGCTCAGGAGTTCAAGACCAGCCTGGGCAACAAAGTGAGACCCCCATTTCTATGAAAAATAAAAAAATTAGCCAGTGGCACACCTCTGGTAACCAGCCACACGGGAGGCTGAGGCAGGAGGATTGCTTGAGCCCAGGAGGTTGAGGCTACAGTGAACCATATTCATGCCACTGCACTCCAACCTGGGCAACACGACAAGACCACACAGCAAGACCCTGTCTCAAAAAAAAAAGAAAGAAAGTTTGTTTATTTCATTCATTTATTATTTTGAGACAGGGTCTTGCTCTGTCGCACAGGCTGGCATGAATGATCAGAGCTCGCAACAGCCCTGAACTCCCAGGCTTAAGTGATCTTCTCACCTTAGTCTCCCAAGTAGCTGGGACTACAGGTGCATGCCACCATGCCCTGCCAGTTTTTGTATTTTTTGTAGAGACAGGGTTTCAGCATGTTGCCCAGGCTGGTCTCAAACTCCTGGGCTCAAGTGACCCTCCCGCCTCGGCCTCCCAGAATACGGGGATTACAGGTGTGAGACATCATGCCTAACCTGAGTACATTTTATGATGCTTGCACAATCATTAAATTGCCTAACAATGCATTTCTCAGAACATATCCCTATTGTTAAGTGACGCATAACTGCATATATATTTGCAGACTTAATGACTATGGTTTATTGTGGAAATCTTTATTGAATTTTTAAAAATAAAATTAATTTAAAATGTTCTTTTTGGCCAGGCATGCTGGCTCACGCCTGGAATCCCAGCAGTTTGGGAGGCTGAGGCGAGCAGATCACTTGAGGTCAGGAGTTCAAGACCGGCCTGGATGTCTAGGCAGAAGCCTGCTGTAGTGGCAGAGCCCTCACAGAGAACCTCTACTAGGGCAGTGCGGAGGGGAAAAGTGGGGTTGGAGCCCCCACATAGGGTCTCCACTGGGGAACTGCCCAGTGGTGCTGTGAGAAGAGGGCCACTGTCCTCCAGATCCCAGAATGGTAGACCCACTGAGAGCTTGCACCCTGAGTTTGAAAATGCCATAGGCACTCAACACCAGCTCGTGAGAGAAGCCATGGGGGCCAAACCCTGCAAGGTCACAGAGGTGGAGCTGCTCAAGGCCTTGGGAACCCACCCTTGCACCAGTGTACCATGGATGTAGGGCAGGGAGACAAAGGAGATTTTAGAGCTTTTTTTTTTTTTCTGAGACAGAGTCTTGCTCTGTTGCCCAGGCTGGAGTGCAGTGGTGTGATCTCTGCTCACTGCAACCTCTGCCTCCCAGGTTCAAGCAATTCTCCTACCTCAGCCTCCCAAGTAGCTGGGATTACAGTAGTGCACCACCATGCCTGGCTAATTTTGAGCTTTAAGATTTAATGAGAGCCAGGCATGGTGGATCACGCCTGTAATCCCAGCACTTTGGAAAGCTGAGGCAGAAAGATTGCCTGAGCCCAGGGGTTTGAGACCAGCCGGGGCAACATGGTAAAACCCCATCTCTACAAAAAAATACAAAAATTAGCCAGGTTTGGTGGTGTGCACCTGCAGTCCCACCAAGCTGGGAGGCTGAGGTGGGAGAATCACTTGAGCCTGGGAGGCAGAGGTTGCAGTGAGCCTATCACACTACTGCACTCTAACCTGAGTGACAGAGAGAGAGAGACTCCATCTCAAAAAATAAATAAATAAATAAAAATAAAAAAATTAATGGCTGCTGTTCTGTGTTTCAGACTTACATGGGGACATATAGCCTCATTCTTTTGGCCAATTTCTCCCTTTTGGAATGAGAGTTATTTGCCCAATGTTTATACCCCCATTGTATCTTGGAAGTAACTAACTTGTTTTTGATTTGACAGGCTCATAGGCAGAAGGGACTAGCCTTGTCTCAGATGAGACTATGGAATTTTGAGTTAATGCTGAAAATGAGTTAAGACTTTGGGGGACTATTGGGAAATCATGATTGTCTTTTGAAATGTGAGGACATGAGATTTGGTGGGGGGGGGGCATGATTTGGGTGGAATGATATGGTTTGGATCTGTGTCCCCACCAAATCTCATGTTGAATTGTAATCCCCAATGTTGGAGGTGGGGCCTGGTGGGAGGTGATTGGATCACGGGGTTGGATTTCTCATGAATGGTTTAGCACAATTTCCCTTTGGTAATGTCCTCACAAAAGTGAATAAGGTCTTGTGTGATATGGTTGTTTAAAAGTGTGTAGCACTTCCCTCCTTATTCTCTCTCTTCTGGTTCCTATCATGTTTTTGCCTTCAGCCATGATTGGAAGCTAAGCTGCTATGATTCCTGTACAGCCTGCAGAACTGTGAGACAATTAAATCTGTTTTATTTGTAAATCACCCAGTCTCAGGTATTTCTTTATAGCAATGTAAGAATGGACTAATACAGTATGTGAATTACATCTTAACAAAACTGCTATTTTAAGAAACAGAGTTCAGGCATGGTGGCTCACACCTATAATCCCAGCACTTTGGGAGGCTGAGATGGCTGATTGCTTGATCTCAGGAGTTCAAAACCAGCCTGGGCAACATGGCAAAACCCCATCTCTACAAAAAATTAAAAAAAATAGCCAGATGTGGTGGTGCACATCTGTAACGTCTGTTGTCCCAGCTACTTGGGAGGCTGAGGTGGGAAGAGATCAATTGAGCCCCCCAGGTTGAGGCTACACTGAGCCATGATTGTGCCACTGCATTCCATGCATTCTAGGCTGGGCAAAACAGAGTGAGACCTTGTCTTTCTTTTTTTTTTTTTTGAGACAGAGTTTTGCTGTTGTTGCCTAGGCTGGAGTGCAATGGTGCAATTTCAGCTCATTGAAACCTCTGCCTCCCAGGTTCAGGCAATTCCCTGCCTCAGCCTCCCGAGTAGCTGGGATTACAGGCACCCGCCACCATGCCCGGCTAATTTTTTGTATTTTTAGTAGAGATGGGGTTTCACCATGTTAGCCAGGCTGGTCTTGAACTCCTGACCTTAGGTGATCCCCCCACCTCGGCCTCTCAAAGTGCTGGGATTACAGGCATGAGCCACCACACCTGGCCCAACCATGTCTTAAAAAAAAAAAAAGAAAGAAAGAAAAGAGAAAACTAATCCCCAGTGACAAAATCATAACAATGGTTGCCTTGGTGCTAGGGAGAAGAATTAACTGGGAAGGAGCATGAGAGAACTCTCTGGGAGTGACAGAAAGGTTCTGTATGTGAAGGAGGGGTTTGAGTTAAACAAATAGGTATTTGTTGAAACTCATGCATTTCATTATATGTCAATTAAAATATATCATATGTACATTATGCACATATAACTATGCATATGTGTATATTTTCTGCTTCTTCCAAGGAACTGTATAATTTGCATTAAGAAAATAATTCTTGGGAACAGATTGTGAGGACAAGAAAAAAAGATAATTCTTATAATATTCACATCTTCTTTTGAGCAGTTGTTCCATTGAGACAAAGGAACATAGGCAATTATACCAAAAAAAAAAATATTATTTCTTTTCTTTCTCTTTTTTTGAAAAAGGGTCTTACTCTGTCGCCCAGGCTGGAGTGCAGTGGTGTGATCATGGATCACTGCAACCTCAACCTCTCGGGTCAATCAATCTTCTCCCTCCTCAGCCTTCTAAGTAGTTGGGACTATAGGCATGTGCCACCACACCTGGTTAATTTTTGTATTTCGTAGAGATGGGGTTTCATCACGTTGTCTAAGCTGGTCTTGAAGTGTTGGACTCAAACAATCCCTCTGCCTCAGCCTCCCCAGGTAACTGGGACCACAGGTATGCACAACCATGTCTGCTAATTTTTCTATCCTTTGTAAAGACGGGACTCGCTATACTGCCCAGGCAAGTCTTGGAACTCCTGGGGTCAAATGATCCTCCCATCTTGGCCCCACAAAATGTTGGGATTATAGGAGCAAGCGACTATGCCTGGCCAAGAATCACTTTTCTTTTCTTTTTGAAACCGAGTCTTGCTCTGCCGTCCAGGCTGATGTGCAGTAGTGCGATCTTGGCTCACCGCAAACTCTGCCTCCCGGGTTCAAGCGATTCTCCTGCCTCAGCCTCCCGAGTAGCTGGGATTACAGGCACCTGCCACCACGCCCAGCTAATTTTTGTATTTTTAGTAGAGATGGGGTTTCAGGATGTTGGCCAGGCTGGTCTTGAACTCCTGACTTCAAATGATCTGCCCGTCTCTGCCTTCCAAAGTGCTGGGATTACAGGTGTGAGCCACTGTGCCCGGCCTCTCTCTTTTTTTTTTTTTTTGAGACATGGTCCTGCTCCGTTGCCCAAGCTGGAGTACAGAGCCACTCATGGGTCATTGCAGCTGCGACCTCCCGGGCTTGAAGCGATTCTCCCACCCTGCCTCCCGAAGTGCTGGGATTACAGGCATGAGCCACCACCGCACCTAGCCGCATTTCTTGTCTTTAATAGAGATATTTACCATATGTTTTCTATACTTAAGATACACAAAATGTTTGTCCTTGTGTTATAATCACCCACAACATTTAATACAACAAACCAATCACATAACCTAGAAACAGTGCATCACACCACACAGCCCTAAGAGGGAGCAGAAACCTGGATTTACCCAATAGGCCATGACTGTCAGCCACGTGTGGTGGCTCATGCCTGTAATCCCAGCACTTTGGGAGGCTGAGGTGGGCAGATCACTTGAGGCCAAGAGTTTGAGATTAGCCTCGCCAACACGGTGAAACCTCATCTGTATTAAAAATACAAAAATTAGCTGGTGTGGTGGGACACCTATAGTCCCAGCTACTTGGCAGGCTGAGGTACTAGAATCACTTGACCCCAGGAGGAGGAGGTGCAGTGAGCCGAAATCACGCCACTGCACTCCAGCCTGGTGACAGAGCAAGACTCTGTCTCCAAAAAAAAAAAAAAAAAAAAAAGTCACGGTTGGGCATGGTGGCTCACGCCTGTAATCCCAGCACTTTGGGAGGCTGATGCAGGCAGATCAGGAGGTCAGGAGATCGAGACCATCCTGGCTAACACAGTGAAACCCCGTCTCTATTAAAAATACAAAAAATTAGCCAGGCGTGGTGGCAGGCACCTATAGTCCCAGCTACCTGGGAGGCTGAGGCAGGAGAATCCCTTGAACCCGGGAGGCAGAGGTTGTAGTGAGCTGAGATCGCACCACTGCACTCCAGCCTGTTGACAGAGCAAGACTCCGTCTCAAAAAAAAAAAAAAAGTCACAACTGTCTAATTTACACAACAAGTAAGGGCTACAGGACCAATGATCACCAGCTGCCCAAGTACCAAAAAATTATGCTTCTGAAATCTCTTGATGTTGATTCTGGCACCAAGAGCAAACGATGCCCTATGTGTGCCACTCACAGCAGAAGCCCTTTTTTCCCCAAGAATTATATTTCTAGCAAACAAAAATTTGTTTGAGAGTTCATCAAATCTTCATTAGTACTTCATAAGCTTCTCAGAGTCATATAGCTCTTAAAACAATTTTCATGGCCGGGCGCGGTGGCTCACACCTGTAATCCCAGCACTTTGGGAGGCCCAGGTGGGTGGATCACCTGAGGTCGGGAGTTAGAGACCAGCCTGACCAACACAGAGAAACCCTGTCTCTACTAAAAACACAAAATTAGTTGGGCGTGGTGGCGCATGCCTGTAAACCCAGCTACTCGGGAGGCTGAGGCAGGAGAATGGCGTGAACCCGGGAGGCGGAGCTTGCAGTGAGCCGAGATCACGCCACTGCACTCCAGCCTGGGCGACAGAGCGAGACTCCGTCTCAAAAACAAAAACAAAAACAAAAACAAAAACAAAAACAACTTTCCACTATAGATTCAGAAATACATTAGAATATGTGGTCCTATTTTCTCTTCATTAAACTTGTAGATCCTATCTTGGTTTTTATTATTTTGACTAAGAGACTTCACATTATATTCCCACTCACATTATAGGTTAATTAAAACATCAAAATAGTTACCTTGAGTTCTTATCTACTGTATAAGAAAAGCTATGTGAATCTCTAAAGCAGGGGTGTCCAATCTTTTGGCTTCCCTGGGCCACACTGGAAGAACTGTCTTTGGCCAACATAAAATATGCTAACACAGGCTGGGCAGAGGGGCTCACCCCTGTAATCCCAGCCCTTTGGGAGGCCAAGGTGGGCGGATCACTTGAGGTCAGGAGTTTGAGACAAGTCTGGCTAACATGGTGAAACCCTGTTTTGACTAAAAATACAAAAATCAGCCGGGTGTGGTGGCACATGCCTATAATCCCAGCTAATAGGGAGGCTGAGGCAGGAGAACTGCTTGAACCTGGGAGGCAGAGGCTGCAGTGAGCTGAGATAGTGCCACTGCACTCCAGCCTGGGCAACAGATCAAGACCTTGTCTCAAAAAAATGAATAAATAAAAATACAATATACCAGTACGAACAGTAGCTGATAGAAAAAAAAAAATCTCATCACGTTTTAAGAAAGTTTATGAATTTGTGTTGGGCCCCATTCGCAGCTATCCTGGGCCACATGTGGCCTGAGGGCCACAGGTTGGACAAACTTGGCTCTAAAGCCTAATAAGTACTTGCAAGTTTTTCTTGAAATGTCCTTCTGGATGCATTGGCCTAGAAGCCTTCAAAATTGTATTATAGCACTGGACAGGCGGAAAAAAACAAGGCTTTTAGAATCAAACTGCCTAGAGTCTGAGCCCTGTCTCACCCACTGACTGTAGGAAGTTATATGTCCTTACTGTATCTCAGTTTCCTTTATCTTTAAAATGGGAAATAAAAAACTGCCTGCTTTCTTAGAATAATTATGAAGAATAAATAAGCTAATCTACATAAATTACTTAGAACAGTACCTGACACACAGCAAGAATTTGATAAATATTAAATATAATTATTATTTATAGTGTAGGTAATTTTAAGAGTATTGTAGAATATTTATGAAAACTTACTGATAACATGGATAACTTTCACTAAGTAACTTATCTGTTAGACATGGGTATGTCTATAACCTACCTGCATTGCTGCATCACCTATTGCACGTCGGATTTCCCTTAGAGTTTGATACTGCTCCAACAGGTGATCACCACAGATTATATCTACCTATGGACATGAAGAGAGTATTAGATTGATTTCTTGCTTCAAAATACCATCTGAAGAAATGAGGAAAACAAATCAACATAAATTGTTTCCAAACTAGATTTTGTAATTTTATTTTAGACTGATTAAACGCTCTTGAAAAGAGAGTTTTAGAAACTTTTTACAGAAGTAAATAAGGTAACATGGGAAGAGCATTAGAGGATACAGCAGGACAACAGCACAGTATAATTGATATTCAAAATGATTTCCCTGAATCTCAAAGAAATTAAGTCATTTTAGACTTTAATTAAGAAATTCATTTTGACATTAATTAAGAAATTAAGTCAAATTAGATGTATTCAACATCAGGTAGCAAAGGAAAGTATATCTTTTTAAATATCTGTGATAAAAATCATTAAGGCCGGGAGCAGTGGCTCACGCCTGTAATCCCAGCACTTTGGGAGGCAGAGGCGGGCAGATCACCTGAGGTCAGGAGTTCCAGACCAGCCTGGCCAACATGGTGAAACCCTGTCTCTACTAAAAATACAAAAACTAACCAGGCACGGTGGTAATCATGGTGCCTGTAATCCCAGCTACTTGGGAGGCTGAGGCAGGAGAATCACTCGACCCCAGGAGGTGTTGGTTGCAATGAGCCGAGATCATGCCATTGCATTCCAGCCTGGGCCACAGAGCGAGACTCTGTCATAAAAAAAAAAAAAAAAAAAAAAAAAAAATCATTAAAAGGTATTAATGCTTAAAAAGGCAATCATCCATTATTTGAAAAAATTCTCTTAGGAGGAATATCTCATTTTCCAACAATGCCACATAAATCATAGTACAACACTGACTTGAAGTTCACACTAAGGAAACTGTTTTGTAGATGGAACAATTTCAACAAGGACTTTTCAGCCCTTTGGTAATTGCAAAGCTCCAAGATATATCTTTTTATTCCCCCCAGACAGGGTGTCACTCTGTCACTCAGGCTGGAGTGCAGTGGCCCAATCATAGCTCATTGCAGCCTCAAACTCCTAGGCTGAGGCAATCCTCCCACCTTAGCAACCCAAGTAGCTGGGACTAGAGGTGTGCACCACCACATCTGGCAAATTGTGTGTTTTTTAGTTCGTTTTTTGAGATGGAGTCTCGCTCTGTCGCCCAGGCTGGAGTGCAGTGGCACAATCTCGGCTCACTGCAAGCTTCACCTCCTGGGTTCACGCCATTCCCCTGCCTCAGCCTCCCGAATAGCTGGAACTACAGGCACCCACCACCATGCCCAGCTTATTTTTTGTATTTTTAGTAGAGACGGGGTTTCAGTGTGTTAGCCAGGATGGTCTAGATCTCCTGACCTGATGATCCGCCCACCTCAGCCTCCCAAAATGCTGGGATTACAGGCGTGAGCCACCGTGCCCGGCCAATTGTGTGGTTTTCTTTTTTCAATTTTTGTAGAGACAGGGTCTCGGTATATTGCCCAGGCTGGTCTCAAACTCCTAGTCGTAAGTGATCCTCCTGCCTTGGCCTCCCAAAACACAGGTGTGAGCCAGTGTGCTCCGGCCAATATACTGACTTTTATATAGAATTCTCTAGAGAGAATATTGTTGTATATATACATTTTATTAAGACTCTACTATACTTACTTGCTAAGATAGAAATGCAAATCTTTAATCTTTCACTGAGTACTACTTCCTATTACCTTAAAATGGGGTTAGAGCCTCAACAGCTTATATGTGTGTGTGTGTGTGTGTGTGTGTGTATATATATATATATATATAGAGAGAGAGAGAGAGAGAGAGAGAGAGAGATATCTCACTTAACTGGCTCCATCTCCTAACATTACTATTTAGATTATGGTATGAAATTTCTCATTGTCTTCCATACCAGAATGTCACCTCTGCTTCCTCTTTCTCCTTTTCCTTTCTTCTTACATGCAATCAATTACAAAGTCCTATTGCTTCTTTCTTCCTATCTCTTGAATTCATATCATACCTTTCAACTACTGCCCATAGACTTAAACCACTAAAACTACCTCCTAGCCAGACTTCTTATCTTCAATACTGTTTACTCCAATAAATTTTATACACTGTCAACATGTTAAACTCTAAAAACTTTTAGCATGGTTGGGAAAGAACAGTAATAGCAGCTGCATTTAAATAAGCAGCCACTATGTACAATAAGTTACATATGTATTTGACATGTGTTATCTAATCCTCATATTCCTATGAATTAGGTAACTACAATTCTGATTTTACAGATAGGGAAACTAAGAAGTAAAGACATTAAACTTTCCTGAGATCACAAAGCTAGTAAATAGCAAAGTTCAGATATAAACCCAGGTCTGTCCAAGATCTAATTTTCTCCAAAGCCTAAATGCCATCTCAGGGGTCGGCAAACCGTTTCTGCAAAGGGCCAAATAATAAATGCCTCAGGCTTTGTGGGCCATAGCATCTCTGTTATATCTCTTCAATTCAGCTGTTATAGCACAAAAGCAGCCACGGTGTGGCTGTGCTTTCAATTCATTTTGCAAATACCACTCTGTCAATTTAAAAGCTAGTAAGTCTAAAATCCAAAAGTTGTTACTAATCTGAGATTATATAGAATTATGAGATAGAACCCGGGTTGGCATACTCAAGGGCCAAATCTAGCCTGTCACCTGTTTTTAGAGTGGTATTTCCAAAGTGACTTGAAAGTAATGATATGAGATCTTGCACAGAGAACTTAGATCCATAAAAAGTTAAAGAATTTGGTACCATCATTGTTTTATTAATTTTATTTTATTTTATTTTTTTAGACAAGAGTCTCACTCTGTCGCCCAGGCTGGAGTGCAGTGGCGCAATCTCAGCACACTGCAACCCTTGCCTCTCAGGTTGAAGCGATTCTCATGCCTCACCCTCCCAAGTAGCTGGGATTACAAGGGCACGCCACCACACTCGGCTAATTTTTGTATTTTTAGTGGAGATGGGATTTCCCCATGTTGGCCAGCCTGGTCTCAAACTCCTAACCTTAGGTGATCCGCCCACCTCAGGCTCCCAAAGTGCTGGGATTACAGGCATGAGCCAAATCACCGGGCCTATGTTTCATTAAATATTTAGCAATCCAAAAACTATCACTCTTAGTGGGCTTTATACCACGTGGTATACATTCACGGTATTATTACTATATTTTCAACTTTGAATTTTTACAGATCTTTAAATTTTTTGTAAAAAGCTTTACAAAAATCTTTACAAAATAATTCACTGTAACAAATTCAGAAAACACAGAGGTGCTGGGTACTGTGGCTCTCATCTATAATCTTAGCTGCTTGGGAAGCTGAGGCAGGAGGACTGCTTGAGTTTGAGGTAGTGAGATATGATCGTACCGCTCCACCCCAAGCCTGGGCAACAAAACGAAACCTCATCTCAAAATAAATAAATAAATAAAAAGACAGGTATATAGTAACAAACTTAAAAAAAATTGTAGAAAGTAGAATGATAAATCCTCACTTCAATCCTAGCCCCTAGAGGGTGGTCAGTTTCTTTTTTCTGTTTTTTTTTTGAGACAGAGTTTCGCTCTTGTTGTCCAGGCTGGAGGGCAATGACGCAACCTTGGCTCACTGCAAACTCTGCCTCTCCTGGGTTCAAGCAATTCTCCTGCCTCAGCCTCCCAAGTAGCTGGGATTACAGGCATGCATCACCACGCATGGCTAATTTTGTATTTTTAGTAGACACGGGGTTTCTCATCTTGGTCAGACTGGTCTCGAACTCCCGAACTCAGGCAATCCGCCCACTTCAGCCTCCCAAAGTGCTGGGATTACAGGCATGAGCCACCGCACCCAGCTGGGGTTGGTCAGTTTCTAAGAGTTTGATGTGTATGGTCCTAGAACACTATGTGTGCATGTGGGTTTTTCTGTTATTCATTTTTTGCTTTAAAAAAAATGGGATCAACTGGGTGCGGTGGCTCACGCCTGTAATCCCAGCACTTTGGGAGGCCGAGACGGGCAGATCACCTGAGGTCAGGAGTTCGAGACCAGCTTGGCCAACATGGCAAAACCCTGTCTCTACAAAAAATACAAAAATAAGCTGGGTGTGGTGGCAGACACCTGTAATCCCAGCTACTCAGGAGGCTGAGGCAGGAGGATCACTCAAACCTGGGAGTCAGAAGTTGTAGTGAACCGAGATCGCGCCACTGCACTCTAGCCTGGGTAACAGAGGGAGACTCCATCTCAAAAAAAAAAAAAGAAAAAAGTGCGGGTGCGGTGGCGCACACCTGTAATCCTAGCACTTTGGGAGGCTGAGGCAGGCGGATCACAAGGTCAGCAGTTCAAGACCAGCCTGGCCAAGATGGTAAAACCCTGTCTCTACCAAAAATACAAAAAAATTAGCCGGGCATGGTGGCGGTCGCCTGTAATCCCAGCTACTCAGGAGGCTGAGGCAGAGAATGGCTTGAACCTGGGAGGCAGAGGCTGCAGTGAGCTGAGATGGCACCACTGCACTCCAGCCTGGGCGACAGAGCGAGACTCTGTCTGAAAAAAAAAAAGAAAAAAGAAAAAAAAAGTTGGTTTTGTTGGCACTCGCTGTCTAACAACTACCAAATTGCAGTTAGAAAACTTTTCACATTAGTGTAGGAAACTTTTTGCAGGCCTAGTTCCTCGATAGCCAAAGGCCAGCTTTGTAAGCAGGCCCTTCTAACGACAGCAGCCTCAAGGCTGATACGTTAACTCTTTTGTGCATAATATCTTACCCTCTGGAGTATCAAGAAGAGATAACAAAAATATTTTTGAATCTCAGAGCAGAAATCAGACCATGAAAGTAGTCTTATTAAAAGGAGAAAAAGTCCTCATCTTTTTAAAAGCAAGATCATGCTAGAGCTTCCAAGTTAAGATTTTTCAATCAGTGTGCTTTGATAAGCCACACTGGCTCATTCCTTTGATCATACATACTCTTCTTTTCGAGATGGAGTCTCACTCTGCCGCCCAGGCTGGAATGCAGTGGTGGGATCTCGGCTCACTGCCACCTCCGCCTCCTGGGTTCAAGCGATTCTCCTGCCTCAGCCTCCTGAGTAGCTGAGACTACAGGCGTACCACCATGCCCAGCTAATTTTTTTTTTGTATTTTTAGTAGAGACGGGGTTTCACCATGTTGGCCAGGATGGTCTCGATCTCTTGACCTTGTGATGTGCCCGCCTCGGCCTCCCAAAGTGCTGGGATTACAAGCGTGAGCCACCGGACCTGGCCATACATACTCTTCTTTGCTACTAAGTTCTTTTTTTCTGTGTCTGGCAAATTCCTATTTGTTCTTCAAACCCATTCCTGAGTTAAATCATTCACTTTTGTGTTATCTCCACTGTTGCATTCATTACATCCTATTGTTAGTTAGTTGTTTACTTATATATCTTTCCTACAAAATTCTGAGTCCCCTGATGGCATGAATTTTGTCTCATCTTTGTACTCCTAAGGTCAAATACATAGACCCTCAATTTAGTAACAATATATAATAAATGGTATGGAAACATCATATATTAGTCCTTAAAAAATTATTTGGAAACTAAATTTAATAGAAGGCTTAATATCATACACCAAATAAGTAATAATAATAACCTAACTTTTTTGAGATGGAGTCTTGCTCTGTCGCCAGGCTGTAGTGCAGTGGTGCGATCTCGGCTCACCGCAACCTCCACCTCCTGGATTCATGTGATTCTCCTGCCTCATCTTCCCGAGTAGCTGGGACTATACAGGTGCATACCACCATGCCCAGCTAATTTTTGTATTTTTAGTAGAGATGGGGTTTCACCATGTGGGCCAGGATGGTCTCCATCTCTTGACCTCGTGATCCGCCCGCCTCAGCCTCCCAAAATGCTGAGATTACAGGTATGAGCCACCATGCCTGGCCAGCCTAACTTTTAAGATGGAATTAGTTATGGCAGGATTAACAAAATCAAATATCACATCTTATAGAAGAATTTTTAGTGATCAATGTGAGGTGTATGTTCTAAATTTCATCTCATAAAAGCAAAATAAGGTCTGAATATCAAACAAAGCAAAATACAATAAGACATCAAAGAGTAAATACCACTAAATCAACCACAGTAACCCTGAGACACTGGAGTCTCTATGAGAAAGAAACATATTTGGATAATTATTGATCTCTAAATTTTAAATGAACTTAAATCTTTCTTAAGAACACATGATGGCCGGGCGCGGTGGCTCACACTTGTAATCCCAGCACTTTGGGAGGCCGAGGTGGGCAGATTGCCTGAGGCTGGGAGTTCAAGACCAGCCTGGCCAACATGGAGAAACTCTGTCTACTAAAAAAACTAGAAAATTAGCCAGGCATGGTGGCGCATGCCTGTAATCCCAGCTACTCAGGAGGCTGAGGCAGGATAATCGCTTGAACCCAGGAGGCGGAGGTTGCGGTGAGCCGACATCATCGCACCATTGCACTCCATCCTGGGCAAAAACAGTGAAACTTTGTCTCAAAAAAAAAAAGATCTGTATTTTTTAAACTTTTGGAATTGTCTTGTTTTTAAAATTTGATCTGCCACAAAAAACTTTAAAGTTTAACAGTCCCGTGGGAATTACTCGTTCCTGTTAGTAAATAACCATAAATGAAGGTCACATATCTGTAAACCATGCACACATTTCCCACCTGGGACTAACTGGTTCAAAGAAAGTCAGCATAGCAGGCTCGTGACTGCAGGACACCAAGAATTGTAGTCTGATGACTAGCAAACCAGCTCAATGTTTTGTTCATATTAGAAGTAACTCTTAATTACTTACTCTACCTTAAATTTAGGCCTCAACAATTTTAGTCCCCAATTAATGGGTCTGTATATTTGATAATTCTAACATTTTGGTTAAATAATAATTTATGAACATTACCAGCTATACAGTAGCTGAGTGGTAGAATATTTATTTAGAGAGCCAAGAGCTGACAAAGAAAATTAAAGGTTGAAACAAATTTTATATCTTTCTTTTTGAGACAGGGTCTCATCATGCACTGCCGCCTTGACCTCCCAAGCTTAGGTGATCCTCCTACCTCAGGCTCCAGAGTAGCTGGGATTACAGGTATGAGCCTTTATATCATTTTATTTCAAAATGCTAAAAGCCTTAAATTCTATGATGTAAGCAAAAAAGAAACCCACATTTTTAGGTAACAAAATCAACTTAGAAGAGAAATACTGTACAAGATGGTGACTATATGTAATAATATATTGTAGGCTGGGCGCGGTGGCTCATGCCTGTAATCCCAGCACTTTGGGAGGCCAAGGTGGGCGGATCACGAGGTCAGGAGATCGAGATCATCCTGGCTAAATGGTGAAACCCTGTCTCTACTAAAAATACAAAAAATTAGCCAGGCGTGGTGGTGGGTGCCTGTAGTCGCAGCTACTCAGGAGGCTGAGGCAGGAGAATGGCATGAACCCGGGAGGCGGAGCTTGCAGTGAGCCGAGATCGCGCCACTGTACTCCAGCCTGGGTGACAGAGACTCCGTCTCAAAAACAAAGAAACAAACAATAATAATAATAATAATATATTGTAATTGCTGAATAGAAATTTCAAGTGTTTTCACCACAAAAAATGTGAGGTAATGGTATGTTAATTAGCTCAATTTTGCCATCCCACAATGTATACATATTTCAAAACATCATGTTGTATACAATAAATAGATATTATTTATTTCATTTCACTTTTTTTTTTTTTGAGACAGAGTCTCACTCTGTCACCCAGGCTGGAGTGCAGTGGCATGGTCTCAGCTCACTGCAACCTCCGCTTCCTAGGTTCAAGGGATCCTCCCACCTCAGCTTCCCAAGTAGCTGGGACTATAGGCATGTGCCACCACACCCGGCTAATGTTTGTATTTTTACTAGGGACAGGGTTACACCATGTTGGCCAGGCTAGTCTTGAACTCCTGACCTCAGGTGATCCACCCACCTCGGCCTCTGAAAGTGCTGGGATTACAGGGTGAGCCACCTTGCCTGGCCTTCACTTCACTTATTTTTATTTTTTTTGAGACAGTGTATTGCTGTCGCTCAGGCTCAGTGCAGTGGTGCAATCATGGATCACTGTAGCCTGGATCTCCCAGGCTCAACCCACCTCAGCCTCCCTAGGAGCTAGGACTACTAGGATTACAGGTGTGCGCTTAATTTTGTGTGCAGCTAATTTTGGTATTTTTTGTAGAGCTGGGGTTTCGCTATGTTGCCCAGGCTGGTCTCAAACTCCTGGGCTCAAGCTATCCATCCACTTTGGCCTCCCAAAGTGCTGGGATTACAGGTGCAAGCCACCACGGCCAGCCCAAAATATTTTGTTTCTGTCAATTAAAAAAACAGGCTGGGCACAGTGGCTCATGCCTGTAATCCCAGTACTTTGGGAGGCTGAGGCAGGAGGATCACTTGAGGCCAGGAGTTTGAGACCAGCCTGGGCAAAATGATGAAACCCCATCTCTACTAAAAAATACAAACAATTTAGCCGGGCATGGTGGCATGCACCTCTAATCCCAGCTACCTGGGAGGCTGAGGCAGGAGAATTGCTGGAACCCGGGAGGTAGAGACCGCAGTGAGTCAAGACTGTGCCACTGCACTCCAGCATGGGTGACAGAGCAAGACTCTGTATCACACACACACACAAAAAGTCCAGCCTGGGCAACACAGTATGTTATCCTTGCCACCAAAAAAAAAACAAAAAACAAAAAACAAAAAAAAAAACAACCCACAAAACACAAAACATACACACACACAGACACATAAATAGCCATAGAATAATCTGTATTCTAGAGAGGGTCCTCCTGGGTATCACTTCTTTTTCTATAATAAGGGCAAGTCTTCTGCTTTTAGAAATAACAGGCTGTTATGGGATCACTCATAATTCTTAATCCAGGAGTCACTAACCAGCTTTGTCTCTAACAAAAACCTAAGAATAACCTCAAGTGTGCTGTGGCTACAAGGTAAAAATAAGTCATTTCTAGTTTTCAGCTGCCATGAGATATAACCAGGATATGTCAAGCTCAGTTAGAGAAGTCATATTTCACTGGATTTAGTATATATTTACTACCAGTAAATATCGGTACTAAAAACACTAGCAAACTTTCAGTCACTTTTTTTTTTGAGTTGGAGTTTTGCTGTTGTTGCCCAGGCTGGAGTGCAGTGGCGCCATCTCGGCTCACTGCAACCTCCGCCTCCTGGGTTCAAGTGATTCTCCTGCCTCAGCCTCTCAAGTAGCTGGGATTACAAGCATGCGCCACCACGCCCGGCTGATTTTATATTTTTAGTAGAGATGCGGTTTACCATGTTGGTCAGACTGGTCTTGAACTCCTGACCTCAGGTGATCCACCTGCCTTGGCCTCCCAAAGTGTTGGGATTACAGGTGTGAGCCACCGCGTCCGGCCCCTTTTCTTTTTTTTGATATAGAGTCTCCCTCTTGTCGCCCAGGTTGGAGTGCAGTGGCATGATCTTGACTCACTGCAATCTCCACCTCCCGGGTAATAGCGATTCTCTTGCCTCAGCCTCCTGAGTAGCCAGGACTACAGGTGTGCGCCACCATACCTGGCTAATTTTTGGTAGAGACGGGGTTTCGCCACGTTGGCCAGACTGGTCTTGAACTCCTGACCTCAGGTGATCCACCTGCCTCGACCTCCCAAAGTGCTGGGATTACAGGCATGAGCCACTACACATGGCCAGTCACTGTTTTAACATATCTATTAATTTAACTAACAATACAGTATTTTATTATTTTATTTTACTATTTTTTTGAGACAGATTATCACTCTGTCGCCCAGGCTGGAGTGCAATGGCATGATCTAGGCTAACTGCAACCTCCGTCTCCCAGGTTCATGCAATTCTCCAGCCTCAGCCTCCCGAGTAGCTGGGATTACAGGAGTGTGCCACCATGCCAAGCTATTTTTCATTTTTTAGTAGAGACAGGGTTTCACCGTGTTGGCCAGGCTGGTCTCAAACTCCTGACCTCAAATGATCCACCTGCCTTGGCCTCCCAAAGTACTGGGATTATATAGGTGAGTCACTGTGCCCAGCCACAATACACAGTATTTTAGATAAAAAATTATTCTATAAAACTTAACACATGATGGAGAATAACAAAAAGGCTTTTTAAATTTGACTAATGAAAAAAAAAAAAAGAAAAAGCAAAGCTATATAAATGTTCATTTTTACTAACTGGACCACAGAACTAGAACTATGAGTATATTTTACTTTTATGTTCAATGATACATGAAGTTTGAGGTTTCCATCGTACAACAAGAAGAAAATATTATGGCTGGGCGCGGTGGCTTATGCCTGTAATCCCAGCACTTTGGGAGGCCGAGGCGGGAGGATCACGAGGTCAGGAGATGGAGGCCAGCCTGACCAACAACATGGTGAAACCCCGTCTCTACTAAAAATACAAAAATTAGCCAGGTGTGGTGGCACAGGCCTGTAATCCCAGCTACTCAGGAGCCTGAGGCAGGAGAATCACTTGAACCCGGGAGGCGGAGGTTGCAGTGAGCCGGGACCGCCCCACTGCACTCCAGCCTGGGCAACGGAGTGAGACTCCGCCTCAAAAAAAAAAAAAACCAAAAAAAAAAAAAAAGAAAATATTACATAGCTAGAACAGGAGATCTCTTTTAATCCATAAAAAAAACTAATAGGGTCAGCTGGGCATGGTGGCTCACGCCTGTAATCCCAGCACATTGGGAGGCCGAGGTAGGCGGAT